>NC_000006.12:45817575-46120606 GCF_000001405.40 Homo sapiens
TAGGAGGCAGAAAGGTGGGCTGTGAGCTCTCTTGACCTTTGCTCTGTCCTGACCCTCCTACCACCCCCCAGTAGTCTTCTTTTTCTCTGGAGATCTTGGATACCTAAAGAGGAATTTTAACAAGTAAGCTAGGTAGGCCATGCTGTCTTAGGAAGAGAGGATGGAACCGAGCTCCAGCTAGAGGTTTTTCCATCATGATAACTATGAGAGTCAGCAGGTCCCAAGAAGCAGGACCACATGCTGGTGTGTGGTTGTGCCTCTTATAAATGGTCCTGCTCAAATTCTGGCAGTCACTTAAAGCCAGTCAACCATGTTTGAGGAAGTGATTAACAATGCAAATGTCAGGGCAAAACAAGAAAATGATCAAAACATGTGAGATTTTCAGACTTTGAGCATTTTGGTGAAATTCTTATAGAAAATGGAAGACCAGCCTCCCCTTTCCTGTGGTCTGAATGTTTGTATCTCCCCAAAATTCACATGTTGAAATTCTAATCCCCAGGGTGGTGGTAATAGGATATGGGGCCTTTGGAAGGTGACTAGGTCATGATGGTGGAGCCCTCATGAATGGGATTAGTGCCCTTATAAAAGAGACCTCAGAGAGCTTGCTTGCCCCTTCCACCATGTGAGAACACATGGAGAAGGTGCCATTGATGAACCAGATAGTGGGACCTCAGACCCCAAATCTGCTAGTACCTTGATCTTGAACTTCCCAGCCTACAGGACCATGAAAAATCAATTTCTGATGTTTGTGATCTACCCAGTTTATGGCTTTGTTATATAGCAGCAAGAACGGCCTAAGACACCCTTGAAAAATGACTTATTTATTCTATTGAGCTCAAGTCAAAGCTAATAGCTTTGGTCATTTGGAATGACTCTAATTTGCTTTCTACCAGTGGGAAGGCCTGATTCAAGTCAATTTTGTTCATAAGTCATAAATGCTTTAAAAGGGAAAATGCACCCCCCAAAAAATACAAAAAATTTATAATTTGCCTCCCTCATGGCTTCAGTTTTGACTTCAGTAGATTGAAGTATTTGTGGAATATTTACTGCTAATGTGTAGTTTTGACAATAGGACCAAATTCATGGTTTTGAGAGTACATAAAGAAGTTGCTAAGGATAAGATTTAATCATTAATGAAGTGAACATATTTTTCCCTTCCAGTGAGACTTTTTTCTTCATTTTAACAGTGCATTGTAGTTTGTCAGAGGAACTGGGGTCATGAACATAACTTCAAAGGCGTTTCCCCAGTTCACTTATTTCAATGATAAAGCCATTCACGTGGAACCATGTCTCGCTTGGATTCTAGTGTTGAAACCACTTCTTCAGGTCCAATTTGCATAGTCTAGAAATTGCGTGAAAGCTGGGACAAAATTATTGAACCAACCACATTGTGTAGCATTCTTCTTTGCAAATTCTAGGTAATAGATACACTTTTGAAGAAGGAATCTATGAATGAAGGTCAGAATAAATCATTTTATTATGCAATATGCTTTAGATGTTCCTACTCCCATAACCATTAAACAGTAACACTCAGGTCCTTGCTGTGCATAAAGCAGTGTGAGAAACACAAAGTGCGACACACAGACCTGAATAATAGCACCCGGTCCCTTCCCTCAAGAGCTTGCACATTGCACAGGGCAGAGCCACTATTTTTTTTAGCCTTTTCCTCTTGGTGACATCATGGGTCTGGTCAGACCATGAGGCCTGCAAGACTTGGCTCCATACCCTTCTCTCTACCTTTTCGCCAACTTCCTATGTCAAAGCACCTGGCAGGATAACTGCAATGGATGGTTGGGTTTCTTAACCTATTTGACCATTACTGAATGGTAATTCAGTAATGAATTACCTGAATATTACTAGGGGAAATCATATGAAATCTAAATTTTTGTAGGTTAGAAACAGTCAACTATTGACAATTTCATATGGTTCAATCAAATATTTAGCATGTTGTATGGAGTGAATAATTCGCAAGCTTTTGAAAGTGCTTTTAGGTTTTTCCAAGAATTCATCCCCTAAGACTCTCTCAGCCAGACAGGCTGAGTGTCAGAGGCTGATTCCTCCTTAGGTTGATTGTTTCTGGGAGGTGAGAAGTGATGAGGTTTGGTTAATTCCAGCTGAGGTGCCCTGAACTGGGTTGCTTTTAGTAGGAAAGGTATTTTCAAAACCCGTTGTTTGCTGAAACAATCTGATTTGTGTAAATACATCATAAGAATTTCATAGTATATAATAAATACAACTATGTGAAAAGGTTTAAATAGCTCAAAATGACGTGACTTTGTAAGGCCCTGTTTTCACTGTAATATCTTCTGTTTAAACTCATGTTTCTTAGTGCTGGGTTTGAATAGCACAAACTGATTTCATTTGTATTTTAAACATCCATTAAAAAAAAGAACTCAAGTAATGGATTAATCACGTAGATATTAAACCAAAAAATGAAAAGGAGGAGGAGGAGGAGGAGGAGGAGGAATGAAAGAACATTTAAACCTCTGTGACCCCACCATAGAAAGGGCTGCTTTTAATATTTTGCCAAAGATTCTTCTAGACTTTTTTCCAAATAGGTACTATTTGGAAAATGCAAATATTCTTGGGAAGCTGAGGGGAAACTATTAATCATGCATAATTTACTTGGAATTGATTTAATCAAATGTTTTTAGAACTGGAAGTGACTAAAAATAATGTAGACCAGTCCTCAACCAGGGGTATTTTACCCCACAGGTGATATTCGGTAATGTCTGGGGACATGTTTGTTTGTCACAACTTAGGGATGATCCTGGCATCTACTGGGCAGAAATCAAGGACGCTGCTAACACGTTGTACAAACAACACACATGACGGCTCCCACAACAAATAATTATTGGGTCACGAATGTCAGTAGTGCCGAGGGTGAGAAAGCTTGTTTTAGACCAGCATCCTTATTTTCCGAGTAAAAAGTCCAGGGCTAGAAGATGGTTTGCACAAAGTCAATCAGTCAATTGGTGGTAGAAGAGAGATGAGAACCTTTGTCACTTCTGCCCTGTCCGGGGCTATTTTCACTGCACTGGGACAAATGGAAATTTTGGTAGCCAAAGAGGGGCTCAGGAAAGCATGAGAGTATAATTCTAAAACAGGGCTCTGGGGGGAAGATAGATCTAGGTATTGAGGGGACAGGGCCTGCAAACAGAAGGAGAAATTAAATAGGTAGGAGTACAGTGAGATCATTAGGAGAAAGTTTTAGAGGAGGCCCAAAAAGAGCAATGGAGCTCTATCCCTAGCAAATATGACTTGCTAAGCAAGTTTATATGGATGTTTCCATGGTGTTTGTATGATCACCTCTTCCCAGTTTGCTTGGAACTGTCTCATTTTAATACTGAAAGTCCCATATTCTGGGAGCCTCCTCAGTTCTGGGCAAACCAGGATGGTTGTTCATCCTGTTTCCCGTTCCTTCACATAAACATACATGAGCAAAAGTTATTCTGCCAACTTCATACTAGTTTGGTGAATTGGAGGATATTTGGTGAAGAATGTGTGGGACCTCTCTGTACATTTCTACAGCTTCCTGCGAATATATAATTATTTCAGAATAAAAGTCAAGAACAGCTTTGTGAATGAGACCTAAGTGAATTACTAACCTTCTCTCAACTGAGACTACAGGGAACTTTCATGTGGCCAGATAGGATGCCCAGAGTAGAAAGCTCTTTATAATGATATCATAGGCTGCCACACCATCACCATAGGTGACAGCTTCATGGGAACCTGAGAAGGGCAGGGAGGATGGCATTTGGGCACAGTGCAGATAGCGTGGTTGGCATTTAGGTATGACCATAGGGTTACTTAATCTTGAAGTAGTACAAGTCTTCTTGTGGTGGGAAAAAGTATATTTTTGGGAATAAGAAGGAAGGATGGTTTATACAATAAAAAAATTAGGAAGTCTTCCTTGAGGGAGTCATTCATTCATTAATTGATCCATTCACTGCAATGACAAACAGTCTGCTTAGTGATAGAAATCAAAAGTTGAGTAGGAATCCTTGTCTTCCCTTGAAGGGTTTTTGGTTTGTGGGGGCTGAAAGAAAGTCAGTGAAGAAAAAAGTCTTGTGTTTACTTTAGCAATGTAAAATATACTTCTTTCATAAGAAAAGGAAGGGAACATTAGTTGAATACCTTCTATGTTCAAGAATATAAGTTCTTGTGGATATAAGTTAGAAATCTGTGTCCGTGTCTTCAGGTAATTAAAACAACTGGACTTTACAGAGGCACATGGGGTTTTCAATGTATGGAAATAATTTAACAGATATTTTAATTTAATGGAATTTCCATTTTTTTAAAAGAGGCGTATCCACAAATTGGAAAATATCAAGTAAATTATCTGATGGGCCTGGGTATCTGAACACTGGGTGGCAGTTTTTGACCAGAAGACTTCTCAATCCATTCCACTTTTTTTTTTTTTTTTTTTTTAGCATTTTAGGTTAAATCTTGGAGAATTTTTGTCTAATTTTCCACTAGGGATCAAGTGCATATGATGCTTACACATAGCCAGAGAAGGTAGTATTCTACATGGTTTGATTTCAGTATGGCTCCTGAAGTGTCTCAACCTATTTTGCCTGAAGCTTGTGATGATGTTCTCAGTGTTATCGAGCCTTTCATTTTACTGTTATATGTCTTCTTTCCTGAGAGGAGGAACTCTGGAGATGAATTCTTTTTTAGCTGCAAATGAATGCTACCATACGTGTTGCCAAAAGAGAAAGAAAAGTATACTAAGTGCTAAGCCATAGCGAATGGGTCAGGAGAGAAAGGGAATCAGGAAACAGATGGTAATGGGGGAAAGGAGGAAGAAAAGCATAAATATGCTAAAACAGGAAGTACTGGAGGCAAATCTTGCCCTGTTTCTCTTACTTTGAGAATTGCCGGAGTGGTCAGGAAGTCAGAGCTGCCATCTTGTTTTCAGATGTGCCTCTTTCTAGGGTTTTATCTTTAGTTTTATCAAAGGAGGTACAGCTGGGAGAGCTTTTAAAAAATACCTACCCTCCAGCCCCACCTCCAGAGAGTCTGAGTCAGTAGGTCTTCGATGGGAGGGCCCCAAGCATCAGTATTTCCTTGAAGTACCCTGGGTGACAGCCATAGTTGAGAACCTCTATCTAGAATAGTCCCCTAATTTTCAGATGAATAGATCATGCCCAAGAGACATTAGGTAACTGACAAAGGGCCACACAGCTAAACTCCGAAGTACATCTAGGACCTGAGTCTCCTGCTTTTATGTAAGAATTTTCTAATAATATATTTAGAAACTCCCAAGTTTAAAGTACTAAGCTAAGCTTGCTCTGGATGCTAGAGAAGTCCCAAATCTTTCCCTAATGGGCTTCTTTTTGTTGTTGTTAAACATCTCACATGGTGCCTGGCACATAGTAGCACTTAATAAATACTTGCTGAATGAAGGAGTGTGGCTTATGTTTAATTTTCTCCCTCACGCCCACCAGAAGCACTGAAGTAGTACTGCTCTAAGGTGCTAATGTGGAATGGAATTACTCCCCACTCAGTCCCTTTCTTAGAATTTGTTACTTCTTTGTGACTCAACCTATGAGCCTAGGATTGAGTAGATCATAGCATTCGAGGGGATTTTCATTAAAGAAATGAAGTAGCAGTTGGCTTTTCGGCTTCAAATTCTTTCCCTTGTTAAAGAAACTGAAACATTATCTTGAGTAGAATTGGCTATTTAAATCCGGCTGAATGGTTTTCCAATAGAAGTGATTGAAAAAAAAACATTTTTCGTTTTTTGGAGGAATTTGTTCCATTCTGTCTTGTGTTTCATTATAAACAGTTTTTTAATAGCAAAAATTATTCTTCATGCCATAAATGTGTGGTGAATGCCTCCCAACCATATTTCCACATAGACCTCAGGTCTTTGCCAGTTTTTCTGTATGTAGAGCCCCCACTGATGATGGCTCAGAACTGAAACCCAACCTAATGCTACTAAACTCCTGGATTGAGAAGGGTTTTAAAATCACCTTTGGTGGTTTACACAGAAATTAGCCCAGGTCCTCTGGCTTCTCTCCTTTCCTAGGGTTGTTGATGATGTAAGACAAAGCCCACTTCATGCTGGAGTGTATGCTCTTGAGGGCAAGGGTCTGGTCAATTTCCTCACTTTATATCCCTCACTCAAAGCAAATGCTCTACACTGTGAAATGTCAATGCAGGAGAGGAGGTGACAATGCCCTTATGGGGTGCAAATTAATTCAGGGGGTGAGGATGTGAAAAAAACTTAAGGCAATGGTTTGTGATCCTTCAAAGGGCCATAGTACATAAATAAATATATAGTATATCTATGCCATTAAATTTTCATGGGGATATTGGGGGAAATATCTAAAAAGACTTTTTAGAGGGGTCTAATAATGAAAGATCAAGAGACACTGCTCTAAACGCATCTATCAACTGATTGAATAAATGTAATGTTAGAGGCAATGGAACTCTGTGCCTCCACTTTTTAGAGCTGGACAACTGACATGCACAAAGATGCCTATGTTAAGAGACTTAGCTCACTACCGCAACATTTTGACTTTAGTTTGAACTGTTTTCTACATTTTCAATGATCACTTTGAGATTCAACATTAAACCACTGGAATCAAGGTCTCCTTCTTGGTCTTTTGCCTATTTGGGTGTGAAAATGGTAGCAATTTCTAACGGGAGCAACTGGACGGAAGGTGAGGAAGCTGGGTACCCGTGACAGTGGCAGTGACATAGAGCAGAGCACAGCAATTTCCCTAGGAAAGACCCACCAACTCTCTTTTAGGGAGCATCTATCCAGAGGCGCGTTAGCTTCTTACAGCTCTAACACTTACCAGATTTTGATAAGACACGAATCTCGGTTTCCTCCTTTCTAAAATGGGGACAAAAGTAGGTGATATCATGGCCACCTTACAGGGTTTGTGGATCATGCATGTGAGCAAACTATAAGTTATTAATTTTAGCATAATCATTATTATTATCTTGCTGATTGAAATGTTATTATGAATAGATTTCCTGTGAAGAAGCAAGAGGATTTGAAGGAAAAAGACCTTTTCATGCCCATGGCAGTCGGGGCCCTAGAAGACTCCACACGACACTCCACATGGCCCCACTTAGATGCAAGGGGGCTTGGAAATGAGACACCTGGTTGAGCAGTCATTTCTCAGAGGGAAATTTGTATAATGGAAAGGAAGTACTAGGTGGACAGCTAACAGTCTCTGCCACAAAAGAAAATAATTTTAACCTGTATCTAATTTTCCTAGAGCAAGGATACCTAAGAAGTTAAATCATCCTAGAAGGGTTCCCTTGAAGGTGTTCCCAGTTTGCAGTCTTGTTCCTCTGTCTTTGTCCTCAAGTCACTGCCTCTTTTCAAGAGTACTTTCTTCTTTTTACTTCTGTTGTGTAAATTTCTACATTGTTGGGAAATGCCACTCTACCTATAGAAACTTCTCTTACCATAGGATCCATCCTTTTCCCGACAGGAGTTTTCCCCTAAATTGGATTTATTCAATGTGGAATCATCTGCCCCCTTGAGAGGTTACTGGAGGGAAGTAGGATAGCAGCCATGGTAGTCTTTGACATTCCAAGACTTTTAGACTAATCCACGAGGGGTATGGACGCAATAAATGTGGTCCCCACTGAGACTTTTACATCAGGGTGAGGAGGAGTTACACTTTCTTATTTTTCTAGTTTTCTGGGGGTATTTTTAGAACAAATACACACACACACATACACACACACACACACACACACACACACACACACGAATCTTTGGAGGACAAAGTTTAATTCTTGGCCTGGCGCGGTGGCTCACGCCTGTAATCCCAGGAATTTGGGAGGCTGAGGTGGGCAGATCACGAGGTCAGGAGATCAAGACCATCCTGGCTAACACGGTGAAACCCCCTCTCTACTAAAAATACAAAAAAAATTAGATGGGCATGGTGGCAGGCGCCTGTAGTCCCAGCTACTCGGGAGGCTGAGGCAGGAGAATGGCGTGAACCCGGGAGGCGGAGCTTGCAGTGAGCCGAGATCGCGCCACTGCACTCCAGCCTGAGAGACAGAGCAAGACTGCATCTCAAACAAACAAACAAACAAACAAACAAAGTTTAATTCTCAGTGAGGGACAGAAACACTTTCCTAATCTTCCTAACCACTCCTTAACTTGGTAGACTGCTTCTCTTATAGAAGAGTTAGTAATTTAAATGTTACTGCAAAATAATATTGTTTGTTTTCATTCATCATTTTTATGTACTCCATATCTTCAGGTAATAAGAAACTTGAAGCGTTGGATTATCATTTGCAATAGCCCAAATAAATTCCTAGATGAATGCCATCCTCTTGTCCAATCCCCATAGGGCATCTGAATAGTTTCTTTCTTCCACTTATGACATTTCTGTGTCCTCCCAATGTACTTCCCCCTGTCATGCTTATTCATGCCCCAGTGCCATTGCCTATCCTGTTCGCCTGGCCAGGAATGCTCTTTGAATAATTCTTTTATCCTGCAAGACCCAACCCCAGTCCCACTCCTCCATAAAACCTTTCCCTACTTCTCCAGCCCACACTGATTTCTGTCTCTGACCTTTCATTACATTTCCCAGCTTTGAGTGAATAATTGTTCTGTGTATTTTCTCTCTGTTGTCAAGGTGGTATTTGCAGATACACATACTAAGCGCTATATAAAAACTTATTGACTGAATGAATGTTGATGTGAGACTAGAAGCAAGAGAATATTCTTGGATAACAGATGGGAGATGGTGTTTCCTAAAACTCTTCAAGGACAAGGAAATTATCATATATAGGTCCTTATTCTCACTACTTGTAGAACTTTGAGAACTTATCTAACTTCTTTAAGTCTTCATTTATTTGTGTATAAAACAGAGGGAATGACAACCACTTTATCCAATTTTTGGAAGACTCAGAAATAATCTAGGAAAAGTATCTAGTTGAGTGCCTGGCATACAGTAGGTGCTCAATAAACATTCATTGTCATTACTATTATTGTTGTTGCTGACATCATTGTTATTTTCCACAGTGCCTAGTATAGTGCTGAATATGTGATATCGACTGACTCTTTAATCCTGGATGATGAGGTTGTACAGGGCCCTGCAGTGTCCTTCATTGCTCTGAATATTTCTGCATGATCAGTTCACAGTCCAGGAAATCTGTTGAGGGAAACAAGTTGGAGGAGAATCACAAAGATCCAGTAGAAGTGCCATATCCAAGCCCCACAGCCTGAGCCAGGTAGAAATGAAAACTTTCTCACTGAATTCCCTAGACTGGCATGACCCCAGACCTTAGCTCAGACTACGTGAGGACTGTGATAAACTGGACTCTGAATAGTGGCTTTCATGAAGCAGCTCAGATAAAAATCTTACTATTCAATTTTTAAATTTACAACTTAGAAATTCTAGATTGGTTGACATTGGCTCAATACTTTAAACCAGCTGATGGAAAGAAAGATCTGTTATTGATTTACTGGCCTTCTTCTCCCCCACCCCTTTCCTCTGAGCACTGACTAAAACCTCTCCATAACAAGTACTGGGGGCCTCACAGTCTTCACAGCACTGACGGTGGGAGGAGGAGTGCAGGAAGGGAGGCATTTGCATCTCATTGCTGGCTTCAAGGTTGTGTCCCTTCTTCAAACATTTGCTGTTTGGGGATCCACCATTCTTCTCCATCCTGGGACAAGACCTAATCCAGCAGTAGGACCCCAAAACACGAATCAGGCCGGGCATGGTGGTCATGCCTGTAATCCCAGCACTTTGGGAGGCTGAGGTGGGTGGATCACTTGAGGTCAGGAGTTCGAGGCCAGCCTGGCCAACATGGTGAAACCCCGTCTCTACTAAAAATACCAAAAATTAGCTGGGCATGGTGGCAAATGCCTGTAGTCCCAGCTTCTCGGGCGGCTGAGGCAGGAGAATGGCTTGAACCTGGGAGGCGGAGGTTGCAGTGGGCCAAGATCACGTCACTGCTCTCTAGCCTGGGTGACAGAGCGAGACTCTGTCTCAAGCAACAACAACAACAACAACAAAAATAACAACAAAACGCGAATCAGCTAACCTGGATTCTGTTTGGGCTGGGCTCTCCCAACAGCTCCTCTTCTACCTCCGCAAGTTACGCATACCTTAGTGGAACCCTTCACCAGACAACCTTGGCAATGCCACCCACAGAAGGAAGGGTCTAGGGACTGGACTATTCCTATCAAGTAGTTAAGGTTATGGGGAGAAGGAGAGGCTGGTATAGTCTTTAATCCAAGGAGCCTCACACTTTGTCTGCTCTAAGGGGCTAAGACTAATAGAAGGCACAACAGAAAAATGACAATCATTAAATGAATAATAATTGAGTGCCACACACCACGCTTCGTACTTGGCCTGTGTTATTTATTTTTCATAACAGTCCTGGATATTGGAACTCACTATCCTGAACAAATTAGGCTGAGAGAGCCAGAGCAGCTTACCCAATATCATGTGGCTGGTAAGTGGCACAGATGAGCAGAGCTTTCTCCTATGCTTCATGAGCTCTCGTAGGAATGTACTTCTTGGGCTTCCTCGCCTCACTCGGGATTTACAGATCACAGGACAAATTGTGCTCAGAAGGACCTGGTAGAAGAACACTGCCCTGTGACGTAGAGGCCTGGGCTCTAATCCTGCTTCTGCTGGTATGAACTCTTTCACTTTGTACAAGTCAAACAAATATTGTGGGTCTCATCCGTAAATTGAGGGAGTGGAATGTAAACATCTCTGGAAGGTTTGTTCCAGCTCTGTGATTCTACGAACTAATATCTAAATACATTTACAGGAATAACAAAAACTTCTCCCCCATCCTAAACTCAGTTATCCAGCAGCCCTATTCATACGGAATATTGGGAAGAACTAGATTATAAGCAAAACTGCTGTCACAAAATCCACAAACATGAAGTCATGCCCTTTTGTAGAATTAGGCCCTTTCTCTAAGCCTGTTTATTCATACTTTTCAAATTACTCTAAGAAGTTTCTTCCACTCGGCCAGGCACGGTGGCTCACTCCTGTAATCCCAGCACTTTGGGAGGCCAAGGCGGGCGGATCACGAGGTCAGGAGATCAAGACCATCCTGGCTAACAAGGTGAAACCCCGTCTCTACTAAAAATACAAAAAATTAGCCAGCCGTGGTGGCGGGCAACTGTAGTCCCAGCTACTTGGGAGGCTGAGGCAGGAGACTGGAGTGAACCCGGGAGGCGGAGCTTGCAGTGAGCCGAGATAGCGCCACTGCACTCCAGCCTGGGCGACAGAGCGAGACTCCGTCTCAAAAAAAAAAAAGTTTCTTACACTCAAAATGTATATGACAAATTAGAAAAGGCATGAGGAGAAGCTGACATAAACAGGAACAAACAGAAAAATGAAGGAGGAGGAATCATTTTAAAAATACCTAAGGAAGAAAACAGGTGCAGGGCCAGTAAGTATAAGGAAAAAACCTCCAATCATTTCAATAGACCCTTAGGGAATCTTTGCATCATTAAAAACAAGACAAGCATATGATGATGTTCACATGGATACATTTGAATCACCAAGGAAAGATTAATCAATGTGGGTAAACTCTGTTTAGGAAGGAAGGAAGTTGTATATTCCGTTTTAGAATGTTTTCCATTTATTATAGTTAATATTTTTCCTTTTCAAGTTTTGATACCTTACTGGGTAGACTCTGAACTCTAGAAAACCCTGAAGTTTTGGTTAACTATTGCTGCATAACAAAGCACTCCAAAATATTGTGGCTTATAACAACAAATATTTTACTGTCTCATGATGCTATGGGTTAAATGGGCTCAGCTGGGAGATTCTTCTGCCCCACAGAATGTTGGATGAGGCTAAAGTCATCTGGGGGCTTAATTGAACTGGAACATCTTGAAAGCGTTTCCTCACATGGCTGGTGGTTGATGGTGACTGTTGTCTGGGAGCCCTCCTGGGGCTGCACCCAGAGTACCTGCACATGGCCTCTCCATGGATAGCAGCTGGGTTCTGAGAAGAGCAGTCCCAAGAGTGAGAATTCCAAGCGGAAAAGAGAGGAAATTGCCAGTCCCCTAAAAGGCTGGGCCTGGATTTGGCACAGCAATACTCTGGCCATATTTGATAAGCAGCTGCAGGACAAACCAGGTGAAGGGAGGGGAAATAAATTTGAGCTCTCAGTGGGGAAAGTGACAACGAACTTGTGGCTGTATTTAATCTACCACACCTGGTCTCCAGAACAACTTTTTTCTGAGGAGCTTGGAGGACTGAGTTTTTACTGTGCTTCATTTTCATGTTGTACTTTTGTGTTTTTCAAAACACTTTGGGAAATATGTTATTTGATTCTCTTTTTTTAAACACAGAAGCTGGAGAGATTCTTTTAAAACCCCAGGCAGGTTATGTCACTCCTCTGCTCAACACTCTCCAGTGGCTCCTGTCTCAGAGAAGCCCAAAGCCTTGCAAGGCCTACCCTATTCAATTCCACGTCCTTCTGAATCCAGTCTGCATCCCTCCCAGTTGCTCTGCTTCAGCCACTCTGGCCTCAGGGCCTTTGCACTGGCTACTCCACTACCTGGATTACTCTTTCCCCAGTGATCTCTCAGCTCACCTTCTTACCTCCTTTGAGCCTATATCTCAATGGCACCCTCTTAGAGACACCCCTTTTTTTTCCTCAGCACTCCTCCTAACCCTTCTAGGCTTTGCTTTTTGCCAAAGCCCTTAGAAATCCCATATGTTTTGTTTATTCATTTATTTATCTGCTTCTCCCAGTGGAACTCCAGGGAGAGGGAGACTTTCGCTGTTTTGTTTACTACTGCACCCCCGGGGACTAAAACAGTGCCTGGTCCTTAGTGATGATTCATATGTGTTTGAATGAGATATTGAATAAAAGAATGAGTTCTCATTATATATTAGTATTTATGAGTCATGGTAAGTGCTGTGTTCTTGGCTTTACGGATGAAGAAACAGAGTCCCAGAAGATTTTGTGACTTGTCTGAGGTCACGCAGCTTGTGGTAGAGCCAGCTTTAGAACCCAGGGGCTATGACCTGCAGCCTCAGGTCTTTTGGGCAACCACTTCCTGCATTTCCATGCAGCTATTTCCAGGCAGGCACATACCCGGCTCTGACACGGACTCTGGACAGGCTCAATATGCAGATACACAGTCTTTCCCCGAAGTGAGAAGAGGGTACCACACTGCTGCTGTCATTTCCTGGACAGAGAAATGTGCATCTTGCCCGCTGGGTTCAGAGCAATAGTAATTACGAGAGTCTGGAGGGAAGTGAGAAAAGGTATCAGGGGCATTTAACAACCTTCACTGACCTGCAAATTATTATTTACAGTAACACAGAGCATTTCCTCTTCAGAGGCAAAGATGTAGAACATATCATATATGTGTCTTTCTTTTTTTCTTTCTTACTTTTTTTTTTTTTTTTTTTTAAAGAAGACTGACTTCTCACAGTGCTCTCCGGAAGCAGACAGAGAAGAGAAAGGGTTATTGGGCAGGTCAGAACGGACTTACCCTTAGGAGATGAAAGGAATGAATCTTCACTGTACTTTCTTAAATTCCTCCAGGAACTCTATGAAGATGATATTGGAAAACCTGAGAATCTCACTGTAAACTTTTGAGAGGCTGGGTCGGGTTTTATTTAACATGCATCTCCTGTTGATTCGGCACACTGCTTTGCAACAGCAGGTCTGGAGAAGTGTGTTCAGATTGACTGCCTGGGCTGGGAGGGGCTTTGGTTCTCATCTCTTCCAATCTCGTCCCCAGGATGTAGACCATCTGCTCATTCCTAGACTGCAGCTGCCAAACCAAAAACACGTCCACTGACTGGTAGCTCATTACCTATCACAGCAGCCCTTCTTTTTATACTGCTTATGTTGAACTACTGTCTTCTTCCTACAAGCTCCACCCTTCAGGTCTAGTTCTTTCTTCTGGATTGACAGAGGATAAATCTACTATGTTAGTAACAGATAAGCTTTCTTACATGAAATAGAGCAAGTTCTCCTTATCTCACTGGCTCTAAAAAGCAGAACTTGGCACCTAGCAGTCTGTGAAAGCAGGAGTTCCCTGAGAGTCCTCCCACAGTGTGTGTGTGTGTGTGTGTGTGTGTGTGTGTGTGTGTGTTTCTGCGTGGGGAGTGTGTTTCTAATGTGGTGGTGCAGAGTTTGACATTGGAGTCAAGCTTCTTGGGCTCATTTCCAGGCTCTATCACACAGCCCTGTGACTTGGATATGACACTTAGCCTCTCTGTGTCTCAGTTTCTTAAGCTGTAAAATGGGAAGAATAATAGTGACAACCTGATGGGATTGTTGTGATAATTAAATGTGCAAATGCCGTGAAGCATTAGTAGAGTGCCAACCTAGCATATACTGTGTGCCAATGATGCAGTGTCTTTGGGAGGATGTTCTGCTTCTCATGGGTTATAACAAGCAGAAGAAAGCCGTGGATCTGGGGGAATTGTCCCTTGTCCCTGGTGCCTTCTCCTTCAGTGCTTCTCTGTTTTCCTCCCTCTTTCTCCTCCCCTATCTGTTCCCAGGCCGTTCTCCAGTGGTCTAGTCCCAGTATACTGTTCTCTAAGCTGTACAGCTGCTTTTTCTATGCCTGGGGACACTTAGACTTTTTCACAGGGAACCAGGGAGATCCACAATTCTTCCAGGTGCAAAGGAGTGACTCTAAGGGTGACCTCTCAGTGTGGTGAGTGGGAAACAGGTATTCAGGGAACTGAAAGTAAAACCCTTCCCAGTACCCCTCACCCCACAACCACAAACACTCACCTACTTGGACCATTGATTGTGTGTGTCCATGAAGTCACATCTTCCTGCCACATGTTTTAAACTTGACATTTTCTACCTCGCTAAGTTGTGACAAATCCTTTGATATGGCCGAGAATGAATTGCTTTAAATTTAGTCGGAATTCGTGATACATCACATGAAATGAGAAGAAAGACAACCTGATCAACAAATGATATTAATGTTCCAAATTTTGGATGGGTTTAAAACTAAACATAAAGAGAGGAAACTGACAGTTTTTGTTTGTTTGTTTTTTGTTTTGTTTTTTTGAGACAGGGTCTCGCTCTGTTTCCCAGTCTGGAGTGCAGTAGCAAGATCTCTGATTACTGCAGCCTTGATCACCCAGACTCAAACCATCCACCCACTTCAGCCTCCCAAGTAGCTGGGACTACAGGCCTGTGCCACTATGCCCAGCTAATTTTTCTACTTTTAGTAGAGATGGGATTTCTCCAGGTTGTCTAGGCTGGTCTCGAATTCCTGGGCTCAAGCCACCTTGGCTTCTCAACATGCTGGAATTATAGGCATGAGCCACTACGCCTGGCTGAAACTGACATTTTTGAGGGCCTGTTTTGTACCAGGCCCTGTGCTATGTGATTAGCGTAACCCAGGGAGGGGTAGTAGTTGTATTCTCCCTATTTTCAAAGATGAACAGTGAGCTGCTCAAGGTTCACAGCAGTCACTTGAGCATTCCAACCCTAGTCAGTCTGCATCCAAAAGCAGAAGGTTTTGGGTTGTGCAGGCGGAATTTGAAGCCAATGATCAGGAGACTTGGTTTCTAATCACACAACAGGGCTGGGCTACTATTTCTTTCTTTCTTTTCTCTCTCTTTTGAGATGGAGTTTCACTCTTGTTGCCCAGGCTGGAGTGCAATGGCATGATCTCGGCTCATCGCAACCTCCGTCTCCTGGGTTCAAGTGATTCTCCTGCCTCAGCCTCCTAAGTAGCTGGTATTGCAGGCATGTGCCACCACACCCAGCTAATTTTGTATTTTTAGTAGAGACGGGGTTTCTCCATGTTGGTCAGGTTGGTCTTGAATTCCCAACCTCAGGTGATCCGCCCACCTCGGCCTCCCAAAGTGCTGGGATTATAGGCATGAGCCACCGCGCCCGGCCTACTATTTCTTCACATATAAAATGAGAATGGGAATGATAATATCCACCTCACATTCCTCCTGGGGTAGGTGAAGTTGCTTTTTAATCATTTACCTTAATTTATTTATAACAGTAATGCATACACATGAACAAAATGTGGCAAGGGCTGTTGGAGAGTATGTCTCTCTGCCCCAGCTCTGAGCTCATGCCCTGGATGTACACTCCTTGACCATGTCTTTTTACTTCTGGTAATTCCCACCACAACCTTAGATAATTCCTTTATAATCTATTTCTTGAAATTGTCCTATTTAAACTGTATCCACTCCCCCTACTATGACAGGGATTTTTAGCAACTTTACACTGTCTCATGTCTTCCATGGATTTTTGTACACACTGCTATTATCCTCATTCATTCTTGTGGCTACTTTTATAGGTATTAAACAACCTACTTAAATCTTCACTTTGGGATTTGTTAACTGTTAGGAGGAATCTATTGGCTTGTGATGGGAATGGAGGTGCTGCTAGGGCTGAGAACATCTGTTTGGTTCCTCCATACCTCACTGGGCCTGGAACCGTCCTGACACAGGCAGGCGCTGGAATATCCGACAACAGCACACCCGCACTCCCCGGCCCTCACCACCTTCCCACCTCCCTTTTCTGAGCTGTAACATTTCCTTCTGCCTTTACTTCTGGTGTATACAATTTATATTCTAGGTCCCCCAAGTTTTGTCTGTAGGCTAATTTGGAAAACAGAAAAGCAATACATGAATGTGAAGTATTCTGTTTATGAAAATTTTATATGCTGCCAAACCAAGTAGTATGACCAAATCCATATCATTGAACAGGGAACAGTGAGGGGAAGAATGTTCCCAAAGCCAAGACAAAATGGATACTCTTTTTTTTTCACACAGACCAATGCCATGGCCGCCGGTTGCTCTCTGAGGAGGAGGGCGGGCAGTTATGAAACTTGGAAAGGCCTTTCATTAATCTCCCCACAGTCCATCCCTGCTTGTGGCCCCAAGGCTCTGATCTGGGAGCCTCTGCAGGGCTTTGCTGGGAAGGGCGGCTCTACCTCCAGGCCAGTTCTCCCCCTGCCTGTGGTTCTGGGATGTAGATTTTTCCACTCAGCTTTATCTATCGATATGATCCCATCTTCTTTTGGTCCAGGTATTTGTGAAATTTTCTGGATTGCGGCTGGATCCTTTCATGTTGGTTATGAATTTATTCTTTTGCATTTATTTATTGTTATTTCATTGGAATTGGGGAGGAAGGAGAGGTAAAAGTAGGCCTAAACTACCATGTTGAACTTCAGGATTTATTTCAAAAATTTGAAAATTCGTAACTATTCCTTCAGTGAGTGAATATATGACCTCATGGTTTAGGTAAGGGTTGATCATTGTGGTGAGTTTTTGACAGGGCCAGAGAACCTGCCCTTGCATCCTTTCCTCTCCCCACCCCAAACAAACAACGCCATTTCATGTCCTTATAAATAAATGAATATTCCCATCTGGACTGACTAATTTGAAAAGTCCGTGTGTCAATGAGATGAGAACAGAGAACAAAGTACAGGAACGAAGTGCAGGGACAAGGGAAGAATGAAAGAGGCATTTCATAAATTTTAAAAATATCCTTTATTGTTATATCTACGGACTTGTTTTGCAGCCAAAAGAATCAAGACACCTTCAAGATAATGTGATATAGCTGAAAGTGTTGGGTTGGCAATAAACAGAAAGACATTTGAGAACTAGTTTTGTTTCTTCTATCTTCTGCAAATTGGGTACAATGATAATACGTGCCTTGGAGGTGGTAATGTCGACTGAGCAAGGGAGTATGTGGAGAGCACCCAGCACATTGTAGGTTCTCAGCAATGTTAATTCCCTTTCCTTAGAGAAGAGGAGATGGACCAGCACAGAAGAAGCAAGATGAAAGCTCTTTATACCTGCTCTACTTAGTTTACCACAATCAGTTTCATATCTTTATTATTTCTGTCTGTCTTTGTTTTTTTCTTTTTTTTAATCTCCCTGCCTCTTCTCTCCTCTTCTCTACCCCAATCCACAAAGCTAGTAAAATCTTTAAGCATACATTTAAAGAAAATTGCATGGTATCAGCTGCAGGAATGTGTTACCATTTTATGGTGGCCATCCTCGACTCCACCCCAAGGACCCCAGATGGAGAATCCCAGCTGGGCCTGAGAGCCTTGCGGTGGTGTTTCCCGGATGCTCTTTCTGCCCTCTCAGCCACTTTCCTTTAAATTAAATAGCTCTACAGTGATGGGACAACTGAGGCCCCTGGTCTGAGATAAACCCCACCTTTTCTGTGGCAGGGGCCCCGGCAGCGTCCTACCAAGCTCCCTATCACTGTGTCAGATCCTGAGCTAAGCACATTATCAAACAACCTGGGACTGACAGAGGAAGATTTGAAAAGTGCTTTATTCTTTCCACAGCACCACCTTCAGACACTTAGTCAAATTGTTCTTTCCTGCCTTGAGGTCAACCACCGTTCAGAGACTCACATGACCTCTGGGAAGCCAGGCATGTCCTTGCCCAACTAGACTCCCAGAGGCCTGTCCTGTGCCCACCAGATTCTTGTCTCTAGATATTTTTCCAGGGGTGAGAGAGATGCAATGTGAGGTCCCCTGACTTCCTGAGGTTAAGCCCTCTTGCCCCCACTGAGGGATTTGAGGTACATCTGTCCAGGTTTGAATCCTAGTTTGAGCAGTGGACAAACCTCTGTACTTTAGTTCCCCCAGCTACAAAGTATTAATAGAATTTCACATGAGAACTTACTTCATAGGGTTGGAATGAGAGTGAAACAAGTGAATACATGAAAGGCCTTTAGAGCAGTGGATTCTTAACTTTGGTGCTCACAGAATCACCTGGAGGGCTGGTGAAAACACAGATTGCAGGGCCCTGCCCCAGAGAACGCCCTTTAGTTGGTGTTTCTAACAGGTCTGCAGGTGATGTTGATGCTGCCCAACTGAAAACCCCTGTCTTAGAGCAATGCCTGGCACAAGATCAGTGCTATATGATTGACTTGTTATTATTTACTTGAGAGAAGAAAAAAGAATGCTACAATATGTTTAGAATACATGCATGATTACATAGTACGTTTAGAAGATTCTGGGTAGCAACTGAACTAGCCGTGCCCCCACTGTGTTAGAAGGGCTTTAAAGGGTTAGAAGACAGTGGGGGCTGGAGACAAGCAGGGCAGCCTGCAGGTTTTGCAGTATCCAGGAGATCCCCTGGCCCTCCCTCTGTGGCTGAATTTATGGGCAAAACAAACAGGAGCTTGGAAGGCAGATAAGACTTGCCTTGCCCCTCTCTCCAAGTATTTTAGACTCAGCATGGCTCTAGGTGTTACAGGAAATAATGACACCCAAGATTGGGCCCAGCCTTGAACGACCTAGTTAACGATTTAGTTAAGGAGCTAAATCCATCCCACACCAAACAATAAGGAAATATGGGAGGTGCTTCAGGTCTGACATGATGCTAGCTACACACACAGTAGGAGATGTCCCTGGGTCTTAGTGTTTGGCAGTGTGTGTCACACTGACCAGCATCTAAAGGTTGCTCCGCCGTTATCAGTACAGCACAGGAGATGGTCCTCTGGCCCTCTGCACCTGAATTTTGTGTCTGGAATGAGCAGGGCAGCCTGCCTCCAGGGCCCATGTGAGGACAGGAAGCACTGTAGGATACCACAAAGTTAGGGACCCGTCTGTTGTGTGCACAGCCACACCCCTGGTAGGCATCCAGACAGTGTGTTGAATGAGTGCACCACTGAGCGAAGCACTCTCAGTGTCTAGCTGGCAGGGCTCAGCATGGATAACTGTCCTCACTGCTGTGGTTATTTTTGGTAAGGACTGGGCTGATTAGGAGAAACCAATGGAAGATGTAAAGAGTGATCCAGACCTGAGGGATGGATGGGATGAGGAGGACAGAGGAAGAAGGGTATTTCGGGTATGGCTGAGGGTGTTGGGCAAGCTGGGAAGCAAGAAGGAGCATGGTATGGCCTGGCTCAGCGAGGAGGCAGAAGCCTGTGGAGTGGGACTGGCTGGGGGTGCAGGCTCTACAGAGCCAGGTGTGGGGAAGCTTCAGGGTCTGTGCATCCAACAAAAAGCATTCATCTCCCAGCTCACCCCGCCCCATGTCTTTCTGACACTTTTGGTCATATAAAAAGCAAGAGTCAAAGAGCCCAGGTTGTAGTTTCTTCTTGTTTCTCTCCCAATTGAAAAATCATTTTGATAAAGAGAATCAAGTTGGGCATAGAGGAACATTTCTCAGGTTCTCAGATCAGTGTGTCTTACTCATTCTACCCCTATATACGTGGCTTAGGCCCAGGTGCTCACACCTAGCTGACTCTGATATCTAGGGTATTAGAACGGTTCTGGGTAATGAATGGTTCTTGTCTTCTATTTAGTTTGAATGATTTTTTATTCTCTGAGACACAGCTGTTTCAGGGGTGGCCTTGTTCTGGACTTCTAGGAAACCTAGAAACCAGTCTGGTCTATGCGTTCTTAGGAGGAGGAATCAGAGGAACCAGGAGCTCCCTGCAGGAGGAGAAAGAAAGGAGGTTAGCAAACCTGCGGAGAGAGAAGAAAAAACCACATCCTCATGTGCCAGCTGGCAACACTCAGTACACAAAAGTGTTGATAACTTTGACTTTTTTCTGATTACTACTCATACCCTAATTCCCACCCCTAACACATACAAAATCCACTTTCCATGCTGCCATGGGGAACCCTTAGTAAGACACATACCTGACTGCTCTATCTGCTTTCCATTTCTGGCTTATAAAATTCCAGTGCCCCCTCCCGCCCCAAACCTGCAAAATTGAGTAGAGTTTGGCATAGGAGGCTTTTCCCAATTCGGCTCCAATTTAACTTTCCAACTTCATTCCCATTCCCTTCCCTCCTCCTTCTCCTGCAGGACTGTGGTGGCTCCCTAAACAGTTTGGTGTCCTACCTGACAAACTCCTATTCATCCTTCAGGACCAGGTCAGTGCCACCTCCTTACCCAGGACTAATAAGAAGAGGGTACTTCTGTGATAGGCCACAGTTTCCCACCTTCCAACCTAGAGGGAGAAACACAAGCCAACAAAGCTCAGCTCTTGGTTCTGGCCCCATCTGTGACCACAGGAAACCCAAGCCACCCTCCAAATGCCCCCTCCTCCAGTTTTGCCAAGAGTCTCCAGAAGGTATTATCTGCATGCTCATGTGTGCAGCTCTCTAGCTCCTTCGTGGCATTTGTCAATTTCCTTCTCTACAGTGCAGGAGCCGGTTGCCACATCCCCACACCTGCTGTCAACAGGCTCTGGTGCCACTGAGGCCACAGCACTGTCTCCTGCTGATGCTTGCTGAAGGCTATGTCTTCTTTCCTTCAATCATATGTGTGCTGGTCTGGCTCACAGCTCTGCACTGCAGCATAACTTTCAAATGGGGAGCATGAGAGAATGATAATGTGAATAGGACATGAATAGCTCCCACTTACCAAGCCCTTGTGTGCACCAGGAATGGTGCTAAACACTTATGTGGATTCTACATTCTAATCCTCATGCTTACCTAAGAAGTATGTCTTGTTATTATTCCCATTTTACAGGTAAGGACCACAACACCAGAGGCTCAGCAAGACTAAGTGGATTCCCTAAGTTCTCACAGCTGGTAAGGGGGCGCTGTGAGTTTAAATCTATGTCAGTTTGGCTCCAGAGTGTAGAATCTTTACCATTAAGTGGTGCTGCCTCCTGACACAGCTTGCACACCAGCTGCAAGTGAGATGGAGCAATCCAATTCCTTACTGGGCGATTGCTGATTCCCTTGGCAGTCTAACAGCTGGAACTCTCTATTTCACCCACAACAGTGACTGGCACATAGTGGAAGCTCAATAAATATTTAATGAGTGAAGGAATAAATGAATAAGTAGAATCTCATTCTAATCTGACCCTTTCACCCCTAAATGTTGGGCCTGGAGAGGGTCATCATATCCTTCTTTAGCCTTCAAACTCAGATCAATAATATGGCTCAGATGGGGTTCTTACAAAGCAGGCTGAGATGCTGATGTCCATGAAATGGACCTTGAATCTCTCTGGCCTCAATGGCAACAATAGGTTCTTCACTAAGTTTTCCCATCTGTTCACACATGGCCTCGGTCCTCCATAGAGCCCCACCAGCCATTCTGGGAGTCCTGGAAAGATGTGTCACCTGTGCCAGTCGAGGTCACTGTGTGGTGTCCTCTCTCACTCTTGCTCCCCCACCCCTGCCCCGCCGATGATGTCTTCTGCCTGCACGACCTCCTGGGCTGCCTCTCCCTGCCCCTGCTCCATCACCTCCTGCAGAAATACCATGGTTTATGTTCAGGGCCATGTCCTCTGACTGCTGCCAGACTTCACCCTGCCAGAGCCATGCTGTATTCTCTTCAGACATGGAGGGGCCACTACCCCACTTTGTCACACACTTAGCCCACTGGGGCTCGACTGGGTGAAGACATGAGTGCCCATGACTTACTAGGTCCTTTAGAAATCCTCTGCTCCGGCTTCACATTGTAGCCCGTCTCCACAGTGCCCAGACCTGAGTTTGGAACTGGTTGGTGTGTGTGTGTATGCATGTGTATACGTGTGTGTGTTTATGTGTGTGTGTGAACATGTGTATGCAACACCACACTTTCCTCCCTCCTCTCCCAGCTTCCCACACCGACATGAGACTCTTTCCTCTCCTCCCCAATGATGCTAATCAACCCCTGGATATAGACATTTGCTGGTCTTGGTTCCTCACCCTCCTCCACTTCATCAGACAAATCCAGCCACATATGGATTCATTTTAAGGATTATCTGGGACCACCCCCACTGCCATCCCCTGGCTACAAACTTAAGAAGATCTGCTCCATGGTGCAGATGTCAGGTGACCCAGCCTGCTGAGGAATGGGGGAGCACGTATTCAGCTTTATCAATGGGTCTGCCATTTCCAGATTTAAGGCCTGGATTTACTGTGAAGCTGATGAGACTGAAGATTTCGAATCTCCCTCTCACTCCCCCTGCCCTCACCCCTTGTACAGGAGGGGACTTAGTGCTCATATGTCTTTGTTAAATTTGGAAAAGTAAGCCATTTTAACACAACCAGTTAAGATCACTTTTTCTCCCGACCTTTCCTCCATCACACCTTCCTTCCAGTTAGGTGACCTTGAAGCAGCCTTGGGCATTTTGGGGATCTGGCTAAAGGTCAATAGAGTTGGGCATACATGAGTTCAGGTTTCTTGGAGTATGTTAGGGTTGTTTGTCATCATTTTTATGTATGGGTTTTAAAAAATTTTTTATTATATTTTAAATTCTGGGATACATGTGCAAAACGTGCAGGTTTGTTCCATAGGTATACACACGGCATGGTGGTTTCTGCACCCATCCACCCATCATCTATATTAGGTATTTCTCCTAATGCTATCTCTCCCCTAGCCCCCCACCTCCCGACAGGCCCCAGTGTGTGATATTCCCCTCTCTGTGTCCATGTATTCTCATAGTTCAACTCCCACTTATGAGTGAGAACATGCAGTGTTTGGTTTTCCGTTCTTGTGTTAGTTTGCTGAGAGTGATGGCTTCCAGCTTCATCCATGTCCCTGCAAAGGACATGAACTCATCCTTTTTTATGGTACATAGTATTCCATGGTGTATATGTGCTACATTTTCTTTGATGGGCATTTGGGTTGGTTCCAAGTTTTTGCTATTGTGAATAGTGCTGCAATAAACATACGTGTGCATGTGTCCTTATAGTAGAATGATTTGTAATCCTTTGGGTATATACCCTGTAATGGGATTGCTGTCCTGGGGCAGTAATGGCAGGGATACTCCTACTAGCCGCTAGGTGGACTTGTCCCCTATTGTGGTACAAAGGTGCAGGACAAAGGTCATCTATCATTTTCACCATGTCCTAGGGCACCTGGCATGGGGAGTATGAGAGTAATGGAAGGGAAGGAAGACAGAATAAATGTGTGGAGCCAGAAGCTGTGTTGTGGAAAATTCTTCCCATGCCTATTTAAAACTATTTCCCAAAGGACGGAGATCCTGCTGAGTCTGATGGGGTCGGGGTGGGGGAAGAAGGGGTGGGGTGGGAAGAATGAGAGGAGGTAACTCAAGCTAGGGCTTCCCCCTCCACCTGTCGGACTCTGCAGGACAGCCATCCTGGCATCCACCACGAGCTCATCCTCAGGCAGCCCTCGGAAGGCTTCCTCTTCCTGCAACCCATCATCTCTGGACATCTTTTGGGCTTTTTCTCCTCGGATCTTCTTAATCTTCACTGGTTATTTTAGCTGTGATGCTTCAAACCTTGCTTCACAGCCCAGCCCCAGATGAGATCCTGAGACCAGTTTCCCTCTACCTCAGTCATTGCTCTGTGCCCAGCCTCACTCCTGGAGCTCTGACCACCAGTGAGGTTGAATCTTTTCCTCCATTACTCCCCGTTCTCTCTACAGAGGGTCTCGAGCTGTGCTCAGAATAGACAAGACTCTGTTACTAAACAAGGATCTTGTTCAACATCTTCATTTCCCTCAGTTCTAGAAAGAGGGGCCCAAAAACTTCACCTTGTTGCCTAAGGCCTGAAAGACATGGTTTTTGTGGGTAAAGGTGTCTCTAATCTCTTTTGAGTTGGTGGTATTTGAAACCTCTTAGCATTTGAAGTCTTCATACAGACATAGAGGGCCATGAGGACATGACCATGTCCTTCCTCCACACCAATAGGACAACTTTCCAGGTCATTTGTTAATTTCATTCCCACTGGATAAAAAAAAAAATTCAACCTGTAGTTAGATGTGATTTACATATTTACTCTGTTACTAATTGATTGAGTGGCCTTAAGTAAATCACTTCTGTCTTGGTGTTCGTGTTCATTTTTTCATTTATGAAATGAGGTTTTTGGATTATATGATCATTACAGTCCCCCAAGCTATAAATTATTATTTTCTATGACCTTGTGCTTGCAAAATTCTAATTAAACAGAGCTTAACTACTCGTAATTGTCACATAGCTAGAATTTAACTCACCTTAACTTTAAGGAAAAGTCACAAGAAAACAGGTTTGCATTAGGGAAAGGGGACGGGGGAAAAAACCCAGGGTTTGGAACAATCTTTTTTTTTTTTTTTTGAGATGGAGTCTCGCTCTGTCGCTCTGGCTGGAGTGCAGTGACGCGATCTTGGCTCACCGCAAGCTCTGCCTCCTGGGTTCACACCATTCTCCTGCCTCAGCCTCCCGAGTAGCTGGGAATACAGGCACCCGCCACCACGCCCAGCTAATTTTTTTGTATTTTTAGTAGAGATGGGGTTTCACTGTGTTAGCCAGGATGGTCTTGATCTCCTGACCTTGTGATCCACCCGCCTCGGCCTCCCAAAGTGCTGGGATTACAGGTGTGAGCCACTGCGCCCGGCCTGGAACAATCTTAGAGCAACTCTAGCTACATCTATAATATTCTATAGTCATCATTCACATATTCAATAATCTAAGAAAGGCTCAGTCATGCTTATTAGACCTTAATTACTGAGGTAGAGAATCAATTAAAGCATTTTAGAAAGATTAACTGCTAAAAGGTAGACTTTTTTCATTGTTGTTGTTATTTTTGTTATTTTAACAGAAAAAAAAAAACTGAGCTTGAGATTCTCTGTCCTTTCCAGCATTGCAGTTAATCCATCAGCATCTTGTTATGTGCAGAAAGGTTTCAAATGTCATCAACTCAAAGGGATTAGAGACACTTTTCTCTCATTCTTGTAAACCATGGCCATGTAGACTTAGGTAACCAGGTGAAGTTTCTGGGCCTGTCTTTCTAGAATTGAGGGAGACAAAGGTGTTGAACAAGATTCTTATTTAGTAACAGAGCCGTGTCTCTAAATGTGCACAGACCTTATTCCGTCCTGTCTCTTCCCTCCTCTCTCTGCCATGGCTAACAATAGTCCCACCCTTCACTTTCTCCGTTAGAAAATAAATAATCAAAGCAACGGAGGAGATTCAGACTATCTGAAAATACCAAGGACATCTTTGAAGTGGCTGAGTACACAGCCTTTTGAGAGAGACAGAGATGGCTTCAAATACAGGCTCTACCACTTACTGGCTCCAGGGTCTTTACGAAAGACTAAGAACACAAGGGATGCAGGCAGCTTGGAATTGTAGAAAGACAGAAATATGCGGGGGTCATCTAGGCCTGTTTACGAAAGAGACATTTTGGCTGGGGTGAAAGGTCTTTTAGGGCCATCTTTCTGCCTTTGTTGAGTCAAAGCTGTCTGGCTAGCCACCTTCAGATTCTTAGGATGGTTCCCCAGGTGTCTGAGGAAGAGCATTTCAAATAGGTATGGGAGGAGAGAGGGGACATGCTGGCTCCTGAAGATGTCAGCTCCACTGTTACTTAATAGACCAGTCTCTGGTTTATACATCAACCCACTATGTGTTTGGCTATCAAATACCAGGCCACAAGAAACTGACCTTTCCTCTCTGGATAAGTGCAGACTAACTCTAATTGCTGGACCTGCCAAGCTGAGGACCAGCATGTGGACTGCGGTAACTTCGTCAAGCTACTGGTTCCCTGGGAGCCAGCCAGCCTGTCCCTGATGACAGTCCTCTCTCTCACCAAGCTTCCTAACTGTAACAGATCTCAAAACATTTTGCAAATAAGCCAGTGCCATCATTGCACTTTGGAATATACTACTTAGCCAGCACAAACAGCTTTTTTCTTTTTTTCCTTTTTACCAAATTTGGTAGTCTGGCTTATCGCTGGCTCCTGTCCTCTGGCAGTTGCAACAGACGCTGGTGGTTTGTTGTGGAGCATTGGCTCTTCGGGGGTGATGATTTGTCACTTGGGCTTATGTGGCAAAAGTGGTGGATTCCAAGAAACACATGTTTAAGAAATTTAGGAAGGAACAAGGAAGTGGATATGATCATCAGCTAATTAGCTTGTTAGGCCAAAAATGCCTTTTGGTGCTCACCACAGCACTGTCGCCAGCTGTAAAGTAGCAGTGACCTCCCTTGAGGTCATTGTGTGAATGACAGTGATAAATGTCTGGTTTTGGAAGGTTAGGAATTTTTCTCTCTTTGCTTGTTCTTCTTCCCCCCGCCCCCCGCCCCCAATCCAACCCTCTTTGGTTGTTTGGAATCCTATTGAAAATCACAAACCAGAAAGAAAACAGCTTCCAGGATCAGTGGTGAATATTTCAAGAATCAGGTTACTGCGGCCTGTGGCTCTTGAGCTCAACTTGAAGACAATCCAGGTTGCTTTGGTGACCTCCCAGTGCATTTTCCCTAAAATACCCACTTTCTCTTGGTTTACCAGCGAGCAGGAGGTGGAAACGGGCAGAAGGGTCAGGCTAAGTAATGTGGCAGGATATATATATCCCCCACCCCCTACAGTGATTGGGTCTAGATGAGGCTCCCACTGAGTCAGATGCTTTGGAACAAAAACAAGTCTTAGGAGCGGCTGAGTACCTGATTTTGGGGGAAGCTGACCAATTTTGTAGGCGGGCTCTCAGTGTACCTTGAACTACTGATTCAGGGGGTGTGTGAAGTTAAGACACTGGGTCAGCGTAAGATCATTTATAGATGTGCAAGATGGGCCTGGAGAGACCCTTTTCCACTACCCTGGTCTCTACTTTATGGAAGTCAGCCCCTTCTGTGAAGTAGAGACCAGGGTAGTGGAAAAGGCTGAAGTAAGAGTCAAAAGCCACGCTTTCTCTTTCTTGCTTCACTTCACGCTGAACTGCAGAACTTTAGACAAATCAGTTTGCCTTTCTGGGCCTTACTTGTCTGGTAATAAGATAACTGGATCGATCTTTTCATGACGCGTTTTCCTTCTGTGTTTAGCCAGACTCACCTCAAATATCCTTGTCACAAGTGCTTTCATCATTACCCTCGGTGAATCATATAAAACAAATTTTGCACTATGATCAAATGTGATCAAACGTTCCATTTTTCAATGTGGTATACTATATAGCAACAATATTACGAATTTCTATTAAATTGAGGAACCGATACACTCCAAAGGGAAAAAGCTAGAATTGTAAAATGTTTCAAAGATAATTTTAAATAGTGTCACAAGTAATGTCTAAATATGTATTGTGCAAAGAGGGGCTACTTTATCAACTTTGGAGATTAATTTAGAATCATTTGTATTTAGCACCTTCTTTAATGCTAAAGATATTGTTAATGCACTTAAAACAATGTCTTCTGAAGAACATTAAACATTCCTTAAAAGTCATTTACACTACTATTTGCTTAGATTTGCCTATGCACCCTCAAGATACATAAATTCTAAATTAATGAGATCTGAGTTCATGAGATGTTATCACATTTGCTTTGGAATGTGTTCAACCATTTGGTAACTCCTGAATCACCCTAAACTAGGGAAATAAATCTGATGCAATCTACGAGACTACATATGAAGCAGGGAGTTCTCTACTTAACAAATGCTAGAATATACAGAGTTAAATTTAAACCAAAATGAGATTTCCTGAGATCTTGAATACTAATATGTACTGCATTAGCCTTGAGATGGGTAAGGTCCTTCATAACAAAATTGAACACATGCCAAATCTGGTATCTTAAAGCAGTAATGTAGACTCCAGCCTTCTGATTAAATTCTTTGGATATTAAAATTTGGTTTGACCTAAATTCAAAGTGACTAGATATTTTTTTTTCTCCTGTAAATTTCAGAGAACTCCATACCAAGGCAGAGGAACTACATCTAAATTTCCCTTTTAAAGACACTCATAAAAATGCACTCGGTGCAAAAAGTTTCCACCCAAGAAAATGAACAAAAACAAGCTGGATTCAAATGGGAACAACAAAAATAAAACTAGAAAATTCTGTGATTAGACTCAACATGGAAATATGTTCTACATAATTTCAGTAATTGTGATCAAATAAAGAACAGAAATGGCAAAGTAATTCCATTTTTGCAGGAGCTGGTTTTCAGTTTCTTCCCCCTGCACTCATTAGCATCATAAAATGTTAGTGCTGGAAGGGTCATTAGTGGCCACTCATTCCAGGCCCCCTTTATAGAGGAAGAGGCCTAGAGAGGCAGTGGAGTTGGCCAGTGTCAGGGAGCCAATTAGTGGTAGAAAGAGGACTAGAACCCAACTCTTCCTGAGCTACCACATTGCATAGCAGAATGTCTAATAGATCCTTGCTAGACATTTGTGGGATTGAATAAACTGATGTCCTTTGGGTTTTTAACTGGGAAATAAATCAATCAAAGGCCATCTATTCTTTTTCATGTGTGTTTTTTCTCAAGACATCTTTTCTCCATCTGATTCCCTGAACTCAATAAAAGATTTGTAGAGAAGGGGGTTGAGGTGGGGCCATTGAGAGAAGATATTTTTCTCCACACTGAAGTTTGTACTAGTGGGTGGAGGGTGAGGGAGACAGATAAAGAAAAAATGGCTACTCAAATGATATGATTATTAAACACTGAGTTACTGGAACAAATTTTCAAGTATATTTTAATAGGTTTGGTAGCTAGGTATGCATTCTCCTATTTTTGAGGGAATTAAAAGTTATTCCTGTGATGAACAGAGTAGGCACTCACTGACTGAATGAATGAATAAATCTGTGAAGGGAAGTGCATTATGGTTTTATCCATGATATCTTGTTCAAGTCTTCTCAGCTTTCATTCCCATTCTCTAAATGGAGAGACTGAGGCTTAGAGAACATAATGACTGGCTCAAGGTGTTAAGTAACTTCTTTTTTTTTCTATTATATTTTATTATTATTATACTTTAAGTTTTAGGGTACATGTGCACAATATGCAGGTTAGTTACATATGTATACATGTGCCATGCTGGTGTGCTGCACCCATTAACTCGTCATTTAGCATTAGGTATATGTTCTAATACTATCCCTCCCCCCTCCCCCCACCCCACAACAGTCCCCAGAGTGTGTTGTTCCCCTTCCTGTGTCCATGTGTTCTCATTGTTCAATTCCCACCTATGAGTGGGAACATGTGGTGTTTGGTTTTTTGTCCTTGCAATAGTTTACTGAGAATGATGATTTCCAATTTCATCCATGTCCCTACAAAGGACATGAACTCATCATTTTTTATGGCTGCATAGTATTCCATGGTGTATATGTGCCACATTTTCTTAATCCAGTCTATCATTGTTGGACATTTGGGTTGGTTCCAAGTCTTTGCTATTGTGAATAGTGCCGCAATAAACATATGTGTGCATGCGTCTTTATAGCAGCATGATTTATAGTCCTTTGGGCATATACCCAGTAATGGGATGGCTGGGTCAAATGGTATTTCTAGTTCTAGATCCCTGAGGAATCGCCACACTGACTTCCACAATGGTTGAACTAGTTTACAGTCCCACCAACAGTGTAAAAGTGTTCCTATTTCTCCACATCCTCTCCAGCACCTGTTGTTTCCTGACTTTTTAATGATCGCCATTCTAACTGGTATGAGATGGTATCTCATTGTGGTTTTGATTTGCATTTCTCTGATGGCCAGTGATGGTGAGCATTTTTTCATGTGTTTTTTGGCTGCATAAATGTCTTCTTTTGAGAAGTGTCTGTTCATGTCCTTCGCCCACTTTTTGATGGGATTGTTTGTTTTTTTCTTGTAAATTTGTTTGAGTTCATTGTGGATTCTGGATATTAGCCCTTTGTGAGATGAGTAGGTTGCAAAAATTTTCTCCCATTTTGTAGGTTGCCTGTTCACTCTGATGGTAGTTTCTTTTGCTGTGCAGAAGCTCTTTAGTTTAATGAGATCCCATTTGTCAATTTTGGCTTTTGTTGCCATTGCTTTTGGTGTTTTAGACATGAAATCCTTGCCCATGCCTATGTCCTGAATGGTAATGCCTAGGTTTTCTTCTAGGGTTTTTATGGTTTTAGGTCTGATGTTTAAGTCTTTAATCCATCTTGAATTAATTTTTGTATAAGGAGTAAGGAAGGGATCCAGTTTCAGCTTTCTACATATGGCTAGCCAGTTTTCCCAGCACCATTTATTAAACAGGGAATCCTTTCCCCATTGCTTGTTTTTCTCAGGTTTGTCAAAGATCAGATAGTTGTAGATATGCGGCATTATTTCTGAGGGCTCTGTTCTGTTCCATTGATCTATATCTCTGTTTTTGTACCAGTACCATGCTGTTTTGGTTACTGTAGCCTTGTAGTCTAGTTTGAAGTCAGGTAGTGTGATGCCTCCAGCTTTGTTCTTTTGGCTTAGGATTGACGTGGGGATGTGGGCTCTTTTTTGGTTCCATATGAACTTTAAAGTAGTTTTTTCCAATTCTGTGAAGAAAGTCATTGGTAGCTTGATGGGGATGGCATTGAATCTATAAATTACCTTGGGCAGTATGGCCATTTTCACGATATTGATTCTTCCTACCCATGAGCATGGAATGTTCTTCCATTTGTTTGTATCTTCTTTTATTTCATTGAGCAATGGTTTGTACTTCTCCTTGAAGAGGTCCTTCGCGTCCCTTGTAAGTTGGATTCCTAGGTATTTTATTGTCTTTGAAGCAATTGTGAATGGGAGTTCACTCATGATTTGGCTCTCTGTTTGTCTGTTATTGGTGTATAAGAATGCTTGTGATTTTTGTACATTGATTTTGTATCTGAGACTTTGCTGAAGTTGCTTATCAGCTTAAGGAGATTTTGGGCTGAGAAAATGGGGTTTTCTAGATATACAATCATGTCATCTGCAAACAGGGACAATTTGACTTCCTCTTTTCCTAATTGAATACCCTTTAATTCCTTCTCCTGCCTAATTGCCCTGGCCAGAACTTCCAACACTATGTTGAATAGGAGTGTTGGGAGAGGTTATCCTTGTCTTGTGCCAGTTTTCAAAGGGAATGCTTCCAGTTTTTGCCCATTCAGTATGATATTGGCTGTGGGTTTGTCATAGATAGCTCTTATTATTTTGAGATATGTCCCATCAATACCTAATTTATTGAGAGTTTTTAGCATGAAGTGTTGTTGAATTTTGTCAAAGGCGTTTTCTGCATCTATTGAGATAATCATGTGGTTTTTGTCTTTGGTTCTGTTTATATGCTGGATTACATTTATTGGTTTGCGTATATTGAACCAGCCTTGCATCCCAGGGATGAAGCCCACTTGATCATGGTGGATAAGCTTTTTGATGTGCTGCTGGATTCGGTTTGCCAGTATTTTATTGAGGATTTTTGCATCAATGTTCATCAAGGATATTGGTCTAAAATTCTCTTTTGGTTGTGTCTCTGCCAGGCTTTGGTATCAGGATGATGCTGGCCTCATAAAATGAGTTAGGGAGGATTCCCTCTTTTTCTATTGATTGGAAAAGTTTCAGAAGGAATGGTACCAGTTCCTCCTTGTACCTCTGGTAGAATTCGGCTGTGAATCCATCTGGTCCTGGACTCTTTTTGGTTGGTAAGCTATTGATTATTGCCACAATTTCAGAGCCTGTTATTGGTCTATTCAGAGATTCAACTTCTTCCTGGTTTAGTCTTGGGAGGGTGTATGTGTCGAGGAATTTATCCATTTTTTCTAGATGTTCTAGCTTATTTGCGTAGAGGTGTTTGTAGTATTCTCTGATGGTAGTTTGTATTTCTGTGGGATCGGTGGTGATATCCCTTTTATCATTTTTTATTGCGTCTATTTGATTCTCCTCTCTTTTTTTCTTTATTAGTCTTGCTAGCGGTCTATCAATTTTGTTGATCCTTTCAAAAAACCAGCTCCTGGTGTTAAGTAACTTCTTTGCATACATCGTATTTTCCCCTCTGCTTTCTAGTGTAAGAAGTTATTTTCCTATCAACTTCTTGTTTTTTAATGAAAATTTTTAATTGCAGAAAAAGGGGAAAAGATAAGCTTCTGGTGCATTCCTGAAACCAGAGATGAAAAATAAAAATAAAAATGGCTTTGAGGTTGGCGGCTGCCAAATGTCATTGAACAAAGTAAGTTACATGCTCATATTGGAGCAAGCAGAGGGGGGTGAAAGTGGCTTAAATGCTTTGTGATTTGCAACTGCCTTACTCATTCCTGTTTCCAATTTAATGGCACACTGTGCGTCAACAGAATCCTACATTCAAAGAGATTCTGTGGTGTCTTTATATAATGAGATTGATATCAAGTTCCTGGGTTCCCTTCTCCGAAGAATCCTGCATAACTCCGTCAGCATGACCTCTTCCAATGAGAGGAGAAGAGCAGCTTTATTTATTTCCATGTCTCTGGCGTGTGTCTCAAGGAATTACATCACCTCTCACTGAGTAATTCAGCTCATAGACCAGGTTAGGAAGCAGGACCAGCATCTCCCTTTCCTGAATCCCACCCCATCTCCAAAATGTGCTTTTTATGGAGTAAATGATTCGCTTATTAGGTAAAGTAAACAGAAAAACAATGTCAAGTTTAAATGGAGCAGTCTTTGATTCAGAGTGACACTGAGCAAACAGCCAGGCTGGACCTATCCGGCCCTCTGGGGACACGGACGTGCCCACATAAGAATGACCCCTATTAGCACCAGTGGGGAAGGGCTTGCAGTGTGATAAGTATGCTCCTCTGAAGCCTGAGCCTTCCAGCCCTGGAAAGCAGAAAGGCTGAGGCAGGGGGATGGGAAAGGCATCTGACTACAGCATGACTTCACTTTTTGAAACTCTGAAAATCATAGTCTCTTACAGAGAGCTGGTATCTTCCAGGTGACCTCTGTCTTTCTAACCACAAGGAAACTGAGGCTCTGGGAGGCTTAAAGGCTTGGCTAAGGTTTCAGAATAATTAGCATTTGAATCAAGTCTTGTACCCAGGTTTTCTTGTTATCATGAGTTGGGGGGTAAATGTTTCTCCTTCCTGGAATTCCAAGAAAAACCATCCATGAGAGCAAGAAACGTATCTGTCTTGTTCACCAAAATGCTGGGCACATAGCAGATGCTTGAGAAATATTTAATGTATGAAAGAAAGAAATGCAGATCTCAATACTCATCAGGCCCAAAGATAAAGCCAAACCAGAACACCAGATTATACCCAGCTTGAGCCCTGAGCAGGTTTCCAGGATGCAAGTTGGAAATTCTATTCTGGGCCTGGACTATGCATACACCAGAAAGAATCTAGAAGCAAAATGTTGTGTTGATCAAGTGGAAAAGTCAGCCACCTCCCTCTAGCTTATAGTATTATGAAGATCAAATGAGTTTACAGTTAATATCTAGTGGAGAGTGAGTCCTCAATAGTTGCTAGAGGTGGTGATGATGATAATGAAAATGAACTTTGTGCTATACCAGATCCAAACCCTCAGCTTGAAGTTCCTTCCACCTTTTAACAGCTTGTCTGATTCAACCATAGCCATTTTTAAATAACTAGAACAAGCACAAATATATTGTTCTTTAAAAAGAGAGAAAGAAAGAAAAAAGATGTTGCAATCCCACTGCTGGCTTTCTTATATTTTGTGGTGAATGTAAGTAAACAAGGGGAGGTGAGAAGATTCAGAGGATGTTTCAGAAGGATTTGCAAACAGAATGAAGTCAAAGCATGTGACATATGAGCTACACATGTAGCTCTTTCCACATCATTCCATTTCACGTGATGACCAGATTAGCTTTCCTAAACATAGTGTTGATCATGTCACCCCCCTGCTCACAAGTCTTCAATGGCTCTCCATCACCTCTGCAGAAGAATGCAAATTCATCTGCTTGGTGTTTGCAATTGTCTTCGGTCTTCCCTTTACTAGTCCCCGTGGTCTGCATGGAGCCTGTGCTGTAGCCAAGATCCACTTGCCATTGCCTGAACACCTCTTGCAACGTCCACCTTCAAGCATCTGTCCCTGCAACCATCTTTATTTCTAAAATCTTTCCCATGCTTCCATTTCTAGCTTGCCTCTAAAACCATTAGAAAGGGCCAGGTGCAGTGGCTCATGCTTGTAATCCCAGCACTCTGGGAGGCCGAGGTGGGCGGATCATGAGGTCAGGAGATTGAGACCATCCTGGCTAACACGGTGAAACCCTGTCTCTACTAAAAAATACAAATAATTAGCCTGGCGTGGTGGCAGGCGCCTGTAGTCCCAGCTACTTGGGAGGCTAAGGCAGGATAATGGTGTGAACCTGGGAGGTGGAGCTTGCAGTGAGCTGAGATCACGCCACTGCACTCCAGCCTGGGCGACAGAGCGAGACTCTGTCTCAAAACAAACAAACAAACAAACAAAAAATCAAACAACAACAACAACAACAAAACCATACAAAGAACTTCCCTTCTTCTGAATTTTGAAAGTGTTTTGCTTTGTTTTTGTATGTTTATGTACTACTGCCTTGATTTGTGATGTTTGAGGTTATCTTTCACACCAAGTTATAAATTACAGCTTAGGAACCATTTTTTATCCATCTTTTTACTCTCCTTCGTGTTTTTCAATGGTAGGTGGTTAATATTTTCTTATTGAAGAAATGATGGAATGAACGGTGGATTGGACAAGAAGCTCCAGCTTCTCACTGATTGAGGAAACTATAAATACACATGTTAACAGCGAGTGTTCTAGCTGCTCCCACCATGCCAAGGGCTGTGCAGATTTGGCATTTTCTCCACTGCACTCAGGAATGTGGAAGAGTCTGTGCTTCCAGGTATAGCACCAATAAGAGAAGGAAGGCAATGTAGGGTATTTGAAGCTCTGTGTCTGCTGAGCCTGGTCTTCCTAGATATTCTGCCCCAGCCCCTGGGGCCCTCCAAGTACTTTCCTCAGATTGAGCTCATTGGCTTTAAAGACCAAAATGCCCAAGGCCCTCCCAGCAAGGGGCTCTTTCTATTCATGGTCAAACAACTGGGCAGCCATAGTAATGGCTCTGCTTGTGTATATATGTGTGTTCGTGTGGGAAAGATGTGTGGAAGTTGTGATATTTTAGCTGAAACCTAGCTATGTGGTAAAGGGTAGGGCATGGGCATGGAAGCAGGATGGTACCAGACATGTTTAAGCTCAGTAGTATCCTAATTTGGCTGGAGCTTCAAATGGAAGAAGAGTGGAAATGTGAAATTCAAGAGTGAGGTCACATCAGAGATGACTTAGAAGCCAGGATAGGGGAAATGGCAGGAGAGTTGAGACTAGGGATGGCAAACAGGTTTCCAACTCTTGCTGTAGGGCTTAACTCCTCTGAGTTCTGGTTTCTTTTTTTATAAAGTGGAGATATGGTACTTGCCTTATAAAATCATCATGAAGATTAAATTATATGGTGCATGTAAATTCACTTTTTCAGGATGAGTATTAGATGAATTTTGCAAATTATTGATCCTATTTTTGAAAAGGGTAAAAAGATAGTTGCTAACTGCAGAGCAAACAATGTGATAGGGCCCTTTGGTGAGATTCTAGATCAAACTGTTGAAAAATTGGTTTGCAAGCATGAAATAAATTTCCAGTAATCACCAAGAGCCAGCATGGGTTCCCTGAAAACTGTTCGTGACAGCACAATATTACGCTCTTTTTTGTGAGAGTAGTTTGTCTCATCCAGAAAATGTAACCGAAGTAGAGCGCCCGGATTCCAATGAGGCAATTTGCAAGATTCTTCTTCACAACAGGCTGATGAACAAGATAGAAAAGTACAAGCAGAAGGGCAATGCATTTGACTGGTTTTAAAACAAGTTGCATATTCATATCCCCAAAGTAATGATTAGTGAAATCATGTCAATCTGCAGATGATTTCTAAGTGACAGGCTACTTATCTTTGTCTTGTTCAATCTTTTAAAAAAAAGAACTTAGAGGAATAATCGAAGGTCTGCCTACTGAATATGCAAATGGTGAAGAGCTTGGAAGGAAAACAAATGTTAGGTAATAGAATCAGGATTTTAAAAACTCTATTATTTAGAGATTGCTACAGTATTTAGGTTTTGACAATAAACACTTTATTTCACGATGAGTCTTCAGAACACTGTTATCCATGCATCCAAATCACAAACATACTCTCCTCTTTCTCTTGGCTTCCCAAACTTCTATGAATATTCTGTTCCCCTGGCACTGAACCAGCACCATAGGAATGGAACAAAGACAGAGCCCTCCTTCTGAAAGACCAAGCTGTAAAATTAGCAAAGGAATAAAAAACAGCTGGCGAAATGTGATAGTTGTTATTCCGAGCCCATGAACCTGAAAAGATAGTTTATTTTAGAAGACAAACAAAATCTGCCTTCTGTTTGATCTGGGATAGCATCCACCGTCAGGAGCCGTCGACTCGCATTTAGTTACTCTGGAGGTTTGGGACAAGCAGTACAGGCGTTATAAACAACGAAAAGAAAGGATCAGTTTCCATCATAATTTGACAGTAAACAGTACTAATTTGACTCTGCAGCTGTTTATTGATATCCAAAAGAAAGAGTTGCAATTCAATAGAGAGAACAGTAGCCAGTGTGCTGGGGCAGAATTGTTCGTAAGATGGCAGGAGCCAGGCTGTCTTGAATCTCTCGATGTTAGTAAGAACACAATGTAAATTGCCACACAATGTGGTTTTCATCTGGCAGCAGATCCAGCAATGGGAGCCTATAGTTTTTAGCCTCCAGAGAGGGTTCTCTGTAGTGGCTTCATCTTGATTTATCTTAGTAACTGCCAATGGATTCCCTGTCAATCATTTAATATTTTACAGAAAAACAGGTCTGGCCCAAGGCAAAATTCACTCACTCACTCACTGACTCGTTTTACGCGTACAATGTTTATTAAGTGCTTACTATGTGCCAAATGCTGAGCTGTGTATTGAAGAGAAAAATGATGCATAGCGTTCATACCACTGTGATCTTCACTTTCTAGCTATAGAGAAATCTGCAGACTGATAATGATGATACAATAAGATAAGCACAATAATAGACAGGTACTCTGGTTATCAAAGAATCTGGTTAGTTGAGTTCCCATGTGTATATCATCCATGAACTGGTCATACAGAACTAGGTTAAATAGTATCATAGACTAGATTCAAAAGCTGTGGCCCACATTATTTATTTATTTATGACATTTTAGGTGATTTTAACAAGAACTAATATACCAGGGAACTTGATAAGTATTTTCCATGCATTATGCCCATTACTCCTCACAACCGCATTATAAGGTAGGTACTATCGTCATCATTCACTTGGCCAATAAACAAGCTATGGCATGGCATAAAGGTTGAATTTCTTGCCTGTGGCCATGAAACTAGTGAGTGGAGAAGCCAGGGGTAGAATCCCAGTTCAGTGGACTCCCTGTCCCATGCTTTTTATAATAATGCTTCTAGTTAAGGTACTTAGAAGTCGTGAATCTAGGAGCTCATCATGGACATCAATTATCATTGTCATATATTTTTGAAAAAGCATAGGTTTTGCCAATGAATACAACATTATTCTACTAATTTATTACAATTTACTCTCAAATTTCTCCATATAATATGAAATTGCCACTTTAGTGATGCTCAGGGCCTTTTGCCTAGGATAAACAGAATATTGGGCTTCAGTTCTTTAAAACTTACTTGTTGGGCACTTACTATATGTCAGGAGCAAGCATGTGCTCTCCCATTACTGGGAGTCACAAGTCCAGTCAAGATGTTCCTGTGACATTATCCTGATTCCCTACCAGGAACAGTTGTCTGCTTTCCCAATCCAAAATTTAGAACAAACACAATCCCACAACATTTTAAATAATTTCCAAGACATTTACCATTTTCTGTCAAATCAGAGAGAAGAAGTAAGAGTGGACAGCTGTTAGAAGAGAAAACCCTGTCCCATGTTCAGTTTAGTAAGAATATGCACTTTTACAACTTATATTTTAATTTATCTTCCTTTCAGATGCAATTGAATCTTCATCATTAGGTCATATCTGGCCTGGCCAAATAAAGCATTCTATTTAGAAAATGGAACACTTTGTTCAGCCAGCATCTCTCCATTTCACTTAAAAAAAAATAGACGCAGTGGACTTGTGACTTCCAAATTATTTCATGCAGTTGGTTTGCCCATGTTCTGATGCACAATAGATGTGAGTGAGCTTTGGAAATCCTGAGGGCAAAGGAGAATACACGTGATTTGGTAGAGTGGCAGAATTTTCTCCTTATATGTTCCTTACGTGTATGTGTGTATATATACATATGCATGTACACACACAAATAACACACATATACAACACATATATATGCTATATATAGCATATATAACACATATTATGTTGTATATGTATACACACATGTATGTAGATATAACATGACATGCATCTATAACATATATAATATACATATGTGTATATTAACATATATAACATATATACATATATAACATATCTATTATATGTATTTAATTTCTTTGGTACATTCATCATTTGTTAAACACACAAAAAATGAGGGAAGTATAGTTCTAAATATCATTAAAGGAAAATAAACTGTGAAGCTCAGTTAGGCTTCTTCATGTTATACCTTGATTCTATCCCCATCACTGATCTATGTCTTGTTACCCGAGTGCCACAACTCTCTCTGACTTTTCTTGGTAATTTGTTAATATCCTCCCACTTAAGGAGTGAGTTTGGAGCATTCAATACAAATAATAGCTTATATATAACTATATGTGTGTCATATATGTATTATGTGTCGGCACTTTACAGCAGCAGACCACACAGTAGTGTATGTATTAGGATGCTCTCAGTGGCAAGCAACACAGTATCCTGACTTCACTGCCTTTAGCAAAGAATACATTTACTATTTCATGCGGCAGTTCCAGAGATACAGCACATTCAGGGATGGTTAATTAAGTGAATCAATAATATTATCGAAGACCCAAGATCTTTCCATCTCTCTGCTCTGCCATCCTCAGAGAGGTGGCATTATGCTCAAGCATGTCCCCTCACGGTAGCAAAATGTCTGCAGTAACAGGACCAGTATGGTCATCTAGATATGGCTGTGGCCAGGGGAAGAAGATACCACTTCTTTTTATGCCTCCTCGTAAAAGCAAGGAAACCTTTTGTCCAACCCCTCAAAGACTTCCCCTCACATCTCAGTGGTCAGAATTGCATTACAGGCCCTTCTTTCCACCAGCCACTAGCAGAGGGAAAAGGAACCACCATTATGAGCTTACACCAACCAGAACACACCTCCTAGAGTTCATGACCATGTGGAAGAGATAGATACCTGAATAAAATTGAGGTTTGTTTATCAAGAAGTTGGAGTGAATGGCTTTTATGTAGGCAATCAACAGTGTCTGTTACAAGTGGTCATGCCTGGCCTGTCTAACCTTCAAATAATCTTGTATAGAAGGCAAGTCAGGCATTACAACCCCCAAGAAGCAGAAGAGAAAAGCAAACATTTTAGTTGTTTGTGCAAGGCCACCTGGAATTAAGCAGCAAAGTGAAGATTTCAACCAAAGTCTTCAGTCTCATATTCAACGTTCTTTGAATTATCTGTCTCCTGGTCTTGGCATAGTCAGTGACTTTTCATCACTTTAGTGCTTGCTATCTTTCCTGGCGCCTGAACTCAGCTAAGATTTGCCTTCTTCCAATGATGGATGTGTAGCTGACACTTAGGGAGCACTTACTATGCACTGTGCTAAACACTTTACACAATTAATCTCACAAAACCCCAAATCACACAACTAGTGTGAGGAATTGGGTTCAATCTGGTTTAATCAAGTCTAGAAACCATATTCCTATTACTACGTAGTGGGTGTACTGTCTGTTGTCAGGGATGCAATGGGCAGGCATGAAGTTAATTCAACATTGCACAAACCAAGGAGTGCTTTCAGATGGAAATTGATTTACAACAGTAGATATGTGCCTTTGTGGTAGAAGAAACTTGGTATTCAATACAGTTACCCTCGGTTACAGGCTATTAGAAGCTATGGCACAAAGGCTGAATTTCTCACCTGTGGCTGTGCAACCAGTGACTGCAGAAGCCAGGAGTAGAATCCCAGTTCAGTGGGATTGAAAAAAAATCCCAACTGAGCCTCTGTTTTCTTATTTGCAAAATAAGGATAAAAGTAATTTCTGCTTCACAGCCTTGTTGTTGCAAAGATTAAGAAAGACTATATGAAGAAACACTCTGTAAATTGCAGACTATTAAAATGATTATTAATAATTTTTATGATTATTGGCATCATCTGCTTTCAGAGATCAGGGTGTTCCATGCCTGTGACTCATTTTCTCTGCCCTCTAAGAAAGGCAGGGATTAAGAAACAAGAAACTGTGAAGTGATATCAACAGTTCTGCAGATAGGTGAAGGCTGTCATAGGCTTAATTCTGCCCTGGGCTGGGCATGGCTATTCAGTCCCGATAATCCACCCCCCCCGCCCAGGATGACTTCCTCACCTCTCCTTCTATTCCTCACTCCTCTCACCTTTTGCCCTGGAGCTGTTTAGTGCTCTCCTCTATCCTGTGGTTTTTCTCTAGGTGGCAGGGAAGGGTAAGATTGTATGTAACACTAGCAAAATCAGAGAATGTGCATAAATCACCATGTGGATAAACTCCGGTATAGGGCACAGGCTGCTCTATGTGAGCTGAGATGCTCCTGAGAGCTGATTTTACATACGATGCAGCAGACATGGAGCATCACCCTCGAACAGCATGACATAGACCTGCCAGATGCTACAGCTGGGAGAGGGAGAGACCCTGGCAATCACCTAAACCCTTCTGTTCCAGATGTTAATGGATGTGATTAAGAAAGAGAATTCATACTCAAAAGTGTCTGGCAAGCACAGGGCTAAACACAGTTAAACAAGTTTCTTTATTTATGGTTGGATTTGGGGAGTCTTTAATAGGCTAACATGTATTATGGATGTCTAAGAAGGGATTTCCCAGGATTTACTTGATAATAAAATAATTTTTTCATGAAGCATCTGATGAAACCCATTTTCCATAGAACACTGATTAAATTCAGTCATATTTTATATTTGGGGAAACTGAGGTTCACAGAGGTGAACTGAGTTGCTCAAGCTAGTGGAAGAGGAAGGCTCCCAGTTCATCATGTCCTATATAGGCAGTTCTCAGTCTTTACCGTCCATCAACATACCCTGGAGAGCTTGTTGAAACAGATTTCTGGGTCCCATCCCCAGAGTTTCTGATTCAGTAGGTCTAGGGAGGGGCCTGGAAACTTGCACCTGTAGCAAATTTTGGGGTGTTGCTGATGCTGCTGGTCTGTGGCTCACACTTTGAGAACCCCTGCCTTATAGCACCTGACTCTTATTAGATATTATGGCAGAAAACAGTTGAATCGGGTTTCTTCTATATGGAGAGGTGTGACTGCCTGGAAGCAGAAGAAACATGAATAGATAGAGTAAGCAGGTGCCCTCATGATGGGATTTAAGGAGCTCTGGGAGGCCAGCTCAGCCTTCCAAACTCTTCTACCCTTCCTGAAGGTTTTCCTTCCCTTTGTCACCTTACCTGGAACCCTACCCAATGGAGATTCATCATGGTTCTTGCTTTCCTTGTTTTTATCTTGTTGCGTTTTACAGTGTAAATCTCCTGGGAGAGTTGAAAAAGATCATCAGTCACTCACACTTGAGTGAGACTTAGTTACATCAGATTTCCCTTTGTACCTGGCTGAGAATACTGTCAACAGAGAAAGAGATTTTTGACTGGGTTGGGGAAATTGCACTTATGTTTGGAGGATGAAAGGGGACTTTCAAATGGGTTGCTGGGTGCCTGGTGAGTGAGCGTGACAGGAGATGGCATGCTGCTTTGGGTTGAGCTGCGCTTTCACGCTGTCTCGTAAGTATCACTAGCTACTGAACTAGGAAGGAGGGGAGGATGCAGATTTTCCTGTTGGATCCCAGGAGGACTTTCCTCATTCCCCTATGGGAATCTGGGGTAGTGGGGTAGTGGGGCAGATACAAATGACTCCCAGGGTCCCTGTTGACTAGGGAAGCTCCTTTGGGTGACAAAATGCCAGGATCTGATGTTGTCTGAGTGCTGGGTGGTCTGTCCCTGTGCTGTGCCCTGTGCTCATGGGAACATCTGCCAGCTTCTTTGCTGAATTCTGTTTACTAAAGAGCTGTTGGTTTATTCCCTGGGACTGTAGCAAAAGCTGCTGCTTCCTCTTTCTGTCTCCCTCTGGTTTTCTTTTTCTCTTTTTCCTCTTGTCAGCCTCTCTGTGTTTTGCCCTGTTTCCAGTCACAGTCTCTCTATGGAGGCAGATGGGAAGAAACTTCTCTGGACAGGAGATTTAACATTTTACATATTCTGCGGCAGAGATGGAGCATCACCCCCAAACAGCACGACATAGACTTGCCAGACGCCACAGCACCTGGACTACAACTGTGCCCATTTCCAGGGGTGCCATTTGCATAGAGTTGCATCAAAATGTTACCCTGCCCAAGTCATGATACTTGGGTGGCTGTGGCCAGTGCCTTCCCTAATCTCTGCCTTTAACTAATGAGGAAGAATGAGGATGGGATGAGAGTAGAGGTGGGATGAGAAAGAGTAGAGACCCCCTTCCGCAGACCCAATACCAGGAAAAATTGCAATTCCCTTTCAATTTCTTCTCAGCTGCCCCAGGGTAACAGGTGGCCACCCTTAAGATCAACCTCAAGTAGCATAAGGATGGGAAATTCAGACCCCTGGAATGCTGACTGGGAATATACTCTGGGTCCAAGATTTGGGGCTGCCCATAGCTTTCAGAGTACTCAGCTCACTCTATATCTAGGACAGTGATATCTGGAGGGCAATTGACATCTGCTACCCCAGTTACTGAATCCTTTAAAGAAGAGTTTTAAGGCTGTCTTCTCCTGGTACTCCTGTCTTTTGTTTCTAAAGTACAGGGTGGTGGACAGCAAGGACTAACAGCCGAGGAGAAGTGTGGAAATCATTTACTACAAGTCTCCCAGAAGAATGCAGAATTTCGGATCAAAGTTAGAATGGACCTGTCAGGCAATATTTATCCTTCCCTTTCTGAGTTCTGATGACTGACATTGTTCTGTTTTCATTATTGGCCCTCAGAAGCAATTGTTTTAAAAAAATATTGTCTAGACTTGAAATTGAGTGAATATGACATTAATTACAGAGGCTTTCCTCTGAATGTCTCTTTGCCAGCTGTGTTCTCTGTGCCTGAGCTGCTGGTGGCTCCCGGGAGATGTGCATGGTGAAGAAGGGAATGGCTGGTGTCAGAGACCTGCTGTATGAAGGTTCTGGACTCTGCCTTGAACACAGGTCCCAGGTCCTCACATTTCACCCTCACAACAACCCTATAAAGTTGGTTCAATTTTCCCTGTTTTACAGCTGCAGAAACCCAGGCTTGGGAAACTTAGATACTATGCTCAAGTTCAGACCCAGGTCAACCTAGTTCTGAGATGCGTGTTCTTTCCATCTACCAGGTAGCAAGGTAGCTTGGAGTGAGACAGGCTCCATTTAGTAATGGATTCACTTACATTACTAATTCATAGTACACATCTTTAAGGCAGTTTTTCAAATGTGAATCCCTCCATTACTAGGCCACAACCTCCATATAGTGGGTTATGATGGCCAGCATTAAAAAAAAAAAAAAAAAAAAACTAAGAAAGAAACCAGCATGTGCAAGTATGTAAGTAGTACAGGTTGTGTGGGTCTAAACCTTACGTGATTCAGAGGGCCCTATTTATGAAAAAGGATATATAATTATGGTACTTTTTTTAGAATGAAAATAAAATCACAAAAAATCAGGAGTTTTAAAAATCTGACCACAAAATCCAGACAACAGCATACTATTTTTATTAATTAACAGTTTGACACACTCTATGGTACTAGCTATCCTACATTTGTTGGCTGAATACTTTGATCATATCTTCATACAATAACAATGTTGTAATGTTTTCTATAGAAAGATAATTTGATCTTTACCTTAGCATCATTGATTGAGACTTTTACAGTCATTGGTAGAAAAGTTTCAGTATCACAACTTGCATTAATAGTGTCATTCAACATTTTAAGACTGTTGTCAGATTTGGGAAAATCTATCAAGTTTCCTTCATACATGAATGTGAGGGCTTGGAAGAATTTTCCACAGACTAGCTTCTGGATTTACACATTTCAAAACCTGTTTCTCCTCCACTACCATGTATTTTTCAGCGATGGGTATCCCAGAACATGTTCACATAGCGCTAAGACCACTAAGCCTGAACTTTTGCATCGTAACACTTAAGGGTCAGCATGGTGGTCAATGGAAATATTCCCACAAGTCATTCCTATCTTGGGAGGTACTAGCAGTAACTTAACCATACAAAGAAGAGACTGTGAAATGTCTTTCTCTCTGTCTATTTCTCCAGATCCCACTACACCCAGGCTACAAATATCCCCAATTTCCCATCTCAACTTCTGTTTAGTTGGCTCCTCGAAATTCCCAAGGGCATCCTAGCACTACCCAACACATGGAAAAGACTCATTGGGGAAAAACTGGAATGGAAAGAGACAACAGTCTCCGGATCTTATTTTTTCAAATGATTCAAAAACAGATAACTATATGAACACCTCATATGGGCCCTTCCCAAGGCCTTGTGCATGTGAGTGTCCCTGAAGCTTAGATTTCACTAGCTTTGTCATGTATGTGCATGCTGGGAGCCTTTCTACTAAGGGGTAAGACAGAATTACTGATGAAAACATGTTTTTTTCCCTCAGATGTGCAAGGGTGACAGCAGGATTGTGAACCAGAGCTTTGGAGTTTATAAAATGCCAATCTTAATGCTCCAAAGCTGGAGCTCTTTCTAGTTCAGGAGCAAGCAAAGGATCCTTTTCTGTAAAGGATCAGATAGCAAATATTTCATGCTTTGTGGCCACATGGTCTCAAGTGCAATCACTCACCTCTACCTTTGTATTGCAAAAGCAGCCCTAGAGAATACGTAAATAGGTAGTGTAGCTATATTCCAATATAACATTACTTAGAAAAACAGGGGTAGTTGGATGGCTCCTGTTCTAGTAGATCTCCCTTATGATGAAAGTTCCCTGTATTGAGGATGGGAACGTCATCATGGAGAGGGTGTGTGGCTTCCATTGCTGCCATCTGAGGCAGTCATTGCTGGCTCTCACCATCTTTTGGTGACTTTGGAGCAGGAGGGTTTTAAAGGAGAAAAGAGAGATGGCTTGTGAGATGAACAAGGTCAAGGAATTTTTAAGTGCACAGATTTTGTTTCTTTCTCCCATCTTTAAGTCAATCATAGACTAAGATATAGAGCAGACATGTGGCTTTTTGAGTCCAAGCATGAGTCACTTCACTAGATGTGACTGAAATACTAATATTAAGTTAATCTAATGTGTTCTTTAAGTTTTTGAGAGCTCCAGTGAACCTTCTGGTACTGAACCTTGTCATTCATACCCACCACCTGTGGTCCACATCCATTTCTACAGCATACATGTTCACATTACCAACATCTTAATTTTCCTAGGTCAGAATATTAAAATGATTAAGGTAAAGTTTCTGAATTTGTCTTCTTGAAGAGAAGCCTTGCAGAAGAAACCCAAAACTATTGTTTTTTTTGCTTTGGAAACTTCAAACTATTTCATCAAATCACTATGATTATTGTATACTTCAGAATTAAAATCAGGAATAAATTTTAGTATTACTTTCCCTCTCTCTTTTCTCTTCTCTCTCATTTTAACTGAGTTATAAGAAAGGACTTGATTAAATAAAGTGGAAGGCATCATGTTGTAATTTAAAGCATTTTGGAGTTCAATTTTCCTCCTGTATACATTCTCTTTATTATATTATATTTCCACTCCCACAGTTAGATGTTTAGCATCGGTAACAGATGCATATGTTACATCTAACATACACTGATGAGATAATGTCCAATATTAGTCTAAGAAGTTAGATAATGTTCAGTGTAAATAGTATAAAAATATTTTATTTAACCCTTTAGGCACAAGAAATTTCATTTACCAGCCTTACCAAGAAAAGTAGGACTGGTAAATGATTAAATGATCATTGACATTTAATTTAAAGCAAAAAAGAGTAAGTTATGGATAATGATGAGTTCAGTAGAGAAGCCTACTGATTATAACTTATTTGTGTTTGCTTTTTGAATTTTTGTTTTGTTTTGTTTTGTTTTTTTTTTGGGCCGTAATTTCACTTGTTGCCTAGGCTGGAGTGCAATGGCTCACTGCAACCTCCGCTTCCTGGTTTCAAGTGATTCTCCTTTCTCAGCCTCCCGAGTAGCTGGAATTACAGATGCCTGCCACCATGACAGGCTAATTTTTGTGTTTTTCATAGAGATGGGGTTTCACCATATTAGCCAGGCTGGCCTCGAATCCCTGACCTCAGCTGATCCACCCACCTTGGGCTCCCAAAGGGCAGGGGTTACAGGGGTGAGCCACCACACTGGGCCTTGAATTTTTTATTCTGTTTTTTTTTTATTTTGTGTGTTGGCTTTTAACTGCTTTCATGGAAATGATTAGAAATTTTATATTTCTTCTATGAATTGTACAGGACCTATCAGAAAGGCTGTGTCTAGAATTACACTTCTGATAAATGGTAGAATTGGGGGCAATTTGAGGCTTGAGTACCCTATCCAAGAATTTCCCCCATGACAAGTGAGTAAGGGCTCAGTGTTGGTTCTCAGATAGCCTGAGGATAGTGTAGGGTAAACAGCAGGGCCTCTGAATCAGCCTGAACTGGGATCACATCCTGTCCTGGCCACTTGCTGATGGTGTGACTTTGGGCTGTAACTTATCTTTAGAACCTTTGTGTATCATGTGTGATTGGGAACATTAACATTCACTTTTCTTTTGTCTTTAAATGAGATTATGTCAGAACATTCGATAAACTGTTAACTTACCGAGTTAGCTATACTTTTTTTCCCTCTATCTCAGTTTCTTTAAAGCAGGGGTTACTGACCACATTCCAGTTACCTGCATGGCTCTTGATGATCCAACAGACCCCAGATGAATGAAATCTAATAAATAATTGAAAATCAGATTGCTTGTCTCTAAGATCATTTGACTGTCCCCACACCAACAGTGGGTACAAGTGAACCAGAAATCTTAGCTCTCCACTCAACAGCGTTTCATGTGTATATTTAGACATGTGGAGGGATGGAGGGGGTTTGTAACAATAGATTATATTTTCACAGCCCTTTTACATTATGTTTTACAGAGCTTTTTATATATGTTTCTGATTTTATTATCTTGGCAACTCTGAAAGATTTTCAGCTTCAAAAATATTACACCACTTATAAAAGTGCATGCAGTTTTCAACTGGCAAAACCAAGGCTCAATCCCAGGCCTTCAAACTCCAGCTCCTTCCCAGTCTTCAGACTTTGCACTAAAATACTGCCGAAGAGGCTTTGTTATCTGTTTCATCAAGGTTTCTTCCCTCTAGGCAGAATGGTGATGGGAGGAGAAGAGGAGCGGGAGAAGAGGACCAGGGAGGTGATTGGTAGGAAGTTACCTGCTTCTATACTGCAGAATAAAGTTCTGGCTTTCCAGACAGCTGGAAGAGAGGACTAAGTTACTCAGGGCTGTCATCTGCAGCCTGAGAGCCCAGGGTCAGTGGTTCTTGGGTGTGTGGCTTTCCAGATTAGAAACATTTTCCCTAAAATTGGAGGATGAACATGTGATTGCCAACTTTTTATTTTACTGAATGAGGATAGGACATAAAAACAAAAATGAAAACAAAGCAGACACTTGTTGTGTACAGCCAATATCATTTCAGTGAAGACATTTAACACCATGTCCCAGAAGGCAGAACATACTCTCATGATCTATCAACAATTCTCTCCCTCTCTCTGGCCCTCCTTCCTTCCTTCTCTCTCTTACTTCCTTTCTCCTTTCCCTTCCCTTCCCTTCTCTCCTTTTTCTGTTTCTTTCTCTGTTTCCCTCCCTCTTTCTTTTTACCTCTTTCTCCTTTCTTTCTTTTCTTTCTTTCTTTCTTTCTTTCTTTCTCAGACTTCCTTCTCTTCTCTTTTTCCTCCTTCTTTCTTTCCTTCCTTCCTTCTCCTTCTTCCTTCCTTCCTCCCTTTCTTTCTTTCTTTCTCTCTCTCTTTCTGTCTTTCTTTCTCTGTTTCCCTTTCCTCCCTCCCTCTCTTCCTCCCTCCTCTCTCTTTCCTTCTTTATTTTTCTTCTTTCTTTCTTTCTTACTCTTTCTTTTTTCCTTCCTTCCTTCCTTCCTTCCTCCCTCCCTCCCTCTCTCTCTCTCCCTTTCTTTCTTTCTCTTTCTTTCTTTCTTTCTTTCTTTCTTTCTTTCTTTCTTCTCTCTCTCTCTTTCTTCTCACTGCAGCCCACTCCATGAACTGGCTGTTGAGAGCCAGGACCAGAGCTCTCAGTCCTCCCTGGGAATGCATGCCTCTCCATTTTGGTAGAGGCTCCTGTGTAGGAGTGAACTAAACAAATTGTGTGTTTCTTGGAGTCTCTGAGATCTCTGTTTCCAAGAAATGTAAAGGATTTAAAATACTAGTGCACCCTGAAGTAAGAAAGCACACAGCAGAGCAGAGTCAGCCACCAAAGTGTTGAAATGTGCCCACTAAAAACAAAGGGGACCTACCTCTGCTCTTCCCAAAGGAGGTGCAAACAGCTCAACAGCCATAGAAAACATGAAGTCTGAGAACTACCCATGCACTTGAGAGCTCTGGAGGGGTCCTTGGTGAACCGCCTGGGTAGGTCCCATCAGGAGAGGGTGAAGGCTGTGTTGCTTGGAGAGCAACACTCCAAGTTGGACGTTTCCCTTTGCAGTGGGGAGATTGGGTTTCCCGCTGATTGAATTTAATGCTCAGGCAATCGCAGTTGAGCATGAATCACTTCATTTCCTTTATGTTGCCCCACCTTCCTATCCACACCCCTCTACACACACTTAAACCACCCCCAAAGTGCCCAGAAACTCTCCACCAGAAACTTCCTGCAGAGTTTGTGAAGACAGTTTGCATCCTACAGACTCACTAAAGTGTTGTCCATTGATGGCAGAGTTGGCTTTACCTGGAGGCTTATGAGAAGTGCCCCACCCCAGAACTAGCAAATCAGAATCTGCATTATAACTAGATTCCAGGTGACTCATGTACACATTAGAGTCTGAGAGATGCTTGTCTACAGCACCCTGGGTGTTAAAAGACCTCTGACACTGGCCTCTGCCCATAGGTGAAATGCAGTTGATAGTTTTCAAGAAATTAAAATAAAAATTCCTTTGCAAGTATAGAGTGAGCACGAGTCAAACATTTGTTGAACTTATTAATCAGGGATTCTGCAGGATGCTAAAACTATTTTAAAAGAGAATACAAAAGATGGCAGTGTAGATAGTCAATGAAAGAAAAATTACTGAAATAAGATTAAAAACTTTAACTGTAAAACTAGTTAATGTGCTACAAGACAATAAAACAGTAACCTTTGGGGTTACCTTTTCTAACAGACAGAAATTGATTGCATTGCTACCAGATAAAATTGTCATACAACCTATCAGCCTTCTACAGATTAGCATCTGACTTTACAGAATCTGGGCTCTTGATCAACACTAAATAAGTTAAAAATATATCTCTCCAGGACAGAATCAAACAACTCCTTGGAAGGCTTGTTAGACAATGCTCTAGAATAACTCTGAAAGGGAAATGTGCTTTTTTCACATTTCAGGTAACTTTTTAAAACATGGAGTATGACCAAAGAGGTGCTTACAAGCCGCCTCCTGGCACAGAGCATCTTCATCTCCCGCCTCCCCAGGACACGCATCTCATTCCAGTAGGCATCAATACTCCTCACGGGAGATACTTTGTGGTTAGAAAATAAGATCGAGGCAGTGCTTTCAGAGAGCACCCGTGAAGATGCACGTGGTTTACCTAGAAAAGAAATGAGAGGAATGAAAGCCTTATCTGTTTCTCTTCTTTCCACATGTTGACATGGGTTTCTTTAGCTGGTTGGCTACCATCATAGATGCCAGACAGCTCAACTCTTGGAGATGAGATGCAAGATGGTTAAATAACAATGAGAACCTGGATTCACAGAAAGGACAAGTTTTAGGTGTTTTGAGAGCCCCCAGTTAATTTGGGATTCCAGTACCAGAGTGACAGGGTGGCTAGCAGCCCTGCCCTAATAGGAAATGAGGTAGAGCTGGACATAGTATTTATAGTGTGCCTTTGATGGGATGTTTTTTTTACTTAGTGGAGAGCGCAACGCCTATTTGTCCTGCCCCAGATCAAAGGGTCCCTCACATGGGAACCTTGTTTATACTGGCAGATGCCCTTGTGGCTCTTGTCTGAGCTGGGACCAGTTCATGCTTGCCTGACCATCATTCTGGTGCTAGGAGCCCCTTCTTTTGTTCCTCTCCACAAGGCATTCCATGGTGGGTGGGGGGAATTCTAGCCTGGGGCAGTCCCTGGTTCTCCAGGTGGAAAGCGCAAATTCAGTCCCCCACCACAATGGAAAACAGGTTCAAAGACTTTCACTTACAGATCTGGACAGGGAGGGTGCAATGAATCTGGAGGGCAGTGCTCCATCCTTGGGTCATGCAAGGCAGAAGTGAAGAGTCAGGCAGGGAGAGAGAAGAAAGCTCTGCAACTAGCATCACAGATAAAGGAGTAGGGTGTGGGTCATTCAAATTAGAGGGCAAATGGCCAAATGCTCTCTTTAAAGGAAGGATGGGAAAATGGGGAGCTCCATCTGCCAGGTGGGAGAGATGCCTCCGAGTTCTTGAGCCATTTGGGTGCTGTGTTGAAGTGGAAACTGTCAAGGTGACCGAGACCTGTTTCTTGTACGAGAAAGTGAAATGGCAGAAATAGATGTCAAGGCAAAATAATTATCAGAATTCACAAGGATAGGAGCAGAAACCACAGATATGAGCAGGTCCCATGAGAGTCTTCCACATGGGCACCTGGGATCCATAGGTAATGGGAGCCTGTGGCCTAAGGCAGGCAGATTGAGGGAAGTCCCTGAGGGCCAAAAAGTGAGAGAGACAGAATTCATTCTTGTATCATCCACTCAATCTTTATTGACCAATTACTGTGTTTTGGGCATTGGGCTACTAAGATGAATAAAAATCAGTCTCTGTCTTCAAGGACAGTTTAGTCAAGGCATTTAAACCTGGGCTTCATGAGGGAACATCAGGAGGGTTCCTAAAATTATAAGCATAACTTTGCATTTATGTTAATTTTTCTGGGGAGAGAATCTGTAACTTTTGTTAGAATCCTAGAATTTTTGTTATCTGCAAACAGAATCTAATGAGAGTTCAAGCAGAAATAAAATTTTAAGAAGAGGGCTCAAACTGATAAAATACGCATCGTTAGCACCAGAGGCCAGCAAAGTGGGCACATGAATCTCTGTGGAGTAGGAGTCGTGCCGATTTAAGAAGCTCTCTCATGGAGAGTCCAGTGAGCCTCCTGGTGTTGAGCACGTCGTTGAGAACCCTGGCGACCTGGCTGAGCAATCATCACAGTCTCCCTGCTCCTTCTTCCTGAAAAAGTGTTTCTCCCTCCTCTCTGCTTTCCCAAGGCCCCATTCATCCTGCAGGGCCCCAATCCTCCATGGGGCTTTCCTAGAATTCTCCAGCCCTCAGAGACCCCTTTTCTCTGAACTTCCATGGCCCCTAACCTGCCTGCCCTTATTAATATTTCATGTCTTTCTTCTCAGTACATTTCAAGCAATTTTAGAGCATGGAATGGAATGGAGGGTGCTGCTCCTTTATGTCTCAAAGCATTTGGCTCAGTGCTATTCAGCATTGCTATTCAATGGTATTGTGATTTTATTTTTTATTTTTTGGCTCTCTGGCCCCCTGTGTAGGAGAAGGGAGTCTCTTCCTGGGCTCCTACTGACAGGAACAGAAAATAGAGAAAGACATGGACACAAACCAAAGGGAGTAAAGTGGTAACGACTAGAAATTCACCGTTGTGATTACAGCCGCCATTTTACTCCATTTCTAACTTGAAACATTTCCTTTGCAAATTGTTTGGCATGGAAACACTTCAAGGCTGCTTGAGGGAGGTGGAAAAGGAGATACACTAAAGAAAAATGTAGTTTAAAGAGGCAGAAACTATAAAAAGGAATACAAACGGAGGATTCCAGAGTAAAGCAAGAGGCTGTGCAAATAAAGACGAGGAGAAACTTCTCCAGACAACACGGGCTCATCGTTGTCCATGCATTGCCCACAACTATGTTTGCACAAATATATCAGGGATATCAGGAATGCTATAATGATACTCCATCACCCATGGTTCTCGTTTTAACCACTGTAATAAGCAAAACATACAGAGCACACTGCTGGCCCTAAAGACTATAATTTTCTCTGAGGAGAAATATTGCAAAAAGGGAAAAAAAGAGAGAGAGAGAAGAAAACATGATATTTTGTTCAGTTTCTAAAAAAAGCATTTTTCCCCTTTCTCTGCTGCGCTTTCCTTTCATTAAACTGTCCTTAAGTGCTTTTAGAGAAAACTAAGTAGGCCACAATTCTGGGCTGCTGACTGAACAATTATAAGTCTGGGAGCCTGCTGGGATGGCCAGAGAGAGGCCCAGGTCCCTCTCCTGAAATCCAGAGACCCTTGGGGGTTGTGCCAGTTGCGGCTGGACTCCTCACGTTGAAATGATTTCTCATTTTGAAGGAAAATCAGGGACATTCTTATCCCTATTAGTCCTCTGAGAACTTGGGCCACTGCCAGATTTTATTGGAAAATTGCAACAAAAGAAATTAGAGATAGTGAGTTCTTATATTTGAAGGGTTACACTAGAGGCATATCGAAGCCAGATTATTTCCAGATCAGCTCTGCTTCATGAGTTAAAATATATTCTCTGCTTTTAAAATAGTCACAGTTCCTTAGATTCAGATTCTTACTGTTGACTATTGTTAGTTTCTCCCTCTCTGTCTCTCTCTGTGTGTGTGTATGTCTATAAGAAGTTGTTGTAAGTTTACTGTAGGGAAAGTTAAACAATAGAAAGATGAGTGAGCACACTACCACTAAAGTTCAATGCAACTGGACATGCGTCTGTTTACTAGGGCCCAGGAGATGGCTGGGCACATGAAGGGACACCAGAGACACCCCAGAGGTCAGGACACAGAACCTGCTGGAGGATAAGACAGATTATATATACTCAGGCATAAAATAATCATTGCAAAAGGCCTGACAACAAGTATGTTTGATGTTTGAGTCCTGCCATGATGTGAATGTCTGATTTCCAGGGACAGCCCAGCATGGAGAAAGAATCCAGGCTTGGGAGCAAGACATACCTGGTGTTGTGTTCTAGCTTTATTCCTTTTGGTTGTGAGCTGGGCAAATTATGTACCCTCGTTTGGTTTTTGAGATGAATGAAATGTAGCATAGGATCTCCAAGTTGCTTCTTATTCTAAAATTCAGCATTTCCTCCTTTTCTAACTTTTCTGCAAATCTGGTAGTCTTTGTCCAGGTTATAAGTATAGCCTCAAGGTGGCAGGGGTGACGTGAAGTAGGTATGTACCCTTTCTCTGTCCAAACCTTCCCTCTCTTCCCAGTACTCATATATCATCACATTCCACCCTGGCAATTCTTAATGTAGTGTCCTCATGTTCTGAAAGAAAAACTGTTTTTGGTGGTGGTGGGGTAAATGTTAGAAATGTGAAGAATGCCACTTTGGGAGGCTGAGGCGGGCGGATCACGAAGTCAGGAGTTCGAGACCAGCCTGACCAACATGGTGAAACCCCGTCTCTTCCCAAAATACAAAAATTAGCTGGGCATGGTGGTGAGCGCCTGTAATCCCAGCTACTCAGGAGGCTGAGGCAGGAGAATGGCCTCGAACCCAGGAGGCAGAGCTTGCAGTGAGCCGAGATCACGCCACTGCACTCCAGCGTAGGCGACAGAAAACAAACAAACAAACAAACAACAGAAAAAAATGTGAAAGAACACAAACCATAATTACATGTAAACTCAACATAGTGAATTGGGACATGTGTTACATATGTCTTTGTTCTCTGGCAGTGTAAAGATCACAAATACTAAAACAGGGATAGAAACTAAAAGATAAAGGAAAATCATGGGCACAATCTTATACCCACCTCTAAGTTAAAGTTACCCTACACAGGTAAAGACTAGGTCTTCCTTTCTAGTGCAGTGTTGGGCACATAGCTTGGGCTAATAATTCTTGTTGATTATTGGCCAAAATCAGCACTTTTGATCTGATGGAACCAAACTCCCTCAGGTACAGCCATAAGGGAAAATACAGGGGACAGGTGATGGGGTGCCTATTTTCAGGGGGTCTTTGAGTGGAGTTGCAATTCCTGGAGGGACTGGAAGGAGGAGAAGTGGTTACCTCTGGCCCATACATTCCTAGAGACTCAACTGGCCCAGCCCCACATGTTAGCTGAGGCTTCTCATTCTAAAGTTTTGCCCCTTTAGTTCCCAGAATAATCGATATGGCTGCTTTTGCATGTTTTTCTATTATCATTTAATGGTAAAACACCAAGTTTCTTATGATGAATTTAAGTGGCTAGCATAAAGCATTCTAGGCACAAGAATGAAAGCTACTTATACCGTGTTGATGATGGACACTTTGAAGAAGAGTGTACTAATCATGTGAAAACTGTTTATCAGATGGAGTCCTGGGTACTTTTTTCTTCTAAGGGGGTGACAGGGTAGATTTGTTTCTGGGGGTGTGGTTTTGACTAGAATGTTTGAGCAACGAAAAAACTGTAGTGTTAATAAGGAAATGTAGGTGCTTCAAATATAGCAACAATTAGGTAGGTCAGTGCAAACATTCTCTCCTCTCTTCTTCCAGCGTGTGTTTTTGGAGAAGATAAAGCGGTTGGCTATGCTTAGGAGCCTCAGCTAAAGACACTCCCTCCCATCTCCCTAGCCCAGGGGAAGCCTGGCGTCCTGTCCCTGGGCTAGGGCTGGCGCCGGGAGGCAAACGTCATGCCTTCTCTCAAGTAGATGGTCTGCTCATCTCTGAATCTCAGTCTCTCCCACACCAATGAATTCAGTGAACATGTTAGAATTCCCGTAAGGAGCAGCCCCTTCAGCCTTGTTATCAAGTGCTGTTTCCAAACTTCTGGGCCCCTCCCTTCTTGCTCTCTTTCCAAGAAGCAGTTTTCACTTGAGGATCCCACTTTATAAATGTTAGGCTGGCTTCTCTCATTGTTCCTTCATGGAGAGATCCATGAAAGGAGGATTAGGGCCATATTTTATCTTCCTTGGCAGGGTTCATGTGTGAACTGTAGAATGATTCTCCCAGTGTATTACAAGGCAGGCATGGAGTTATCGTGCTTTTGGTCCCTCAAGAAGTTGCGCAGGAGTAAGTACAGTGCCCACACACTTTGCACAGAGTAGACAGTCAAGAAATATTTGTTAGATATATAAAAGCAATTCATGACCCTATTTTTGTTACTTCATTTTGCATTAACAATGTTTGGAGGTGATGAATGTTGGTTAAAAGATTCCATGTTTTATCAAACACCTTTCTTCGCCAACTTTTTATTGGCTGAAACTTGAGTCCACCAACTTGAGACAGGACAGTTGTTGAAGAATGTCCCTTTTTCCTATGCCCTCCCAGCATCCTCTACCATGCCTCCTCCCTCCTCACAGGGGGCGTCCCTTCTGTAGCTCTCCAAGGGCGGGACAGTATTGCCCCCACCAGCCTGCCACCATGACTGAGTTTGTGCTTCCATTTATACCTGTTCTGTGACTAGCAGCCAAATCTTGCTAAAATGTAATATATCATTTGAGTTCTCTCTCCTGGGATAATACAGTTGCATTTAATAGTAGCCTTTAGGAGATCCTGTGCTTTAGTTTCCAGAAGTAGTTCACAGTAAGGATTTTGGGCATAGAAATTTAACAGCAACAGTAATTTACCTCTCCTTTAGGACTAAAAGCATCTTGGGGGCAGTCCCCTTTTTTACTTATCTTGTATCCCTGGAAATACTCACTCTGGTCAGTTATTAATAACATTTCATGAATAAATATTGAGATGACTAGCTAATGTAATAAAATAATTTGAGAGATGATATACATGAATTAATATAACCCTGCCCATGTGACACATTTGCATCTTTGACAGTTCTTTTCAATGGCTTCAATCCCTTCGGTTGAGAGAGAAATTTTTCAATGGCGAGGACTCTGTGGGAAGTTCAGTATGGGGGTTTTTTCAATATGGGGGTTATAGTAGCAGTCTCTAAGAAGGTTCTCAATGATACCCATGTCCTGATATTCATGACTTTGGGTAATCCCTTTTCCTTGAGTAATTTGCTTCTAATCAATAAAACACAGCAGTATTGATTAGGTTACAACAGATTGTCACTTCCTTCCTGCTAATTCACTTCTGTGCTGGCTTTGATGAGGCAAATTGCCATGTTAGAAGGGTCCATATGGCAAGGATTGGAGAGCAGTTTTCAGCTAACAGCCAACAAGGAACTAAGGTCTTCAATCTGACCACTTATAAAAAATGGAATGCTGCTAACAACCTTGTGAGCTTGGAAGCAGATACTTTCCTGGTCAAACCTTTAGATAAGCCCTCACCCCTAGCAAGAGCACAGCCTTATGAGATCTTGGAGCAGAGGATCCAGCTGAACTTCCCACAGAGTCCTCGCCATTGAAGCTGTGAGATAATTGTATTGTTTGAAGCTGCTAAGTTTGTGGTGATTTATTACACAATAGAAGACTAATAACAAGATCTCTTATCTCATTTGTCATCCAAGTTGCCCAGGCTTCCCAAATGACATTTTAAATAGAATTAGCTCTGGGGAAAATGACCAAAATTGAGTCGAATGATAGGCTGGGTCTTGAGAGAGTGGCACATTTCCATCTTGTCTCATTCCTCAACATGATCCTTCAAGGAAATTCATAGCATTGGCCAAACTGCCCAGTCTCTAGAATCCTAAAGAACTCTGATGGTGACTGAGCTACTGCCAAGAGAACCCTTTACCCTGTGCCCCCTGTCTAAGCCTACTTTCATGTCTCCACAGAGGTCTGCTTTGGTCCTTAGAGATGTCCTTCTCCCTGTCCTAGGGATTCTCTACATGAGCCTTATGTCTGAAGGAAATGGCAACAGTGGGTACCCCACCACCAGCTCCAGCAGTGGGTACCGATCTTTGCTTCACCAATCATCTGAGAAGTTTGTTCAAATATCAGATTTGAGCCTTACCACTTAATTCAGAGGATCTAAAATAAGGACCATGAAAGATCATTTTTAATAAGTTGCCAGGGGTTGCTGATGGTGGTAGTGAAGTCCCAGGCTTTCACACACCCTGGTCCAGAGGTTTTCCCAAGAGCACCAAGTGTCTATATTTCAATGATCCGCAAACAGGATGTCATTGCATGCTTATGACATTGGAAAAGTCAGAAAAATTAACCTCTGTAGACCTCAATTGTATAAGTGCCATAAAAATTGAGTAATCTTGATATTCTCTTTTAGTCCTGGAAGCTAAATAGGGAAAGGGATAGTTTACCAGTAAAAAGAGAATTCACAGACAGTCGTCAGACACCACTCAAAAGTTATTTTATATTAACCCCTTTGGCCCTTACAACAATCCTATGAGGTGGGTGCCATAGTTAATTCTGCTTTACAAATGAGGAAACAGAGGCCCCGAAAGACCAAGTGACTTTTTCAAGGTCACACATGTAGTAATATACACAGGACTCAAATACCAGCAGGGTGGCTCTAGAGTCCATGCTTTTAGCTACAGTGCTAGACCATCTCTACTTCAAACTATGAGTGTTCCTGAGTTTATAAAAAGTGGTATCAGTGTGGACTGCACTTATCTGGGAAGACGAGTTGTGATTGAGCTTTATTGTGGAGTAGAATTGTCATTGGCAAAAGGCATAAAGAGAAAGATACTATAAACAGAGGGAATACCAAAAGGAGGACATGGAAGGGAGCCTGAGTGTGACACATGGGTCAAGTGATGAGGAGACTGGCTGGCCAGAGTGTGGTCCATCTGGTGAGCAGTGGAGGGTGGGGCTGCAGAGGGGAGTGGGCTATGAGGTGGCAGAGGAGTGGGGGCTTGAATGCCATGTAGAGGAATTGTTGACTATCCAATAGCCTTTTCCCCTTCCTCCTTGCTAAGAAGAACTCCAATATTCTTCTTGTCTCATGGTTGTTCAAGTTCAATTAGAGGCACTCTCTTCCCTTTTGCCAGTGATTGGCCTAGGGATGAGTATGTGACTCAATTCAGCCAGTGAGATATAAGTAGAGCCCTGCTAGAGGCCTCCAAAACAGATTTTTGTCCATAATAAAAAAAGAGAAATTGTCATGTCTTGAATGTTTGACTCCAAAACTCATGTTGAAATTTAATTGCCATTATAACAGTATTAAGAGGTAGGACCTGTAAAAGGTGATTAGGCCATGATGTCTCCATCCTCATGGGTGAGATTTGGTTTGTTATAAAAGGCAAGTTTAGCCCCCTCCTTTTTTTCTCTCTCTCTCACCCTCTTGCCTTTCGCTGTGAGATAATGCATCAAGAAGGCCCTGCAAGATGTTGGCCCCTTGATCTTGGACTTGCCAGTTTACAGAATTATAAGAAATTAATTTCTACTCATTGTAAAGCACCCATTCACAGGTATTCTGTTATAGCAACAAAAATGGACTAAGACAGAGATGCCTGAGGTAAAGCACTTCTGACCCCTGCCTTCCTTCTTGGGATGCTGTGGTGTGAAGACATGATGTGTAGGCCTTTGACAGCCATTTTGTAGCCATGAGGGGAAGGTCAGAGAATCATGGAAATGCTAACTCAAATACCTGAATTCATAGAGCTACTTATCCAATCCTAGAACCACCTCCTTCTATTCTTGTTTTTGTTTGTTTGTTTTGTTTTGTTGTTTGTTTGTTTGTTTTGAGATGGGATCTCGCTGTGTTGCCCAGGCTGGAGTGTAGTGGCATGATCTTGGCTCACTGCAACCTCTGCCTCCTGAGTTCAAGAGATTCTCCTGCCTCAGCCTCCTTAGTAGCTAGGACTACAGGTGTGTGCCACCACACCTGGCTAATTTTTGTATTTTTGGTAGAGATGGGGTTTCACCATATTGGCTAGGATGGTCTAGATCTCTTGACCTTGTGATCCGCCCACCTTGGCCTCCCAAAGTGCTGAGATTACAGGTGTGGGCCACCGAGCTCAGCCTGTTCTTGTTTTTATGTAAAATAATGTAATGCCTTTATCACCTGGGCCACTGGCAGTTGAGCATTCTGTTGCATGCAGCCACACACATCCTAACTAATAGAGAGTATCTTAGGAAGCCAGGATCTTTAGTGAAATAGTAATAATAAGAGTTATCAACAGGATTGTACTTCCACACATATTATTTCATCTAGTTAGAAATGAAAAAGCACCAGCTTTGGGGTTAGAGAGCATGGGTGTGAGTCCCAGCCCTGATCTGGAAGAAATCATCCTCTTGCACCTTAGTTTCTTCATCTGTAAAATGCAAAATAATATCTCCCCCTTCAAGTTGTGAGAACCAGTGAAATAATATTTTATGGCGTCCAGCTCAGCATCCAGCACTAACTACGTCTAGAAGATAAGATACATTGACAATGATAATAATAGCAAATGATTATGAGTTATTACTGAACACCAGCCTCTGTATCAAGGACTTTATGCATATTGTTTTATTTAATCCTCTTGGAAATGGGTATTATTAAAAACTTCATTTGAATTTACTGTTCTTAATCACCAGAGCCCCTTTGAGGAGGAGGCAGGGCAGTGCAATGATAGCAAGTCTCATTCTGTAATTGAGAAGGTGGTGCAGTGAGTGGAAGTGGTTCTGATGGCAGAACCAGGGTGTAGCTGGGGTCGCCTCAATCTAAATCCCAATTCAGAGCCATGACATGTTGGTGACTTGTCTCAGAATCTTGGTGGCTCAGTATCAAGGGTGACCATTTGGTTTTCACTGGCTTTGCTTGTTAATAAACATGGTAGCATCTGTGATAGTTACTAACAATATCTATCACCAAATATACTAAAGGAGGGGAAATTTAATGCTTTGCATGTCCCAGGAGAGATTTGTGGCTTCTACCTGATGTGCCCAGAGCATCTGTCCAAAGGTCATGATGGACCCAATTTAATTAGGTTGTTAGCCAGCTCCCCAGGGGTGGTAACAAGAGGCCTTGTTAGGCGAAGTTTCCCCTCACTGAGGAGTTCTTTGCAGGGTGATGGACCAAATTGTTGGCAGTGGGAGGTCTGAAGAAAGATGTGGGGCTCTTCTTATGTGGAAAAAAATCCTTTGAGCAGGTACGTGTTCCTTTCAACTTCCCTGTGGAGACCACCCACATGTTTGTGTGCACTGGAATGGGGAGGGGAAGCGGCCATGTGTTTCTATTTAGGTGTGGGTTGCTCATTTGTGTAAGTGTCACTGCCTACGTTGTTTCAGCCCATGTGGCCTGTGGATTCTGAATGGTGGCTCTGACTCCTTTGGTCTGTTTTTGATCTTGCAAGTTGAAAAAGAATCATGTAAGTTAGAGAAGGACCGAGTCATTAATGGACCTTCCTTTGTGTCCAGAGGGTCGAGTGAGTTTCTCAAATTCACACAGCTGGTTTGGTGGCAGAGCCAGAACCAGAACCTGGAGCAGAAGCACACCAAAGTAGAAAGAGCTAGGGGTGCCAAAGAGTGCCCAGGCCTGGATTCTGATTTCTTTAGAAAAGAGAGGGTCAGAGTTGTAACACTCCAAATGACAACAATCATCTGGGATAGGTCTCTCTCCCTCTCTCTATCCATCCGTCCATTTTCCATTCATCTGACATTTCTCTTTATACAAATGTTTTCATACATGTAAACAGATAAACATATACACATTAAGATACACGCAATACATGCTATATATTTCAGCCATTCGTCATCTATGTGCATATGTCCATATGTATACACATATATGCATAGATTATATTTAGAATATAAATACAGGTACTTCACACATACTATCACCCTATTCATTCACACATATATTTCATATATTTATTCATCCATCTATCTATCTATTTGTTTTCTTAACGCTAATAAGTTTTTAATGGGTGAAGGGGACCCTAAAAGTAGTTTCTAAGGATGCTTGTATGACTGGTATCCCTCCAAGATGTCTCAAGATTAGGATAGGTCCTTATTTGGAAAGTGATTGTCTGTGTGGTCCAGTCTGAGGGGGTTGTTTCCTGCCTTGCCATATTCACGTATGTGATGTTGGAGAAAAGAAGATCAGCTGGATGAGCTGATTTGTGATGGGACTAACAATAGTTACAATTTATTGACTGCTTACTAGGTTTAGGAGTATACATAGCATTATTATTCGCATTATCTTGATTGGTCTTCATTTCAGCCTACAAACCACATGCTACTGTTATATATCCATTGCACAGATGTTTGTGGCCCAAAGTCACACAGCCAGTAGGGGACAGAGTTGGTTTTTCCCTCATGGTGCTCAGAGCTAGCCTGATGTTTGAACAGATTCCAAGTGTTCCCAGGCTGTCCTGAAGCCTGCTTCTTCCCTTCAGGTACGGGCTGTCCATGGTGGGAATGCTGCTGTGCTAGACCTGAAGGTCCTGGAGCTATATGGCAGGCATCCCTGTTACCATCAGAACTCATGTTTTGCCCATGCCCTTTTCCCCACACTCAGGAAGTTCCATGCAAAGGTAAAGTGTGTACTGACAGCAGTGGCATGATTTGAAAGCTGCTGGATGGCCCCCAGTCTTGAGTCCCTTCCCTGGAGTCTTGTTGATAGCTAAAATTTGAAGCATGGCTTTCGCTTTCAGTTTCCTTTGATTGCAGACCTTCCTTACGGAGAAGGTGCACCCGAAAATTCTTGAGGATTCAACTTTTCTAATTTGTATCTGAAGCTTTCCCAGCTCCCAGACTGGAAGACTAACAATATGAGAACATTTGGATCTCAGGGGTGAGGGACAAACTGAACTGAGGGGGGAAAGAGGGATAAACAGAGAAGCTGAGGGGCTAAAGTTGGACTTCAACCACAGTCTCATTGGGCCACATCAGCTCCACATGAATCTGAACTCCAAGACGCTCAGCTTCCAATCTGGCTAGGGCCAAGGCAGAGCTCTCAGCCATCAACACCCAGGGAGAAGTCGCGTGAAGAGCAAGGGACCTGCTGTGTGGTGGGTGTTTGCAGAGGGCACCAGGGAGGCTGCCTGTGGGTGGCACAAGAAAGAGCCTGGCTCTGGTATTTCCATTCCTGCCTGATGAGGCCGAATGAGCTGGTCTTCCCAGGGAAATTGCAGCACAGCTCATTTGTGCATGTTTTACAATGGTGTTGATAAAATCCCCATGGAGCCCCAGAGCATGTGTGAGGAGTTCCCACCAGAAATCTAAACAACGCCCTGGCGTTGCTGACAGCTTAATAATGTGACAAAGTTCAGCTTGTTCAATGACAGGGACAGGAATGCAGCTGGGCTGGTCTGACCCAGAGCTTTGAAAATATCCCCCCTTTACTCTGACCCAGCATTTGACAAATAACCTTTTCTTAGCCTCCTTGAAGGCACCAGACAGAACCAAGTGCCATGCAGGGGCCATATGCCACCGTTAAAATGTTAAATGGAGTGGCGAGGGCCACCAGAGTCACTTGGGGCTGACATTTATCTTTATTATTATTATTAATAATAATGCATATATTGCTTTTTTGGTGCATTCCAGAGTTTTTTTGCACTCCTAAATCATGTGGCTGTACATCACCCAGCCCGATAAATCACCCAATGAACCCAAATTCAATGCAGCTGTCAGGCCAGATCTGAGAGAGGCAGAGTTAGTTTAATTGAACTGCAGCAGGGAACCGACGGGCGTTGCCCAGAAAATCAGAATAATAGCAGTGTTGCCGGTGACATTTCAAGAGCTAGACATGAACTGCTAGCTTCAGCTTTAATTTTACTAGAGGGAATGGGGGGACGGGTGCAGGGAGAAATCCAGACTTCAACAAATATTTAAACTCTTAGGTTTTTTTTTCTGCCTCAAAGCCAGTACAGACAATGAGTTCCACATTTAGAAATTTCAGTAGAAAGAATCCCATTTTTTTCTTCTTTCTCTAGCTTCTCCCCATTTCTTCTGCTTGCTTCTTCCTCTACTCCATGCCCCCTTTTTTTCAACAAAAAGAAAGCTGAAAGTAAAGAAACAACAGGATTTGAGTTGGAGCCAATTTAATGGGCCAAGAGGTTACATATGGAGCCAACAAATCATGCAAGCATGAAGGATATTACTGATTTCAAGTTATGTATGTTAAAGCCCAAATCTTAACAGCATTCATAAAGGTAAAGGTAACTAATGGAGAGGCTTAACTGACAGAAAATGGGCTTTTCTCCCTGGCTGCCCTGCCTCCTTCTTAAAAATTGCAGTGCATCTCAGCTGAAGAAGGCCTTCCGGCGGCAGATTCTCCCCGTTAGGTGATGAGTGGGGAGGGCCTCAGCCTTACTAGCCAAGAAAGGACAAAGCTCAGCTGGGTTCTGTACCAATAGAAGGCTCCAGACACCATTGTTTGGTTTATTTTTGTTTGCATTAAGTGTGTCTCTTCATATGTTTTGGGGTTACCAGAAATACCTTTCCCTTTACCCCTTTAATTTTTAAAACTGTGTGTAATTTTAGGGAAATTTGATCCATGTGTTTCAGATTCATTTGCACTTAATCATGAAAATCTCTCTGGAAAGAGCTATTTTCTCTCCCAGAAGACTTTGGTGCCCTTTTAAATAAGCCCTGTAAGTGTCCTTCCACCCCAGGCTGCCCTCTTCAAGTGCAGAAGGTTGTGTTTGGCCAAAGGAAAACCAACCTGACCACCAAGGGCATGGGTCTGGTTTGAAATGTCGAACTCGTGAACTTGGACTGTATTCTGGAAATGGGGAAATGACTTCCCCTTAGCCCCAGTGTTTACATAGTCAGAGAAAGAAGACTTCCTTTAAAAAAAAAAAAAAGTGATGTGAATCAACTCTAGAGCATTATAGTTCCTTCCAACAAGCCAGGCAGGGCTCATTGGAAATGCCCCATGGCCATCCACAGGTGAGTGTTAGCCTCACAGGATCAAAATGCACACTTGCGACTTTTCTTTGAAGTTCCTGGAGAAAATGCTTTTACCAGAGACTCCCAATTACCAAAAACACCCTGGAACCATCTTGGATGGCTCCCAAGGGCCATGGAATGACTGTGTCCAGGATACACATCTCCCCACCCTTCATCCACAGCAACCCAATCACTGCATAGAAGCCACAATAGCATTCCTTCAATCCAAAACAAACATGTCATTACCAATCTCAGATTAATTGATGTCATTTGTGTGCCCTGCCTGTTGGGTTTCAGCTGGAGGCTGCCCAATGGCAATGGCCACCACCCTTGAAAACCTCAAGGCACTCACAACTGTGGCCCTTGGCAGAACTTCCTTAGCTGTTCTTCTTTAACCCTGTGACTCCAAGCCTTTCCTCCTTCCCACTCTTTTCCCACTCTGAGGCTTTGGACAATTTTGAAATGAGTTCCCAGTGGAATGAGAAGATCTGTGGAACTGAGTTTTGCTTTGAGTACATTTCTTTACTGTAACTCATTAATAGTAAGATACGCATGTGTTTTTGTTTTATCACCCTTAAAATTAGAATGCTCCTTATAATTGATGATAAGAAATACTGTGGTGAGGTGATGGAAAACATTTTCCTCTTTAGTGATACAAAAATTAATGGTATATCTGTTCTAGTCTCTGAAGAGATGTGATTACTTTCCAAAATAATGTGGTAAATGTTTAACTCCCTCATTCATTCATGTACTGTTCATTCTTCAGTCAGAGTATATCATTGACCACATGCCTGACTATGCACAGTGAGAAGACTAGAAGAGTATTGAAAAGACCCCTCCCTTTTAGAAAGTTATAATTTAGCTCTAGACATAAGTGCATACATGACCAACCATGCAAAGTGCTAAATTAGTGGTGTGGCCAGAAAGTGGTGGAGCAGATCAAGATGGAGCCACAGAGTGGGATGGAGATTCCGAGCTGGTGGGCAGGCGGCCCCATTACCAGCTTGGCTCTGGGATTCAAGAAAGTAAATTCTTACCTGTAGAACAAAGGGCTTGTTTCAGATCAGTGTCTTACAACATATTCCACAGGAACGAGTTCCACAGTGGGGGTGGGGTGGAGCATTGAGAAACATTACCTGCCATTTGCCTTTTATCAGAGATTCCCACCACTTGTTAGCATACAATGGGTTCTGAGGTGAAGGGCTTGTTTAAATTTTATTTAATTTAGTGTTTCCCAAATATATTTATTCCTGGAATCCTTCATTTTACTCACTAGCCATTCCGATAATAAACCTTAGGAAAACTCTAAAGTCTTTTCCAACTCTAACATTCTAGGAATTCGTTAGACAAGGTGGAAGTAGAGCATGGGAGGATGAAAGGCTAAGAGAAGGGCTTGAGCTGTGCTCACAGAGTGATGGGCTCCTGGCATGGGGAGGCAGTGTCATCACTGAGGAGAAAGGCTTTATCTATTGTTCAATCAAGGCACATTTACTAAGAACCTATAGTGTACTGTGCTGGTTGCTGGGCCCTCAGAAAAAAGCAAAACACTGCCCCTGACCTCAAGTGGCTTCTAATTATGGAGAAGACCAGGGTGTAAACAAATAGCCACAGTAAAGTGTGTACCTGGCCTGTCACACAGGTAGAAACACAGTGCCACAAGGGGACTAAACATGCCTGGAGGAAATCCATGGAGGCTTCTTGTAGGAAGAACCATCAGAACTTTGAAGCAGGGGTATAAATATATATGTGCCTGAAACAGAAGCAGAAGGAGAGCATTCTAGGCAGTGAGAGGAGCATGAATAAAGATAAAGAAGCATGAGACTGTTGAAGTAGCTTGTAGTGGCTGGCAGGCAAGATATATTGTGATGAAGAGAGGAAACTGAGGCTGACGAGTCAGGTTGGGACCAGACCATGAAGGGTTTATTTCAGCAAGTAACAACAATAATAAGAGATTTAATTATCTTCCATAATAAGGAGTCTGGAGGTACATAATGAGAGGGTCTGGGACTGGTTCAGAAGCTCAGTGATGCCTCCAGGGGCCTGGGCTCCTTCCATCCCTCTACTTGGCTACTCTTCAACATGTTGGCTTCCCATCCTCTGTTTGCTGCCTCACACTGAGAAGGCAGCCATAGAACTGGGCATACTTCTCATGGATGGTATGCCTTATCCTTAAGCATAGGCATCTAAAAGTGTCCCACAGGTAGGAGAAACCAGCCTTGTTTACAGGTGTTTTTATAAGATGATTGGCAGGAATGTAGACACAAGAGTGGGAGAGGAGAAACCAGATGCAGGAGACAGTTTGGAGTTATTGAAATTGTCTAGGGAAAAAGTACTGCATGCTGACACCAGCATCCCTAGCAGGACTTGGAAGAAGGGGGCAGCGGAATATGTACTTTCCGCTGATCAGGAAAGACAATTCTCCTGGGCAGCCCCCGCAGCCTCACCTCTCTCATTGGCTGGAACTGGGTCACATGGCCACCCTAGTGCAAGGAAGGCTGCGAAATGGAGTCTGTGGCAAAGGAGAATGCAGCAGTAGCCATGAGACCCTCAGAATTCAGTCATGGAAGCTGGGCTGTGTCCTGAGTGAGAAATTAATCTATTTGGTGAAGCACTGAGATTGGGCAGTTACTGGTCATGGCAGGTAGACTACTTTTTCTATTACGTGTGGATACCGATGCCCAATAACTGAGGAAGACCATGTGGCCTCCCATGTGGGGAACTGGATTAAAGGCTAAACAATGACAACAAAATTTTGGGGAGAGAGGGGATATTGGGGGTCTGGTACCCCCAACTCCTTCATCTGTCCGGAGGTTAATAATGATTTGTAACTGAACAAAATGTGGTAAACTGTCAAGAGTACATAACACTTGCTGTATGCTTCAGGAAATAGGTTTTTTAAAAAATCACAACTTTTTCATCAAGGGCCAAAAAAAAAAAGACAATTCAGTTGAGAGATCTAATTGAGAGACTCCCCACCCTACCACCGCCCACTACCTAATCCAAAAATTACCCTCCTGCAATTGACTGAATGTTTATGTGCCCCAAACTCATATGTTGAAATCCAAAGTCCAATGTGATGGTATTAGGAAGTGGGGCCTTTGAGAGGAGGAGCTCTCCTGAATGAGATTAGGACCCTTTCAAAAGCGATCTCACAGAGCTCTCTCGCCCTGTTTCTACCATGTGTGGATACAATGAGAAGTCAGCCTTCCACTACCTGGAAGAGGTTATCACCGGAACCCAGCCATACTGGCACCCTCATCTTGAACTTCCAGCTTCCAGAACTGTGAGAAATAAATTTCTATTGTTTATAAGCTGCCCAGTCGATGGTACCTTATTATAGCAGCCCATACTAAATACCTCCCCTAAATATTTTAGTCATGTTATGCCCATAATGTCAACAGAAGATCGTTATTAAAAATATTTTTAAAAAATAGGTCAAATTGAAAGAGTGGGCGGTTATCAGCCACCTCCCCTGAATAGTGAAAATGTGTGGACAATGCTTTCCCATTGCGGATACAAATCTGACAGAGAAAAGATGGAAAGATGAGGAACGTCAATTCTCCGGACATCTTCTGAATCTCATTTCGGTGAAAAGGAAAGGCTGATTGATGAAACAAAGTCGTAGAGACCTTGGGAGAAAGTGGCCCTCTCATTCTGGAGCTCCCAAATGCTAAGGGAACACTGGGCTTTTTAGGATGTCTGCAGTAGACTTTAGGAACATATATATTCAAGAAGTTCAGAGAAACAGTAAATGTGATTCCACAGCAGGAAGCTTCAAATGTGGAGATGGCCTAAGAAGGATGGGAGACCCTCCAAGTCCTGAGAGCCGAATCAAAATATGAGCTCCCCATCCAGAGAAACTGATACTGCACAGGAACTTCTGTAGCAAATTTCCATGGATGAAAGCAGAAAGTAACTGAAAATGGATACTAAAGGGTGGGACCAATTGGCTAGAGCAGTAACTGAAAGATGAAACCCCAAATGAGCTCAACCTTTCCTCATTCTAAGGTTACCAGAAGGAGGAGGCTTCTACCAATAAGAAGGAGGCTTATTTGGGTCACTTCAGAATACGTCATGAAATGGGTTGGTCGGTGGTCCCAGGGCAGGTGGTAGAAGATACCACGTGGTGCGAAGGAGCAGAAATCTTGAAAAACTCCCCAGGGTGCAGCCCCAGTCCTGACACTGGCCCAGGCTTTGCCTCAGCATCTGGATCGGTAGCCAAAGGTGAAGCACAGAGGAAGAAGCCTGCCTAATCCTCCACCGTCGGGTGTGCTCACCCTGAGCAGCCCCACCCTGCACAAGTGCGGCAGGTCTCATCCGCCTAAGTCACACCTGTGCATACCCCTTTCATCAGCCCTCCTTCAAGTGGCAATTTAAACATTTTAAGGCCACCTGTTGAGCACCCATTTGGTAAATTTCCTTTTATCACCAGCTCACGGGGAGTAAGTGGGTAATGTAATTATGGGGCAGGAGAATGGGGCGTTTGATTTATGCTTTTTGAGGATTAGCCAAGTGCCCCAATGCCAAATCCGTGATCACCTGAAAGGAAATCTGAAGGAAGAAACTGCCAAATAAGTAAGTCCTCCAGGTGGTCTTCAGACAAATGGTTTTGAAAATGGGTATCTTCTGCCTTTAGTCTCTGGAGAGCTCAAAGGCTTCTGGGGTGGACAAAGCTGATGTGTTTGCCTCCTTGTGTGATGAGCCCAAGGAGCAAAGGAAAACGTTTTCCAAATGCCTGTAGCCAGGGCAACACAGGATTGGGAAGTGCTGGGAATGTGGAGGATTGTGTGCAAAACAATGATAGGGAGCTAGGCTTCTGATCTCCTGATCATTCCTGGGATGCTACCTGTGTCCACTCAGTGCATAGGATCTGGAATGTTTCTAGATGATGCCAGAGAGGGGGCATGGACCAGTCACCTGGTCTCAGGCTGCAGGGCACAGAATGCTAAAATCCCACCTTTGACGCAGCAGACAGTCTCTCTGATGATACTTGGATGACATTCCATTTTGTCTGGGAATATGTGGCAACAGGTCAGGGAAGGGGCACATGCTAGACATTTTTAGAAATGAACAAATGCATGGTATATCAGTTTCCTGTGGCTACTGTAACAAGTACCACAATCTGAGTGGCTTGGGAAAACCAATTTATTCCATTTATTCTCTTGCAGTTTTATAGGCTAGAAGTCCAAAATCAAGGTGTTGGTGGGGTTACACTTTTCTAGTGCCTCTAGGGGAGAATCCTTGTCTCTTCCCCCTTCTGCTAGCCCCAGGTTTTCCTTGGCTTGTGGCAGCACTTCAATTTCTACCTCTGTCTTCACACGGCTGTCTTCCCTCTGTGTCTACATCCAAATTTTTATCCTCTTGTAAAGACACCAGTCATACTGGATTAAGGTGAGCCCTAAGCCCATATGAGACCTCATTTTAACCTAATGACATCTGCAAAAACCCTGTTTCCATATACAGGTTCTGAGCTTTATATCTCAAGCATAGTTTTTGGGGGGACACAATTCAACCTATAAGGTGGATATATGAAAAAACAGAGTCACCATCCCTGATTTGTCACATGAATACTTGGAAGGTGATGGAAGTTTTGATCTATTGTCATCTCAGCTTAGGGTTCACCCTCTAAAACAGACAATGGCTTTTTAATTTTTTGCTCTAATTCTAAAAAGAGATAATCTGGTATGATGTAACATAACGCGTAATACACTCACATGTAATAAAATCATAACGCAACTATAGAAGAGGGCTGTAAGCCTAAGGACAGGGAAGCCTCTGGGTACCTAATTGTCACAAGAAGGGCTCTTAGAAGAGAGAGAGAAAAAAAGGAGGAAGAAAAATCAATGAATGTTAATGGACTAAATTTTCAAACATCTGGCAATTCTAGGATGGCTTGTTGAAGAGACAGAATAGTTAAAAGAAAAATGAACAAAGCAGCTTCAGAATATAGTGTATGACCCTAAAATTTCTGGAAGGTCCAAGTAATGGGAGAATGTTGGGTGTTAACAGAAGCAGCAGTCCACAGAAGACGACTGAAGTGAGAGCAGCTTCACAGCCTGCCCCTTCCCTGGGGTGGGGGGGATTTCCTGTGAGGCTTGAAGCACAAAGCAGTGTGTATTTAAATTTCACACATGAGCCAAATGAGTGGGGTACTATAAACCAAGGCTGCCCAGGAATTCTCCATAGCCATAGGTCATCTTTTTACCTAATGTTGGATCTATGTGGGATGTGGGGCATTTTCTATTAATTACATTTCTTAATTTACTTCTGTAAAAAGAATCTGGTAACTATTATTTCTAGTGTTCCTAGAGTTTCAGGGAAAGAGAGATAATGCTAGCAATGGTCAATTAACCACCTGGGGAAAAAATTCATGAAAATTTATGCTTACAGTTATGCTATAAGCTAGGTAAGGAACTATGGGATGAGTTTGGAAGAGAAGCACATGGCCAGTTATAATTTTGCTTCAAAAGCCTAAAGATGCCTTAAACAGCCTGTTTTTGAAAATGATCCCTCGTGAATTTATCTAAGTCTATCATAAACATATTTTGATACATATTACATAATTTTCAAAGTAGTTATGTAGTACTGTAGCATATTTACATGACTCAAATAATAAAAACATGTAAAAAGGTATACAGAGAACTTCCCACTTTGTTCCCTTTCTGTAAGTTCCCATCCTTCCCAGCAAGGAATGTTATTATTAGGTCTTTGTTTTTACTTCTGATGAATTATTATATATTTGCTAGCCAACACAGATATATAATTCTGTGTTCCCTTAATTTTTTATAAGTGGTAGCATGACATCTATTTATATGAGTATAAAATGAGGTATGTACATATTTATTCATTGCAGCATTTTTTGTAGTAGCAAAAATTTGAAAATGGCTTTAGTGTCCATCAGAGGGAGACTAATCAAGTTGAGGAATATCTACACTATGGAGTAGTATGCAGTTGTAAAAAGGAATGGGAGGTGATCCCTATATACCTATAATGAAAGATCCGTCAGTCTGTTAGGGCTGCTATAACAAAATGTCATCAGCTGGGAGGCTTATGAACAACAGAAATTTATTTTTCACAGTTCTGGAGGTAGGAAAGTCCAAGGTGAAGGTGCTAGCAGATTTGATGTCTAGGGGCAGAGGGAAATTATTTCTGGTTGCAGACAGCTGTTATCTCCTTGTATCCTCACATGGTGGAGGGCAGAGAGAATACTTCTTTCATGTCTTTTTTTATAAGGGCATTAATCCTATTCCTGAGAGCTCTACCCTCATGACTGAATCGTCTTCTAAAGGCACCACCTCCTAATACCACCACACTGGGGATTAGGTTTCAGCATATAAATTTTGGGGGGAACACATTCAGTCCATAGCCAGATCTCCAGAATACATTAAGTGGAAAATGTAAGATATAGAACAATGTATACACTATGTGCTTTCGGGTAAGAAGGTGGGGCAGTAAGGGTATATATTTGCATTTTCTTGCATCTGAATACAGAACAATCTGGAAAAAGTACAAGAAACAAATAAAGTCTTAATTTAGATAGGGTGAAGGAAGTATGATGATCAGGGACAAGGAAGAGTGTGACAATTTCCAATGTTTACTGTGTTCTAGCATCTTTTGAGTCATGCAAATACATTTCCTATTTAAAATAAAAAATAAAAATAATAGTTAATTAAATGTACATCCCTGGGATCTGATAATCACACCTCCAGGAACCTAGCCTAAAAATATTTTCTTACACATGTTCAAAGACATCTGCAAGGATGTTTGCTGCAGCATTATTTCAACAGCAAAAGACTAGAAATGACTTAAATATCTATTAAAAGTAGACCAGTTAAGTGAGTTAGGTTGCATTCATAGAATGAAACACTATATAGATGTTACAAAGAATGTGAAACATATATTAATATGGAAAGCTCTCCAAGACACATTAAAGTGAAAAAATGCAAAAAACATTGTGCTTTTTTGAGAAATGTCCATTCAAGTTCTTTGCCCATTTTTAATAAGAGTAGTTTCTTGTTACTGAGTAGTTTGAGTTCCTTTGTGTATTTTGGATATTAGTCCTTTATCCAATGTATAATTTGCAAATATTTTCTCCTAATCTGTGGTTTGTGTCTTCATTTTATTGTTTCATTTGCTGTGCAGAAGCTTTTTATTTTGTTGCAACTCCATTTGTCTATTTTCGCTTTCATTTCTCAAAAGAAGACATACCAATGGCCAACAGATATATGAAAAAAATGCTCAACATCTATAATTATCAGAAAAAAATGAAAATTCAAATCACAATGAGATATCACATCAGACCTATTAGATTGGCTATTAACAAAAAGATGAAAGATAACAAAGATGAGAATGTGGAGCAAAGGGAACTCTTATACACTGTTGGTGGTATTGTAAATGAGCACAGCCATTTTTGGAAACAGTATAGTGGTTCCTCCAAAAACTAAAAATAGAATGACTATATGATCCAGTAATCCCACTACTGTGTATATACCCAAAGGAATTGTAATCAGTGTGCTGAAGAGATGTCTGCACTCCCATGTTCATTGCAGCATTCACAATAGCCAAGATATGGAAACAACCTAAGTGACCCGAATCGACAAACGAATGGATTTAAAAGATGTAGTATATAATCACAATGGAATGCCATTCAGCCTTAAAAAAACAAAACAAAACAGGAAATGGTGTCATTTGTGACAACATGGATTAGCCTAGAGGACATTATGTTAAGTGAAATAAGCCAGGCACAGAGGGACAAATACCACTTAGGTCTCACTTTTATGTGGAATCTTAACAACTCAGAAGTATAGAGTAGAATGGTGGTTACCAGAGGCTGGGGGAATGAGGAATGGGTGGACAGGGAAGGGGGAGACATTGATCAACAGGTTCACGGTTACAGATAAATAGAAGGAATAAGTGTTGGCAATCTATTGCACAGCACAACGATTATAGTTAATAATAATGTATATTTCAAAATAGCTGAAAAAAGAGGATTTTAAGCATTTTCACCACAAATCAATGATTAATATTTGAGGTGATGGATATGCAAGTTAGCCTGATTTGATCATTCCACAATTTACACATGTATCAAAACATAACATTGCATTCCATAAATACATATAATTACTATTTGTCAATTAAAAATAAAATAAGACAAAAAAAGAAATTACCAAAAAGAACATACAAAACACATTCTGCTTCTATTTTTTATAAAATAAATAAGATGTATGCATATACTCCCACCAACATACCCTGTATTCTTATTTTAAAAGAATGTGTGGACCGGGCGCAGTGGCTCACCCCGGTAATTCCAACACTTTGGGAGGCCAAGGTGGGTGGATCATGAGGTCAAGAGATCAAGACCATCCAGGCCAACATGGTGAAACCCTGTCTCTACTAAAAATACAAAAATTAGCCGGGCATGGTGGCACATGCCTGTAGTCCCTGCTACTTGGGAGGCTGAGGCAGGGGAATCGTTTGAACCCGGGAGGCAGAGGTTCAGTGAGGCGAGATCATGCCACTGCACTCCAGCCTGGTGACAGAGCAAGATTTCATTTCAAAAAAAAAAAAAAAGAATGTGTATGTGCCATATGATGCATGTGTAAGTGTGTATATGTGCATGGAAAATTTCTGGGAGCAAATAAATTGTTAACAGTGGTGAGCTCTGGGAAGGGGATGAGAATGTTTAGGGTAGGAGAGTTGCCTTCTTTTTATTGCAATGACTTTTGAATTGCATGACTTTTCTTTTACTGTGTATGTGTTTTCCTTTTTGAATTAAAAAATATAAATAAATAAATGTACAACTGTACGATGAAGATTATACACGTGTAAAACAAACAACTGAGAAAACTATATGTACTTATACAGAAGTGTCTCCAAGATACATTGTGAAGCAATTTTTATTTTTAATTTTAGCTACTACAGGGTTTCCCATACTGTGTGCTACCTGCTTTACATTCTATCTGGAGATCAACTCACAACATTTTTCATGACTTTATGTTTGATCATATCACATCTCTGCCTTCCTGACCGAGGAAGACTATTGTTTGTTGCAGTCTGTTTTCCTCACCTGTGAGACTTGATGGCAGTCTTTGGGTTGAAATCCTAGCTCTTATTGCTTATGAACATAAGCAACTGTTGTGGGCCTCATACTATATCTGTAAATAAGAAAATAGATATGGTACAGGAATGTTATAAGAATGTGAGATAATGTAAGCATGTACTACTTACCATATGAGGACTGCCATTAACACTACTTGTGATATGGCAGTTAGAACTGCAGAAAGGAGTGACCACACCTTGGTTTTGCACCGGGAGAGGTGAAGTTTTTTGTGTCATGGCCAAGAATGTTCTAGAGGAAGCCCAGCATTTGACTGGCTTTTTGGGCTCAGTAGTCTCAGACCAGTATCTCAAAGAATGAGCCACAAGTGATAGTTCAGAATTCATGATCCTGTGGGTGCAGTGCGGGCTTTGTTCTTGCCTGTGTGGAGGCATTTCACTGCCCCTCTTAGGGGAGCTTATTTCCATGATGCAACCATGTGTTTTATCTGGTGGCTTTACTCTCAGGATGCCTCCTGTTGTCAATTGTTGCCTTCAGTGCATTAGGCATATGTTTGAATCCATATTTATGAACAATGTCTTTCAAAATAGTGAATTAAAATGTCCATGTTGTCTTTCTTCATCTTTACGAGGTAAAGGAAAAATAGTTGCCTTTCCATATTCTTTCCATTTTAGAGCTACTCAGAGCTCTCAGTGCAGCTCTAGGTCAAGTGGTCTTACTGATTATCAAGTTGGCTTTCTGCCTTGATGCATTTATAGGAGCTTTTATTATTGACTTTGGAGCTCCTTGCAAGGTACTCCAAAAAAGCATTTTAAAATAGTCTCCAGTGGGCAGTTTACATTTTAACTGCTCCTTTCATTATCTTCCTCAACACCCTTATACAGTTCCCTTTTCTAGAATTAAATAACCACACGATAGCTTTTGGGCTCCATGTCTTTTTCGGATGTTGAACTTGGCCCTGTTGTTGTCTTTATTATGTTGTGGTTCAGCGAGAGTCTCATGCTTTTTCACATTCATCACCTTTCTCCTAGTTTTTGTTTTCATGTTGTATGGCAACTTGATAAATTAAGGGCCAAATATTTAGTGCCACCCTGGTTTTTTTTTTTTGTTTTAAGAATTCCTTTGAGAATCACTGTCAATGTGATAAGAGGCAGAATCGTGTGATACATAAGAATGTGGGTGCAAGAAGAAAGACTGAAGACCAACATTTTCCAAAAGTCCCATGGTTCCAGGTGAATGTAAAGTCTTCTTCCACCATTAATTAATCTATGATTTAAGACTGAAGATCTGCCTGTCTCTTGAGTCTTATTTTTGAGGCCACAGTACTTTGCAGACCATTTTTCTAGAAATATAGACTCTGATTTCAGGTTCTCTTGCTTCACTTTCCTATATCACACTTCCACAAATCCCAGAGCAGGGCCTGCCAGCTCTCTAGGTTTCTCTTCTCTCATCCACACTCGTCGTCCCTAATGGCAGCCTGATTGATCTTATGCTGAAGGCCAAGAGCTCAATGAATTGTGAGAATTTCTGGTGGAATTTCTTGGTAGAAAATAGCTCTTCACAGGTCCAATACTAATGTTTCCAAAACTGTAAGTCAGAGAGAACTCCCTACCCCACAACACATATACATCCCTTTCCATAATATGTTCCTAGTACCCTTGAGACTATATTGGGGGTGGTATACACTGGGTTTGACCTAAAATGGTAATCCTTATGTGGACTAAAAAAAGAAATTTTTCTTTTTCTAGTTTTCTTGTTTTAATTAAAGAAAGAACCTATGTTTTGCCATCTACTTCAAAATATGCCAAAAGGGAGCAACAACTGCCACAAGAACCAGTTCATACTCAACTCATCCCATGGTGTGGCAGTCTCGTGGACACGTAGCTAAGTTACAGGGGATGAAACTAGCACACTTGTGTCTAAGAGAGAGAGAAACTAAAGATAGTAAAGAAAGTGGAATTGTATCCTTGGGAAAGATCTTCAACACATGGTTAAATAAAGAGACAACCATGAGGTATATTTCACTTATCAATTTGAGTAGAATTGAAAAATAATGCATCTCAATACTGGTGATGATGTGAGAAAATTAGCACTCATAGTCTGCTGGTGAGAGAGTAAGTTGGAACAATCTGGAGGTAAATTTAGCAATCTATCTCAAGAGCCTTACAATAGGTGCGCCTTTTGACTTAGAAATTCCACTTCCAGAAATCTATTCTAAGGGAAAAATAGACATAATGAAGAAGCTAGCTTATTGGTACTTCATTATAGCATCAATTGAGTAAAAAATTAGAGTGACCTTAAGGGCTGAATAAAGAAAACTGGTTAAATGTATTGTAATACACAAGAATAAAGTTATAGATGAAAAAGGGCATGGAAAGATATTCATGATGTATGCATGAAAAAAATCCCATTAACAAACTGTATAGAGTGTTGGCTAATGATAATTCTCAAAAAAGACAGCTAGAAAAACTTATTGACCAAGAAAAGCTAAGTTTATCAGATTTATTTCAACAAAGAAGAACATCTTCTTGACAGAGTCTTAGTAGCACATCAGAAGGGAAGGATATTTACAGGGTCTTAGGGCCATTTAGGGCCAAATGATTATAAGGTGGGTCTTGAAAGGCAGAAAACGGGCTGGGATTGGGCAAAGTTTATAATGTAAAAGCTTTGAATCCATGCGCACTGTAAGGTGAGGTCTTGGACAATTATTGTCGAGCAAGCTGTAGGTCTTGATAAGTAAGCAAATATTTTCTGGAGAAAGTAGCAAGTTGTTTTTGTCTGGTCCTAGTATTGTTTGGCATAGAAACAGAAAAATATATTTGGCCCCAGAATTGTTTATCATGGGGACAGGAAGGTACGTTAGGTTCAGTTCTCTTTTTGTTAAAAAAAAAGTATTCATATTTATATTCCTATCTCACTAGAAAAAGTCTGGGAAAATAATTATTTACTAATTAAAGGTGGTTATCTGTGGGCAGAAGGATTACCAGTATAATTTATTTTTTATTTCTTATCTGTATTTTCAAAATTTTCCCTAATGAACCTATATGCGGAAAAAAGATGCATTCGTTTAAACCTTATTTAGTCAGATAATTCTAGGATTATAGCACCCAGAATCACCCTCCCCTCAAAGCTTCTAACCTGTTTCTAAATATAACACCTAATCTAGGCACAAGTTTGTGGCTAATTTGGACAACTGACTAAATTATTAACTCATCAAAACCATGTGATAAAATGAGCTTAGGTAGCTTTTCATTTTTTCAGCCAGACAGATAAATGCTGTACACACTGTTTTAGAAGGATTCGTTCTTCAGAAGCACCTTGGAAGCATATTTAACTAACACAGACACCTATTTCTCTCCTTAGCTCTCTGTTTTCACTCTATTTTCAGAATTATGGTACAGTGGGTGTCAGGGACTAGAAGGAAATGAAGAGTGAGATCCAAGGTGAACCCAGAAGTCTGCAATAGTGTCTCATGATCTCTCCAGTCAACCACTAATAAATACTTTTGAGCATCTAATATTTGCTGCGTCCTAGACAAGGTGAGGCACGGCACAAAAATTGAATAACCTACGCTCTATCTCTTAAAGGAGCTTAGTTTGTAATTGGGGACAGGGTGGTAACAGTGACTAACACACAGGAAACAATTCTAGACAGACTGAAAATGGTGTGAAACCAAGCACTGCTCCACAGACGGAATAGTACTGGGTTTTAACTGGTCTCTATTATGGCATTTGTATTATGCATCTCAGCGGTCTAGACTCCAAGGCCTATATGGATTTGGAAATAAGAGTGTTTGGGGCATTGAGATATTCTACTTAAAGGAGGATTACATTGAAACTTGTTTTTCTCATTTCCACATTTTTAAATTAAAAATCTTCCCAAATTTTGAGTATGCTTTACTCTTTGCATAAATAAATGCAGCTGAATGAACCCAATTGCAGGGCCTCAGGGTCATGTTTATTGCACGTGGATGTAGATTTCAGTGAATCTAAGTAGAAGGATAGGAGACCTATATAATGTAAATCGACTCCAAGTCATACTCTGAAATTTACTTTAAAAGAAAAAATTCACATAGACGAATACCTGATGGCCATGTATTTTCTGGTTATTGGCTTCTTTCCATTAAAGAAGAGCACAGAGAGACCTTCCAATAGATTGAATGTTCCAATTGGTTGAAATGTCATTCCACTTAAAATAACCCTTTATTGCCAAAAAGTACTCTTCATCAGAGATTGTATAATCTCATAGACAAGGAGCCTTCATAACTCCCTTCGGGAAACTGAGGCCCAGAAAGGAGCCTTGCTCAAGGGCACATGGTAATTTAATGATGGACCTAAGAGTCAAATTCTCGTTTCTTTGTTTTCAGTCCTGACTTCCTACCTCTCCAGTCTAATACTCCATGCCTTTTCCCACAAGGTAAAACTTACTGGGGGCTCTGGGTAGGTTAGCTACTAGACATAAAAACAAAAGAAATAAATAAAAGCAGCATAGGTCACAACAACTTTGAGTGTAATGAGATACTCTCATTTACAATGTCACTTCTCTGGAAGCTTCTCTGGAACAGGACTTAGTCTTCCTCAATACTAGGCACAGTCACTGCCATCCTGTGCCCCTTGGTTTCTTCACAGAACCGTTAAGGAAACCAAGACACAGAGAGATGATGTCTCCCATGCTCCCAGCTCTTGGTCAGCCTGGAGAGCAGATGCCCTACATTCACACAGTGGAAGCCTGGGACGCCTCCTGGGTGAGCAGTCTAATGATCTAACTGGCTATTAAAAAAACAACCACCACAACCAACTTGGCTAATATACCACTTAGAATGCCTTGGGCCACTCGTGGGGTAAAAGAAAATCACCATCAAACAATCTGGGATGAATTACAGAACAGGAAATCCAGAGTTAGGACCAGTTTCAGGGTTTGTTGATTTAGCAACTCTGTGGTCACATCAAGGACCCAGGTTCTGTCTCTGTCTCTTGCTGCGTTTTGCAGCATGTTGCCTTTGCCCTGAGGCTGCTACCCTCTCAGGGTCCCCAGAGGACGGCAGCACTTCCAGGCCTCATACCCACAATCAGAAGCAGTGACCTAAGGAGTCACTTTCTTAACAACAAGGGGATATTTCTCAGAAGTTCCTGAGTAAATCTGCCTTCACAATACTGGGCGGAACTTGGTCAGGAGCCCACTTTGAAACCAACCACAGCCAGCAGGATGGCCCAGACCATTTGTGCTTTACTCTTGGAACTGGGGATGAAATCACCCTCGCTCCAGTCATCTGAGGGTGGGAGTGTGTGTGTAGGGTGGGGGAGTAGGGAGGAGGGAGGTGGTGGACTCCTGACCCAATCAGAGCTCTGCCTGTGGAAGATGGGAGTCGGGATGGTGGGGTGACCACCAGCTGCATCTACTGCACCTGTCCTGAGACCCTAGCTGCCCCTCCCATCAAGATCCACCCCTGGGTCTGCTGTTTCATTTCTTCCAAGGTAATGAAGTGCTGTTATGACTACCCTTTAGCAATGTGAATGCTCATAGAAGTCTTCATCAGACGTCACATTGGCTTCAGGTAAAGCTTACTAAGGACTCTGGGAACCTGAACCCAGAGTCAGTGATGTGGTGTTGAGAGTAGGGATTTCAGCCTAGGAACGCAAGCCACTGAGAGCCAACAGAGAGCTCTGGGCACAAGAAGAATGATATTTTAAGGAATTCTTTAAATCATACCTGGACTGTCACTGTTGATCTACCTCCATGGATGACAATGCAGATGGGAAATATGAGACACTGAAAGAGCATCAGTATAATTTTTTACCTAGCCCAGGTATTATGAAAGAATGTTTATTTAGTCTTGCAAAAAAAAAAAAATTGGTTTTAGGATGGCTGGTTCACAAACTTTGTGCTTTTCGTTTTCTTCTTCCTCTTTTCCATTTGCTTTTGATTTTTTTGTTTTGTTTTGCTTTGTTTGAGAGGGAGTCTCGCTCTGTCGGTGTCACTCAGGCTGGAGTGCAGTGGTGCAATCTCAGCTCACTGCAGCCTCCACCTCCCAGGTTCAAGCAATTCTCCTGCCTCAGCCTCCAAAGTAGCTGGGATTACAGTCGAATCACTTGAGGTCAGGAGTTCGAGGCCAGCCTGGCCAACATGGTGACACCCCCATCTCTACTAAAATACAAAAATTATCCAGGCATGCTTTGATTTTTAAAAAGAATGAACATTTTCCTTTATAATGGGAAAATAAATTAACCTTTATGTGGAAAAAAAAAAGGTACTTCATACTTGTCATCTAAAACAGCACAGGAAATCCCCACCTCAAATAAGAAGTTAGATGACCACTTTTGTAATATTTGAAAATAAACCAACTTTATTTGAATCAGTCAATACCAATCAAGACTGGAACACAAATTGGTAATTGGTTCAGATTCATGAGGAAAACACTCAGCTGTATCTTCATTAAAAGGCATTTTACATTTATTAAGGCTTGAAAGCAAGTCCTGTTATTCATCACCATAGTTAAAGGTCTCGAGAAAATCAAGTAACTATCATTTGGAGTGTCTTTGTAAAATGAAACACTTGTTCTTTTACAAAAGCTAAGCATCTTTTGTTAAGCTAGTTAACTCCCCAGCTTATAAAATAGGACAACGAGGTGGCCAGGAAAGTAAGACAAATTCAAACATCAGCTGGATAATTTATATTTTAAATATATGTATAGTCAATATTGTGAAATCTCTAACTCTACATAAAATACTTCAGATGACTGGATCCTTAAAAGTACATTTTACCAAAAACAGATTGCTTCTATAGAAACACAGAATAGCCCAAACCTTATATTGAGGCAACGTATTTTATTTATTTTTGGTTGCAAGAAAGGAATTGGATCTATTTCTTTAACGTTAAATGAAATTATGCACACTTTGGATCATACATAATTATGAATCGAAAGTATCCTGACACTAAGCTGGGAGATGCATACTGACAAAGGGGAAGAATGTGTGTTGATGAGGAGGGCACATGTTGCTTGATTTGAATGATAAAGAGAAATGGATAGAAGACAATGGGGCTGTGTGCAGCAGGTCCTGTTCGCTTAAGTTTTCCTAACATCAGAATCAGGGTGCTTCACATGCACATGTCTTTCTCTGATGCTTTCTTAAGATTCTCCTTAATGTCATTTAAAAAAATAAGAAAGTGATCCCTTGGGAATCATTGTACTTAGTTTTAACCATGAGTTAACATTTCCTTTTTCCAAGGAGGATGACACCAGCATCTTGATTCACCGTGCAGTTGAGATGGCCCCTGGCCAGTGGGAATTGAGGCGAGTCACAGAAGTACTTACCAAATACTCACCTGCTGCTTCTAGTTTAATTTAATTTTAGACACACACTCTCACAGTGATGCTAAACTCTTTACAAGATAGACCCGCAGCTTCCTGCCTCTGCCTCTCTCTTAGTTCTATTTGTCCAGGCCTTGCTGATTTCTGGGACTCTCATATGGTCAAGATCTATTTCAGGCATGACCTATCTTATGACAGTTCTAAGATGCTTGGTATTGTCTGTCTGTGGAGTGGCCATGGGGCACAGAACTGTGAAGAGCTTCTGTTGTTTCATTTGATAAGGGCCTGGAAAGTCAGCCTGGGAAAACTCGCACTTGGTGTGGCCTTTTTCTGATAAGATCAAGACTTCACTGGCCCCACCAGCACAAGAAGGGAATGCTGAGGACAGGGCCATTTCCCAAGATAAAACTAGTTTGGGATCGTGTGGCCAAATAAGCTGATGGACTCTGTTTCCGACATTTCAGCTCATTTGCTTAGTGCTAGGTCACTCTACCTCTCGTTTAAAAGAATATAGCTATGCTCACATCTGTGACTCTGAATTTATCAAGCATTTGACTTTCTTTATCAGGAGATGAAGAAACTGTGCTTTGGATCCATCATGATTTTACTTATCCAGCTTACTTTTTACAGTTATTAAAATCTTACTCAATACCTTCTCTCTGGGCCAAACTCAGAAGCAGGCATTGCTGACTAGACAGTGAATTCAACTCAGTCATTCTGAGTTTGACTCTTGCTTCTGCCTTCGTCTCCCACTACCCTGCTTCCCCCACCCCCAATAGTGCTGTGCAAGTCAAAGAAGATAAATAAATACAAAATAAAATAAGATCTCAACACAAATACATCCCCTTTCTGTGCCACCAAAATGCTTTCTGAGCGATTTGTATTCATTCAGGACCAATGAAAAGGAAGCCTCCTACCCTATAGCTGTATAGTTGTGGGGTCCCAACTGCAGACCCTCCCGTGCTCCCTGAGTTGTTCTTGGGACACCTAAGGACCTCACCACACTGTTGCTGAGACATGATGTGCTGCACATATGATAAGAAGGCCAGACAGGCTGAAGCATCTGGAGAAAGATCTCTTTTGAAACAAAAAAAAAAAGGAAGGTAATATTAATATTATTGTTACTTTAATATACCATAATAAATCTAGTCATAAGACACCATAACTAACTCTTAGTCCATAGTCACTTGCATTATATGATAATCCAGTGCTGAAATATAAAGAAATTTCTGAATTAAGTACCCAGAAGTGCCTTCCTTCTGTACTCCTCCCTCTCTTTCAAATGGCTATCATTGATCATATAACACCCCCACCTCCTTGTCTTAATATATTTATCTCTGTAAAACTAGCTCAACCACAGAAGGGACATCTAGAAACAGCAATATTGATTTGGTTTGGCCTGTTTGTTTTTAAGGACTTTCCAGTTGCTGAATTCTGAACATCCAATCCGAGTCCTTGGAATTCTGCAGACTTCTCTGGGGTGGAGTGGCCTCACCGGAGGCTTGGTTCTGTTTTCTCTGTGGCAATTGGCTATGATTCACAGATGTGTTTCCAGAACAGCCCAACTGTGGGTCTCAGGGAAGTAAACTGCCTCTTAGGTCATCCTGCCTGTGCTGTAAATTCGGGGAAGGATTTCTGAGTACAGCAGGATTTCACACTAATTAAAAGGCCTTCGGGATCATTTCAGCCCTCATCCCCCAGGAGGCCAGTTTGGGGCTTTTCCCTACAGTAAAAAAGGACTCTTTCCTCACCAGTTCTCCTTGTTAAACATCTCCAGGGCACAATTTCCAGGGGGACCTGGAAAGGTTCCTTTTGAGGTGGAAATGAATCAACTCATTCCGCCTTTTCAAAGCTTTCTCAGGCTTATAAAGTGTCCTACTGAGAAAGTTCCTCTTCCTCAATGGGCTCTAGGAGACCTCCTGCTTCCTCTCCTCTGATTTGATCAATGGGTTACTTTTTTTCTTCAGAGATCCCTGGAGGCAGGTAGGTCCAGGGATTGCTTGGGTTAGAATTTGTTGATATTTCTATGGAAAGGACCCGTGCTATCCTGCCCTTGCTGAGAAATGAGCCAAGTCCAGGGGCTTTCCAGCACTTGGGAGCCTCACCCTTTACCAGCGAACACTATAGAAGGGGGATTGTTGAAGGTAAGGGCCTGTGGCAAATGGATTTTCTCACCGGGCGTTCACTGGGAGAAGGAGTTGATGAGTGCATTTTTCTTAGTTTCCTCTGCACAGGTCCCCAAGCTCAGGCTGGGTAAGCTTTTTAGGAGATGAAACTTAAGGAGAATGACAAAAGAGTGAAATATTAGCTTAAAAATTTTTCCTTTTTTTTTTCACCTGGCAGTTGAGTCAGATTGTAGGAAAATTAACCCAGATGGGTCTACATTTTTCTTCAAGTTCAAACCACATGGTTTCCTAGTCAGAAAGTCTCATGGACTTTCTTCCTAAGGTGTTCTATGATCAGACCACCTCCTAAATGTGGCTTTTACCCATTACAGGCTACAGTTGAATCAGGCAGGAGCAGCTGCTGGAGAGCACCCAGCCGACAGACCTGCATTCCAGAAGCAGCTTGGAGAAACTGGGAAGACATTTTTGACCCATTCTTGGGTTTTTACTGTAAGGTTAGCAGTTACATGATGCCACCAGTCCAAGACTTAGATCATGAGAGAAGGCCTTTTTAAAAGTTTACCAGGGAACATCGAGGCTCATAAAGAACTCTTTTGTCTTCACCCATCTCTCCTCCTCCCACTCCCATCCACTTTCTCATAGCTCAAAAACCACTCATTGGTAAGCACAGTCAAACCCAGGCCTGTAATCACCTCTGAAACAACTACTCCTAAGCAAGCAAACCCCATGGCTGGTAGACCCCGTGGGTATTTTGGCATCAACACTGCTCCCCTCCCCTCCCATCCCAGTCACTGCAGTTTAGAATTGCATGCCAATTTCCTTTTCTGGCAGGGCCTGGACGGCATGGAAGCCAGGGACAGCATGGGCCAGGTGCGCAGCAGCAGCAGCGCAGCATTCCTGGCACTGCAACAAACTGAGAATGTGTCTCAAGTGACTTTCCAGTCTGGCCCTTAGTGCCCAATAACCAGAGTGTCAGAAGTAGTGAGACTGAAGCTGTGTTTGCCAGACACCCAAGTCCATAGCCAGCTCGGTACTCCTCCATTCACTCTCTCTGTCTCCCCTAATGGGGTAATAGATCTCTTTCTAAGAAGGATGAAGATGGCGTTTGTCCTTGGCCTTGTAGGTATGGACGGAGAGGAGGGTAGAAAAGGAGTTGGTGTTGCATGTTTCTAAAGCATCTGAGAAGGTATTTTGATATTGGCAGAAGAAGCTAGTGGCAATCCCATATGTGGGCTCTCCAACACTGACTGACCCCAAACATGCTGAGCCCAGATCAGGCTGGCCGGCCGAAAGGTGGACTGTGTCTATCATTTCTGCTAGATTCCTATGTGAGGAGGCCAGGGATGGTGCTGACCTTCATGAAAGATAGCAGGCTGGAGTTCCCATGATACCAGCAAGATGAGGCTTGATTATAAAAAGTGCGCCTCAAGGCAGTGATACAGAGGAGTCTATGAAGCTGGAGTCTTAGGGGAGTGGTTGAGTCCTTCTGCAGCGGGGATGGGGCAAAATGGCTGTGCTCAGGATCGGCTGAGGCGTTTGGCGACATCAGCGTAGGCCAACTCGATCTCACTGTCAGCTGCACAGGTGTTGGTGAACTCATCACGGGCATAGGCGTTCTTGAGGTACCGCCACAGGCCTGTCATCTCAGCCGGGATATCATAGTTGCGGTATTTCTTGGCCACAATCTAAAACAGAGATGGCAGGACAGAGGTGGTGTGAAGGCATGAAACAAATCATTAGAAAGTGTTAGTGGCCGTCCCAGTGTGTGTGCACTGCAGGAAACCTCCGTGCATCACCACGGGCCATCAGTGATATGTTTGAAATGCAAGGTGGCAGTGCTGTCTTCTTTTTGTTTTGTTTTAATTTAATTTCTTAAGTAAACATAATTTGCCCTTTGACCTAGTGTGTCAAATTCTAGGAATTTTTTCTCAGGAAATAATCATGGATGGATATAAAGATTTACCTACACAATTATGATCCCAGAGCTATTTTGAATAACAAAAATGGTGCACAGCGCCAAAGTCCAACAATATATGAATACATACATTATCTTACACAAATAAAATGTCATAGTGGAGGGACATTAAAAATGATGCTGCTAAGAAAATCTAGTGATCTGGAAAACTCTCCAAGATAGACTATTACATTTAAAGTTCAAGTATAATGCATTTGGAGAAACATGTATGATGGCTAGATGTCTATATACCTATATATTACCAGTGGTTATGTCTGATTGATAGAATTACCAACAATTTTTCTTTTCTTCTTTCTCTTATTCACTTTGTTTTACACAGGCCAGTTTTTCCCTTCTTTATTTATAGAAGGGAAAAAAAACCATGAAAAGCAAGTTAGATATTGGAATGTATATGTAGGTTTAGACTATGACATAAAAGTAAGCAAATACTGATTTCTGTTCTCGCCCTGGTTTGCCACAGTCAGGGGGGATGTGGACTGGAGAGTTCTGGAGAAGTGGTATTTATGTTGAGAGAAACAAGAGCAAAGTGATTAAAAGCATGGGCTCTGGATACCAACTGACTGGATTTGCAATCATGGCTCCACTTAGCAGCTGTGTGACATTGGGCAGGTTACTTAACCTTTCTGAGCTCCAATTTCTTTATCTCTAAAATGGATATAATAATAAAACCTACTTTGGAGTAATAAATTAGTTAATACACATCAAATGCTTAGAGGAGTGCCTGGCAAATAGTAAATACTCAATAAACATCAAGTATTATTATAATTCATTGAGACCTAGCTTGTACCCATTTGCATGCATTTTCTTAATGGGGACAGCAGGATGGTTTCTTTAATGAGGTCTCTCTAGCTGCGGCAGCTTCATGGACCTGTGACCTGTGCAGTCTCACCTTGCACTCAGAAGAGCCCTGCTGTTGATTTAATGCTCTGGGGTCAATGTGTGGAAATTCTTAATAATTTTTAAACAGGGCCCCCCTGTTTTCACTGTGCACTAGGGCCTGCACATTAGCTGGTCCTCCTCTAGCCCTTCCAGGCTAGGCTAGGGTAGGGGTAACAGGAGAGTAGTATCACTTCTGACTCCCCTCCCTCCCTCTTTTCTGTCCCTTTCCTTCCCTCCCTACTCCCTTCCTTCCTTCCTTCCTTCCATCCTTCCTCTCTCTTTCTCTCACTCTCTCTCTCCTTCTCTTCCTTCCTTCCCTCTTTTTTTTGGGGGGATACAAGGGGGTACATGTGCAGGCTTGTTACCTGGGTATAACGCATGATGCTGAGGTTTGGGGTATGATTGGTCCTGTCACCTAAATAATGAGCATAGTTTTTCTACACTTGCCCCCTCCATCCCTCTGCCAAGTAGTCCCCAGTGTCTATTGTTGCCATCTTTATGTCCGTGAGTACCTATTGCTTAGCTCCTACTTATAAGTGAGAACATGTAGTTTCATGTTTTCTGTTCTTGCATTAGTTTGCTTAGGATAATGGCCTCCAGCTGCATCCATGTTGCTAAAAAGGACATGACTTTGTTTCTTTACATGGCTATGTAGTATTCCATGATGTATATGTACCATGTTTTGTTTATTCAGTACACTGTTGATGGGCACCCAGGTTGATTTCATGTCTTTGCTATTGTGAAGAGAGCTGTCATAAATATATGAATGCATATGAAATTTTTTTGGTAAAACAGTTTATTTTCCTTTGGATATATAACCAGTAATGGGATTGCTTGGTCAAATGATAGTTCTGCTTTTAGTTCTTTGAGAAATCTCCAGAGTGACTGAACTAATTTACATTCCCATTAACACTGTATAAGTGTTCCCTTTTCTCCACAGACTAACCAACATCTGTTGCTTTTTGACTTTTTCACAATAGCCATCCTGACTGGTGTGAGGGAGGTGTCTCCTTGTGCTTTTAATTTGCGTTTCTCTGGTGACTGGTGATACTGAGCTTTTTTTTTTTTTTTTTAATGTTTGTTGGCCACTTATTATGTCTTTTTTTGAGAAGTGTCTGTTCATGTCTTTTGCCCACTTTTTAATGGTATTATTTGTTTTTTTCTTATTCAATTGTTTAAGTTCCTTATAGATTCTGGATATTAGACCTTTGTCAGATGCATAGTTTGCAAATACTTCCTCCCATTCTGTGGGCTAACTGTTCACTCTGTTGATAGTTTCTATGTGCAGAAGCTCTTTAGTATAATTAAGTCCCACTTGTCAATTTTTATTTTTGTTGCAATTGCTTTTGTAACTTCATCATAAATTACTTCCCAAAACTGATGTACAGAATGTTTCCTGGTTTTCTTCTAAGATTCTTACAAGTTGAGGTAAATCTTTAATCCATATTGAGTTACTTTTTGTATATGATGAAAGGTAGGGGTCCAATTTCATTCTTCTGCATAGGGATAGTCAGCTATTCCAAAACCATTTATTGAATAGGAAGTCATTTCCCCATTGCTTATTTTTGTCAATTTTGTGGAAGATCAGATGACCGTAGGTGTGTGGCTTTATTTCTGGGTTCTCTTTTCTGTTCCATTCATCTATGTGTCTGTTTTTGTACAAGTACCATGTTGTTTTGGTTACTGTAGCCTTATAGTGCAGTTTGAAGTCAGGTAATGTGACACCTCCAGCTTTGTTCTTTTTGCGTAGGGTGGCTTTGGCTATTCCGGCTCATTTTTGGTTCCACACGAATTTTTAGAATAGTTTTTTCTAGTTATGTGAAAAATGACATTGGTAGATTGATAGGAATGGCATTGAATCTGCATATTGCTTTGGACAGTATGGCCATTTTATCAATATTATTTCTTCCAATTTATGAGCATGGAATGTTTTTCCATTTGTTTGTGTCAGCTGCAATTTCCTTAAGTAGTGTTTTATAGCTCCCCTTGTAGAGATTTTAACTCCCTGGTTAGATGTAGTCCTAGATATTTTATTTTATTTTATTTTTGCAGCTATTATAAATTGGAGTATGTTCTTGATTTGGCTCTCAACTTTAATATTGTTAGCATACAGAAATGCTACTGATTTTTGTACATTGACTTTTTTTTTTTTTTTGAGATGGAGTTTCGCTCTTGTTGCCCAGGCTGGAGTGCAATGGTGCAATCTCTGCTCACTGCAACCTCTGCTTCCTGGATTCAAGCGATTCTCCTGCCTCAACCTCCTGAGTAGCTGGGATTACAGGCATGCGCCACCATGCCCAGCTAATTTTGTGTTTTTAGTAGAGACAGAGTTTCTCCATGTTGGTCAGGCTGGTCTCGAACTCCCGACCTCAGTCGATCCGCCTGCCTCAGCCTCCCAAAGTGCTGGGATTACAGGCATGAGCCACTGTGCCCGGCCACATTGACTTTTTATACTGAGACTTTACTGAAGTTGTTTATCAGTTCCAGAAGCCTTCTGGTGAAGTCTTTAGGGTTTTTGAGGAATAGAATCACATCACCAGTAAAGAGAGAGAATGTGACTTCTTCTTTTCCTATTTGTATGCCTTTTATTTCTTTATCTTGCCTGATTGCTCTGGCAAGGACTTCCACTACTACATTGAATAGGAGTGGTGAGAGTGGGCATCCTTGTCTTGTTGCAGTTTTCAAGGGGAATTATCCCAGTTTTTGCCCATTCAGTAAGATGTTGGCTGCAGATTTGTCATAGATAGATGGCTCTTATTATTTTGAGGGGTGTTCCTTTAATGCCTAATTTATTGAAGGTTTTTGTCATGAAGGGATGTTGAATTTTATCCAAAGGTTTTCTGTGTCTATTGAGATGATCATTTCATTTTTGTTTTTAATTCTGTTTATGTGGCGAATAACATTTATTGATTTGTGTATGTTGAACCAACCATGCATCCTAAGAAGAAGCCTATTTGATCAATGTGAATTAACTATTTGATGTGCTGCTGGATTTGGTTTGCTAGTATTTTGTTGTGAATTTTTTGTGTCTATGTTCATCAGGGATATTGGCTTGAAGTTTTCTTTTTTCATTGTGTCTTTGTCAGGTTTTGGTATCAGGGTGGTGCTAGCTTCATAGAATGAGTTAGGAAGGAGTCCTTCCTTGATATTTTGGAATAGTTTAAGTACGATTGGTACTGGTTCTTCTTTTTATGTCAGGTAAAATTCAGCTGTGAATCCACCTAGTCTGGGGCTTTTACTGGTTGGTAGGTTTTTTTAAATTACTGATTCAATTTCATAACTCAATTAGTATGTTCAGGGTTTCAATTTCTTCCCAATTCAATCTTGGAATATTGACTTTGTATACTGAACCTTTACTGAAGTTGTTGATCAGTTCCAGGAGCCTTTTGGTGAAGTCTGTAGGGTTTTCAAGAAATAGAATCATAATCAGTAAAGAGAGAATTTAACTTCTTCTTTTCCTACTTGTAGGCCTTTTATTTCTTTCTCTTGCCCAATTGCTCTGGACTTCCACTATGATGTTGAATAGGAGCGGTGAGTGGGCATCCTTGTCTTGTTACAGTTTTCAAGGCAATTGAAAAGTGTATTTCTAGGAATTTATCCATTTCCTCTAGATTTTCTAGTTTGTGTGCATAGGGATGTTCATAATAGTCTTTAAGGATCTTCTGTATTTCTGTGAGCTCAATTGTAATGTCTTCTTTGTCATTTCTGATTGTGCTTATTTGGATTTTCTTTTTTGTTGTTGTTGTTGTTAATCTAGCTAATGGTTTATGGATCTTCTTTATCCTTTCAAAAAACCAACTTTTGGTTTCATTGATTCTTTGTATGAATTTTTGGGTCTCAATTTCATTCAGTTCTGCTCTGATTTTAGTTATTTCTTTTACTATACTAGCTTTGAGGTTAGTTTGTTCCTGTTTTTCTAGTTCCTCTAGGTGTGATGTTACTTTGTCAATTTGAGATCTTTCTAACTTTTTGAGGTAGGCATTTCGTGCTATAAACTTTCCTTGTAATATTGCTTTTGCTACATCCTAGAGATTTTGGTATGTTGTGTCTTTGTTTTCATTTATTTCAAAGAATGTTTTTACTTTTGCCGTAATTTTGTTGTTTACCCAAAAGTAATTCAGGAGTGAGTTGTTTAATTTCATGTAATTGTGTGATTTTGAGACATCTTCTTGGTGTTGATTTCTATTTTTGTTCCACTGTGGTCCAAGAGTATGATTGATATAATTTCTATTTTTTTTAATTTATTGAGATTTGCTTTATGACTGAGCATGTGGTTGATCTTGGAGTATGTTCTGTGTGCAGATGAAAGGAATGTATATTCTATGGTCAATGGGTGGAGTATTCAGTAGATGTCTGTTATGTCCAATTGTCAAGTGTTGAATTTGAGTCCAGAATATCTTTGTTAGTTTTCTGCCTCGAAGATCTGTCTAACGTTGTTAGTGAGTTGTTGAAGTCCCCCATTATTATTGTGTGTTGTTGCTAAGTCTTTTCATAGGTCTAGAAGTACTTGTTTTGTGAACCTGGGTGCTCCAGTGTTGGGTGTGTATATATTTAGAATGGTTAAGTCTTCTTGTTGTAGTCACCCCTTTACTATTATGTAATGCCCTTCTTTGTTCTTTTTTTTTTTTTCACTATTGTTGGTTTGTGGTATGTTTTACCTGATATGAGAATAGTGACCCCTGCTCTTTTTTATGTTCCATTTGTGTAATAGATCTTTCTTCAGCCCTTTACTTTGAGCCTATGGGTGTTGTTACATATGAGAGGGGTCTCTTGAAGACAGCAGATGAGTGGCTCTTATTTTTTATCCAAATTGCCACTCTATGTCTTTCAAGTGGGGCACTTAGATCATTTACATTCAAGGTTAATATTGATATGTGAGGTTTTGATCTTTTCGTGAAGCTGTTAGCTGGTTACTTTGTAGTTTCTATTGTGTGCTTGCTTTATAGGGTCTGTTGGCTATTTACAAGTGTGTTTTTGTGGTAGCAGGTATCATTCTTTTGTTTCCATGTTTAGAGTCCCTTAAGGATCTCTTGTAAGTATGGTCTAATGGTAATAAATTCCCTTAGCACTTGCTTGTCTGGAAAAGATTTTATTTCTCCTTTGTTTACAAAGCTTAGTTTGGTGGGATATGAAGCTCTTGGTTGGAATTTCTTTCTTTAAGAATGCTGAAAATAGGCCCTCAATCTCTTCTGGCTTGCAATATTTCTGCTGAGAAGTCTGCTGTTAGCCTGATGGGGTTCCATTTGTATGTGTTCTGACCTTTTTCTCTAGCTGCCTTTAAGACTTTTTTCTTTGGCATTGACCTTGGACAGTTTGGTGACTATATACCTTGGTGAAGTTCATTTTGTATGGTATCTCACAGGTGTTCTCTGGATTTCTTGTATCTGTATATCCACCTTCTACCTTGCTTTCATTTTCAGAGAGGGCCCTAGACCATTGACCCTGGGATCCTCCCATTCAGAGAAGCCCCAGATCAGTCACTCTGGGCTTTTGTCTCCATTTTGGTGCTGGTAATATGCAGAGTTTCCCAGAAAGTTATGCTGAAGTGAAGGATGATGATGACTTGATGGATGAAAAACTCACTGTTGCAGACATGTTCACAGACATCTGGGAACATTTTTTCCCCTCTATGCTCCTAGGCCAGTGTTGAACTTCTGTTATAACACTGAGCTATAATCTATTCTGAATCATGATTACTGTTTCAGTACCCTTTTTTTTTCTAACTTGTGGGCAGTGTAAGGATAGCAATCACAGGTTCTTCACTTCTGTACTCCTTGATAATCTCAATAATGATGTTGATCAGAGGAATGATAATAACAAACATTTATTCACTGTGTGCTCTGTTCCAGGGACTGCTTTAAGTACTTTGCAAGGTACTTAAATCTCTAAATAATCCTATAAGGAAGAATCTATTATATTCCCATTTACAGATGAGAAAAGCAAGACAAAGGGAGATTAAATAGGTTGGGATTCAAAGTTTACAATCTTATCTGTACATCAGACAAGGTTCTCTAGTGTCAAGTGTAATAAAATAATTTTAAAGACTGAAGATCCCTAGCAATGAGCAAACTGAAGCTACAAGAGATTATGTGACTTAATGTTACATGATAAATTAATTAATTTAACCAATATCTATTGAGTTACCATTAATATTTATTACAGTCCTTGCTTTATAATCCACAGTTCTTTCTACTTTACTACTCAGCCCTACATAGCTGATAAAGCAATGGGTCGGTCTACTCAGAATCCCTCATGTTCCAGCCATTAATTTACTGTTGCTTGTCTCCAAACCTACTCTTCTATTTACTATTTTTTGTGATGCTGGGGCTAGGACTGAGCAGATCACATCTCTTCTTTGCCAGTGAATCCTGTTAGGTTCTGCCAAGAGGAGTTACTGGAGAGAGCCAGCAAGGTTGGAGGAGGAGAAGGGAGGGAGAAGCCCATGCTTTTCAGCTTCCTCTTTCTGTCAGAGTCTCCATTTATTTCTGGGAGCAGCAGCTGAATCCAGTTTGCTATTTTGTCAATACTCACAGGACCACTTCATCATACCCACGCAGAGAGGCCAGCACATAGCAGGAACTCTGCTTTAGAGGCTGGATCCCAGCCAACCTGAGCTTGGACCCTGGCACCAGCTGAGCATCACTTTCACCGACATTCAGCTCTGCAGGGTCCCTCATCTACAGAGCCCCTAAGTTTGTAAGTTTTAATAATTCCAACCTCTTCCCTTTGTTCCTCCTGCCCTAGGAGTAGTAGCTGCCTCTTGAAGGTAGAACCTCCTAGTATATTTTGCCTTTCCAGTTCTTTACTACATAGTACTTCCTTAAATTCTCTCTGTTAAAATAACTGGTTTGGTGTGGGCACCAAAGAAGCCACCCCCACACTGTTCTGTCTGGCTTAGGTAACTACAAGCAAGGGTGATGAAGTCCGAGTCCTTTGATAAAGCTCTCACAATGAGAGATGCCACCACGATATCTCCCCAGTCCCTTTCTGTTCACTGAAAGATGATGATCCCTTGGGTTGGGCCAAGTTCCTTTGAGAAGAGGCTGTCTTGGCTAAGAGCAAATTCATGCAGGAGTGGTGGCCTGACCAAGAGAACTGGCTGGAATTTATCAGAGTGGATGAAAAGGGTCTCCAATAAGATAAAGGGATCCAAAAGTATTTTTCACAGTGACACACTGATTCATAGAGTAGCCTCAAGTCATTTCATACTGAAATTTTATTTTCAGGATTTTAAAGGGCAGAATGTTAGTTTCAATACAGCAGAAATGCAATTTGTAAATATATACTTCTATTGATGTTGGTGTTCCCCTTCTTGTTTGTCTCCAGGGCTGAACATCGTCACTATGCTAGGCAAGGATCCCAGTGAGCAAGGAAAGGCCTGCAGATGCCTCTCCCAACGAAGACCTGTGCACCCTGGGCCTTGGCTGCTGAGCTGGTCATTTCTTCACACATTGGCTTGACTTTGGGAGATGAGAACTAGGAGGGGGCCAGACAATGAATGTTCAAGCCAAACTCTCATGGAGAGCCTGGGCCAGAGCAACTCTGCTTCCAGGGATGGAGATAAACCTGAAAGCGAGCCACGCAAGAGGAGAGTGAGCATGAAAGCAGCAAGGGGGTAAGGATGCACACGGAGATCTGACGTTCGCAGGGACTTCCATGCTCATGTTCTGAATTTGCTCTTTCATATGAAAACAGTTAGCTCCCACAGCCCAGATTAAGTTTTGGCATCCGAAGCCAAACTGGAGGCCTGACTTGGCTTCCCCTTCGCTCTTTGTGAACTTTAGAGGTTTGCCAGGTTTCTGGGATCTGATAAGCTGGATCAGCAGAAATCCAAAGAGATAGGGGCCAAGGGCTGGCCTTTGTTCTTTCATTGGCCATCTTCTTTTTGATCTCCAGCTTCTCTGGGTTAACCACCCACTGAATTTTCTCCAAGGACAGGGCTTCACTGAGTAATTTAAGGCAGGTGGGAATTGAGGAAATCACAGGATGAAGCCCAAGGCTTGGGAGATTCATTTGTTTGCTTTGTTCAACAAATGGTTTTTGAGTGGTAGTGAATACATGTTTGAGCAAGAGAAAAGGAAAGAAGGAGGGAAAGAAGAAAGGAAAAGAAGGCAAGAAGGAATACAATCCACTTCTGTTCTTCTAGGCATGAGAAAAATGAATTCCAAAAAGATTAAATGATGTGCCTCAGCTCATGCTGCTAGTTGGCAGCAAATACAGGACCGGAACTCGGGTCTCCTGATCTTTGCATTGTATCACTCTGACACAGTGTGACTGAGCTGGAATTATATCATCCCTTTCAGTGGTACTTGTTCCTAAGGAGAAGAAGAATAAAGGATGATGGGTGGGGCATGCAGTAGTTAATAACTTCAAAGAGACATAGATTGGCTGGACCTACAAGTGACTATTGGCTTGGCCCCAAATCCAAAATGTTCTTTTCTAAATAGGTTGTATTTGCCCACTCCATTTTTATGCATGATTCCCTCTCAGTCTTCAGCTCTAAGGCATACGGAAACACCAGTGTACACACAACTGAGTGACTTCAGCTCAAGCTGGTACATGCTCTGGTTGGAGAGGAGATAGCATTTTTGACTCGGGACTTGAGCTGAAAAATAATAGGCATATACTCAGCTGACAGATGATTGAATCTGAGTCTTCTCAGTGAAGCATAGAAATAAACTGGATATCGTAAAGACTTACACCAGGTGATCAAATGATCAATCAATGAGTATTTATTGAATGGCCACTGTGTGCCCACCATCACACTTTAAAAAGTTCCTTTCCTCACAGAGTTTGCTGTCTGGCTGAGACAGTAAGATATAAGCATGCGTAAAATAGAGCACAGTATGGCTATCTGATACTAGGCTGACGAGGGTCAGGAAAGAATGGGGGAAGAAGTGCTCATTGACAGAGCTTAGGGGGATACAACTACTGTCTTCAAATGAGGTGAAGGCAAGCAAAGCTGTTCTCTGTTACTCTAGAGAAAAAATGGATAGCAGGGAGGCATGCTTGGGCTCATTGTAAAGAACAATGATTTAATAATCAGAGCTATCTAACATGGTAGGGCTGGCTCATTAAGCAGAGGGCTCCTCGTTCTCAGAGGCTGCAGTCACAGCTTCACAGAAGCCTGTCACAGAAACAGCAGAAAGTGGTCCAGGTTGAAGTGGGAGATTGTTTTGGATGACCTCTAAATGTCCTTTCCAACTCTCAGATTCCCAGGGTTTGTTATATAGGAGAGGATGACACTACATGCTGCAAATGGTTAGTAAGTGCAATGATAGCAAGAAAGTGACATCACTTCTTGCAACCTCCACCTCTTCATTTGATAGATGAGGAAAATAATGTGGGCTCACCTTAGGAAGTTGCTGGAGGAAGTGAGAAGGTGGGTCTGTGCACAAAGAAAAAATGCATATGAGGGCACATTTAATAGAGCTGTAGGGGTGTAGCCAGGGAAATCCTATGAGGAAGAGGCCTTTGGAGTGATATGACTGTATACAACAACGATAATTGCGACTATTACACATATTAAGCCCCCACAATATGCCAAGCACTTTCACGCTGTATTTACTCTTCCACCAACACTTGAAGTAAGCAATATATGCCTATTTTATAAATGAAAACTGAAGCTCAAGGAGGCCACACAGCCAACAAGCAGCAGAGGGTGACCTTGGGTCCTTATTACCTGACTTCAGGGTCCAGGTTCTTGACCAACAGGTGGTACTGTCCTTGACTCATCCACACAGGTGACCTGGGCCTAAGATGGAGCTGGATCTTGCAGGCCCCTGTGGGTAGAGCTCTCTTACCTTGACCACATGGAGCTTGGGCAACAGATTGCAGTCAGCCAGGGTCAGCTCATCCCCATCCAGGAACTTGCGCCGGGACCCCTTGTCTTCCCCACAAGTGTTGGCGTCAATCTCCTCTGGTAGAGGGGTGTTCAGGTAGTCATCCAATTTCTTTAGAGCCTTGGTTAGGCCTCTTTCAAGAGCTGGCATGAAAGAGTAAAAGGGCCTTTATTCAAACTTCTTGCCAGTGGATACAGTCATAGGGTCTTCAGAGTGGAGTAGCTCATCTAGAATCCTGTCCCCTTCATCACACTGCCAGCTCCCCACACACTGCAGAATACCTGGAAACCATTAACACAATGCAGTAGAAGTGTACTAAATAGGCTGAAAAGGCAAACTCTAACCAAACAATAAACACTAGCTAATCTTTTGCTTTGAAAAAAATACATAAATATAGAAACACAGTCTGGGTGTGGTGGCTCACACCTGTAACCCCAGCACTTTGGGAGGCCGAGGCGGGCAGATCATGACGTTAAGAGATCGAAACCACCCTAGCCAATATGGTGAAACTCCGTCTCTACTAAAACTACAAAAATTAGCTGGGCATGGTGGCACGCGCCTGTAGTCCCAGCTACTCGGGAGGCTGAGGCAAGAGAATCGCTTGAACCCAGGAGGCAGAGGTTGCAGTAAGTGAAATAATACTAGCCAATTTATTTATTTATTTGTTTGTTTATTTATTTTTGAGACAGAGTCTCACTCTGTCACTAAGCTGGAGTGCAGTGGCGTGATCTGGGCTCACTGCAACCTCCGACTCCCTGGTTCAAACGATTTTCCTGCCTCAGCCTCTCGAGTAGCTGGGATTACAGGCACAAGCCACCACACCCAGCTAATTTTTGTATTTTTAGTAGAGACGGAGTTTCACCATATTGGCCAATATGGTCTCGATCTCCTGACCTCATGATCGGCCCGCCTTGGCCTCCCAAAGTGCTGGGATTACAGGTGAGAGCCACCATGCCTGGCCAATACTAGCCATTTTTTTAAAAAGTTTTGGTTATCTATAATTTGCTAATATTCCACATCAACCTACATATTACATTTTTAGGAAGAAAAGGCTATTAAATGGGTAAATATAAACTATATAGAAGTTCCAAGACAAAGATATGCATCAGATATTGTGGAAGTATTAACTATAGCTAACCCAACCCAAGAAGAGTTGGGGACAAGGCCTTCAGGGGGACTTGACAGGGGGAATAGAACAGCCCTTTTTGATGTCACCCCCAGAGAAGTGATGGGTACCAGGGAAGAACACTTGGGTTACTCTAGGGAAGCTTGTTCTAAAAATCACTGCTGTCTCAAATGGAAGGGCTCCACCACAAATGTGCAACCCCCAGCTGCACAGAAAGCTGTCATGATTATGACTCAAGGAATGAACACCCAAAGGAACATAACATGGGAGAAGGCTTTTACAGTCTTGGTCAAATAATTATCTGTCACATAATTTATTTAGACACAAAAGCAGACAAAATACCCAAAAGAACAACTGTGGGAAGCCATCATCACTGAAAATCGTTTTGCCCAGAATCTCGTAGTCCTTTCTAATCAGAGAACACTACCATAGAAACTTTCTACTTGAGCTCAAAGGACAAACATGGAGGAGATGGCTGACCAGGGCATCAGTCACTGCACCTGTGTCATCAGCCCCATCCCCAGACTCTGGTTTAGAGCCTGACACTGAGATAATGGAAGTCGATCCTGCTGTTCATTCCAGTAGATACAAGGCGGACACTGCCTTCTGGAGGCAAAGCCAAGAGGGCTGTACTCTTGTTCAGATTTTCCCAAGTGTGCCTTGTTAGCCACTCCTCTCATAACCCACTTTTTGTCTTTTCATAGAAGGCCTTTTGTTTGAGACAATGGAAAGACACCAGCCCAAGATAAATCAATTGAACACTTACTGGAATGTTTGAAAACTGCCTGGAGGTTGGGCATAGTTTCTCAATACTTTCTTCTCCCTGGTGTGGCATTTGAACTACTTCATCATCTGCTTTGTGTTTCCAGTTTGGGAGAACAGAGTAAGCAGGGCTGGGAAAATGCAGTATATTCCTTAATAATTGTCTAGACTGTGATGGGATTGCAAGGCTATTCAAAGGCAATGGCAGAGGGTGGGTACTAAACAATGCTTATTATGCTTTTCTCCCTGAAGCACTTGTGATTTATTTGTTTGCTTGCTCAATCCCTCTACCCCTTTCATTCCTGGAGATTACAGCAAAATCTTGATTATAATGAAGAAAGGAAGAATCAAATACTGGGCCTGTCAAAATTTGACCAACTAATATCATCTGAGGGAAAGAGTCATACGATAGGAGATGAGACATTGCAGGTTCTAATCTCAAATGGCCCTGGAGACCTGAGTGGGCTGTTGCACAAGTCTGTGCCCATGTCACCAGGTCTGGGAAATATCATGAAATTTGGTGAAAAGCCTAGAGCAGTGATTGAAGTTCCTTGGGAAGATAGTTCTTTATATCCCTCCGGTAATTCCTCGAGATGGAAGGCATCAAGTCTGGTGACAGGAATCATTGTTGATTCATGTTGCAACTGTGACATTCCATGGAGCTTTCCAAGTCAGCACATTCTGGAAGGCACCCTCTGTGTATCAGTCTCCTCACTTGGGTTTGTGTATTTTTGACCAGGAATGTGAGGGCTGCAGTTGGTAACAGCCGTGGTAGAGGAAGAGGAGACAAGGCAACAGGGAAAGGACTGCAAGGCCTGGGACTAAACTGTGTTTAAATCTCAAGGCCGCCCAGGGTGAATTCACTGGGAAGCTGCTGAGCCTTAAGCTTCAAGGTGTCTTGCTTTCCTGGGTCCCTTCCAAGCGCTTGGATCTGATTTCAAGAATTCTGTATTGGTACTTATTGTATTGCCTTAAGGCTTCATAAATCCCACAAATGTCGTTGATCCTGGCACTTACATGTGACCTTGGACAAGTTCCTCTACTTCACTGAGTTTCTGCTTTCTCATCTCAATAACGGGACTAAGGATCCTTCACCCTGTTAAGACCACTGCTGGGGTTAACTCAGATAATGCAGGGAAAGCACCTAATACAGTGCCTGGCCAATACGAGGACATCAATTAATGGTAGTTGTTGCTATTGCCTTACCAAACGTGGGGTCCTCCTGTTCTCTGTTCCTTGCCCCATACTCTTGGTCAATATATTCCTGAATATCCCAAGGTGCAGTGGAGAATGGGTGATTTTAAGAAGCTCCAAATTTGTGGCCAACTCCCTGGAGAGGAAAATCAATAGCCTGGAGATTTGCTTCCCTTACTTATTTAGTATACAGCCAAAGCCCTGTTCCTTATACTCCCTTGGGATGCTCCTTGGTGATAAGCTGTGTTGAAAGGCACACCCATAGCAAAATAGACACAACATGCCTGTGTGCTGAAACACTACCATATTATCGGATAGCAAATGGCAGTACCCACTATACGCTCTGCCAATTCTTTTCCTCCCACCTGCCAACTCATTCCTCTGACCCTGGCTCAATCTGCCATCCATAGAATTTAATGATCTCTTTTGACTGATGGTACACAGGTCATGAAACTATTTGAACTTTCTGCTCTGGTAGGAACAAGGGGGATGTGAAAGAAACTAGAGCAACAAAAAGATGTTAATTCTTTGTGTTTAATTCCTCGTAAATATTTGATATCCTCACTCCACATAATTACTCTGAGTAGTTAGATGGGGGTATCCCTCCAACTACAGCAAGTGAGCCTAGGGTTGGGGCACCCAAGACGCAGGATCACTAACATCCCAGGGACTTGATAGATACCCAGTGTTTTAACTGCTTTCTTCCCCTCTCCGCCTCTGCTCCCCATACAGATTTATTCTGTACCACACACAAATGCACTGGGTAAAATATGTGATGAGGAAACAAGGGGAATAGTTCATAAATATTCTGAGCCATATGCAAACAATCTTAGATTTATTTTTCTCTTTTTTAAGGAGGAAAAAAAATCCACCCATTCCATGATCACTTCCAGATTCATTGAGGTTGATATTACATAAGACCCAATATTGTTTTCTCGTCGTAGAGAAATAATGACTTGGAAACAGCAATTTGAGCTAAGAAAATAATATATTCTTACCAGGGCATGGAGGCTGAATGGGGACTGGGGAGCCAAGACTCTAACCCAGCCTCCAACAAGTTCTTGCAAGAACAGCTCAGCCCTGGTTTGCTGGCAAACTCAGTGCAGCACAGGTCCTGATGAGCATAAGGCAAAGCAGACTCCTGGGGCTCAAAATTCACATGGAGAGGAGCAGATATCAAAGGTGGTCTTTGAAAGAATGAGAACAGCTCTGTGGGCCCAGGTGGCTGCACGCTCAACTTCTCATATATGGTTTTTCTCTTGTATGTGTGTTGCAGCAAAATAAAAACCAGGAACCCACCTGTGACCGTTGTCTGTAGATTGGATGGGTGTCTGTTCAACTCTCCATGGAGAAGGAGGTTGTGGTTATTGGGCACTGGCCTGGGCCGAGTACCCTCTGCCCTATCTTGTTCCTTTTATTGCCCTAGTCCCATACCTTAGCACCAGCAAGGAAATACACTCACTGAATTCCCGCAGTGAGCTAGGGATGTTTATGCAACTACCATTTAAACACACAATGAGGCTATTGAGATGGAAAATATTATTCATCGTCATTCAACAGATGAAGAAACTGAGTCTTAGACTTACCCAGGGCACATACGCTTATGCAAGCACACACATAGCTGGTCCTTAAACCATTCAAACTACTCCTGGGACGTACAATGGAAATGTGCCTTGCTTTGTTTTCAACTGCTATGGTCTTCCTTACAAGCTCCTAACCTCTGGGTGGTGGAAAAACAACAACAACTTTAATTTCGTCCATTTTGGATTATAACCTAGTCTGATGTAATCATCTAAATAGTCCCCCTAGAGAATTCTGTCTCTTTGCATTGATATGCTCAGTTTCCCAGAGAACCTGCCCCTCCTTGCTCTCCTTCCTGAGTCAGTGGCACTGGGAATTGGGGACTAGGCCCCTGTGACCTCACAGCACTGGGGAGATGGGGTTTCTGGAATCTATGGGTGGAAGGCTTTGGAAAGCGAATACAGGTTCTGCATTTCTTCTGTTTGCTTCCTTCCAGAGTAACCATGGGGATGCTGGGTGGGGGTTACAGGTGGGCTGCTTGCCTCCCTCCACAATCTGGAAGGATACCCAAGCAAAGCACCACACGGAGCTCTTAACATGCTCTAGTTCCCTGACCCTCCCCCCCACCACCTCTCCTTTCTTCTTCATCCCCAACTCCCCTGTGCTAGGAAGGGTGGGCTTTTCTTTTAGTTTTCCCAGGTCAAATGGCCCACCAATCATTGAGCAGAAAGCCTCGCGGCCTTGCTGCATAGCCAGTACAACTGTTTCTACTCTGTGAGTCGAGGCCTCCAGGCAGGGTTTTTGATGGGTAAAAATTGAGAAATAAAAGAGTTTAGAACATCTTAGACAATAGGTTGGGTAAAAGTCTACTGTCTTGTTGAAAATGCTATTTTGAAGATCAAAAGCTGAATATTGAATTCTTTTTTCTGTCTTAGAGTTCCTTTTACAGAAATCCTAATCTCTCTGAGGTCAATGAATGCCTAGGGCAGATTAGAATCACGTACTCAGAGTGACAGAGAGAAAAAAATGTTCAATCGATTAGCTCTATTATAATTTAGGTGCAAAGCCCAGGATTTAAGCGCAGGGCTATTAGATTCTAAAACATAAACTCCTTCTACTCTGCAAGGCCACTTCTGGGTGCAAGGACTGTCCCATCACTCCTTGGGTATTCACGTGGCCTGACAGGTGCTGCAAAATGTTCTCATTCCCCTGACAAAAGAGGATGGGGTTCCCCTCATGACTCCCCCATGCCTTACCTTCCAACTAATTTGGTAACATATTTGTGTTCTGCTACCAGTGCTTGATTTCAGATATAATTCTTAGTACTTTCAGCGACCGTGATGAGGTCAAGAAGGAGTTTTCTCTGAGTAGAGGGGCAACCATGACCCATCACATCACTTTTCAACTCTGCCTGTACTAGGGGCCAGTGCTGTCACACGGGCTGTGTGACAATGAAACATCTGGTCAAAAAGTGAGAAATCCATTTGGATTTTTCCTAGGAGGAAAGAAATATCTAGATATTGAGAAATACCTGGAGCACTGAATGAAGTTTTTACTTTTCATCTTCTCATTTGAGATCATGTTGATATAACCAAAGGGTGCAAAAAAAGTACAGTGGTGGTTTGAGAAAGACCATGGCAGACGGAGATGTCTCTGGCCATCACATATTTTTGAAGAGAAAATACAAAGATGGCCACACTTGTTGACATTTGATAGTTTAAAACGTGAATGGTAACGTGATGGAAACAAAAAATAATAATAAGAAGAATATCACCACTTACTCATCTGTTGGAAGAAGAAGCCTTTCTTTCCACAGGCAGCTAGGACAAGAGGAAGAGACACTGAGAGAGATCAGATGGACTAGGCCAAAGATCCAGGAGCAAGCGGGATGTAGGAGCCCCAGCAGGGCCCAGGAGGATTGGGAGGGTGAGGAAAAGGGCAGGTGCAGGCCAAGCAGGCAGAAATGTAGATGCTGCTATAACGAGCTCAATTTTGAGGAGAGGCAAAGATATTCTAAGGGGATTTTGAGGATGTTCAGCTCTGTGATGGGCAGTGTAACCAATCCCCTCCCCCACCAGAAAACTTTACATAAAGATCTGCATTCATCTTTCAGGTTTTAGAAATGAGTCATGTAGCTTTTTTCTCAGTTGCCAAAGTCCTTAAAGAAAGAGAACAGTAGCCCAGTTACAGTTAGGTTATATGAGTATGAATGACCACACAAAGGCAAAATTATAAAGCAGGTGGAAACTGGGGTTTTCTCATCCGCAGTGACCTTTCTAGGACTCATGGCAGGTAAGGGGGGGCTGATTTTCAGGTCCCTTTGTCTTTTAAATAATGTCTACACCAGATTCTTAGACCACATGAAGTCAGAAATGGCAGCAAGGTTTTAGAAGATGGGAAGGGGACTTTCTATCAGGTCTGATGGGACGCTCTCTGCTGTGCCTGGGCCCTCTGGCTATGTTTGCATGTCACTGGTTTCATCAAGGAAGAAACAGAGAATCTGGGTCGAGTATGTCGGGGAGCCATGGCTTCTGATAACAAACACAGTAGCAGAGCAGCACATTCACTCTGCCATAAGAGATTTGGGTTTGAATCCTCAGTTATGCTTGTTCACAGGTTCACATCATCTAGTGTCTGGTGCAGAGTGAGACTTGATTAAAGTTAACTGCTATTATTATTATTACAGCTATAGAACTTGGGTTTATGAGAGGATGAAGGGGAAGAAGACACCGAGAGAAAGATGAGAGAAGAGATAGCTCAAGGCAGAAATTCAGTGTCTGAAGTGAAGTTTATCTGAACATCCTAGCATGTTCCAGGTCCAAGGAGAATCCTGGAGAGCTTGCAGGATGAAGCTTGCTCTTGACTTTCCTAACATGTTAGGGATCTAAAGTTGCCTGGAAGCATCTCTTTGGGTTTGGCTTTGCTCTCTCCAGGCCACATGGGTGTGTCACATTTTCTTAGTTTGACAGTTTAGAGAGTTCATGTCCACCTTTGGCACTGAACCAAGAACACTGGACTTGGCCTCATAGCCAGAGAGGAGGATGTTGTCAAATTGGCCCTGGGTGTGAACAACCCAGGGGCTCACATGGGGGAGGCAATTCCCAGGCCTCCGTTTCTAGGCACTGCTAAAAACAGGAAAGGCAGAAAGACAAACAGCGGTTTATGAGAAAGCAAAATGCAATGGCAACTTCAACAGATTCCCCACTGTTCCCTCGTGTGGCGTCAGCTGGGCTACAGAGAGTGTGCAGCACGTGGTGCCATGGGTATTATTTGTTTGTTCTAGAAAGAATTTCAGCCTCAGAGGGGAGGATGAATTAAATGACAAGCTCCTATAGTTCTTTCCAGTAAGAAGCCAGTAAATGATTCTTTATTTGAAAGATAGCGTTTAAGTCTTACAATTATGGTGGGTTGGGATATAGGACACTGTTGGTTGCCCACCCTCCTCTGTGGTGGGGAGAATGGGGTGTTTTCTGATGTATTTCCAAGGAATTCAGAAACTTTCTTAAGGAAGACACAGATTCTCCACATAGCTGCTTCCCCAAGCTCTATAGGGGATTCTTATAAAGAAGCATCTTTTTATTTAATACAGCTCCACAAATCACCCTTATATTTGGCGTATGTTCAGAAGTATTAGTACAACAACAAAATGCATATTTTTTTTAAAGGCAAGAGACTTTGGCCAGTATTTGGCTATGTTTAAAACACCAGCATGGTAAACATTTAGGACAACTTTAGCATGCCTTTAGTATAATATTTTCTTAAAGTATGAAGGGAGGTAGGGACTCCAGATCCAAATAATTTTCTAAACCTCTTAAAAGCCACAGTAGATTTGAAGAGAAAGATTATCACTTAGGTCTTCGAATTAAGTTTCCTTTTGTGTACTCATCTGTAGCATGTAAGCTGCCTGAATGTTTATTTATCAACAGGAGAAGGGAGGAAGAGAGAGAGAGAGAAAGAGAGAGAGATAGAGAGAGAGAGAGAGAGAGAGACTGACTGAATGTGGGAGGAAGCTGCAGAGCTAGCGAGCTCAGGAGTGATCAGGGGAGAAGTTCTGGTTAGGGAACCCGGCCCAGACTTTAGCCATGGGGCAGTGGCGACACCTTCTGGCTTATCCCTGAGCAAACAAACAAACAAACAAAAAACTCCCCAAAAACCTATTGTGTATTTTCCACAGAGAACATGTACGTGTGTTTTCTATTAGACTTTCCAGAAACTCATAAATGATTGTAGAACCCATCGTGCTAATAGAAAGTACGGCATAAATGCTGACGGAAGCTATTAATGCTGATTGTAGTTTATGTGGCCAAATGAATCAGGCTGAAATCTGTGAGTTTTTTTATGGTTACTTTATAACAGGTTATTTTTAAGTATCAGGCCATAGATTAGGTTTAATGCGGATGCTCACACACTTAGAATGAGCTGGTTAAGAGAGATTCTAACTTTATCAGTCATCCGTTCCAGCGTTTAGACCTAGAGATTTTTCTCAATTCTCCCTCCCCCAAAACACTTAGGCTGAAGTACATTCACCACATTTTGTCTTGTTTCATCCTCAAATAGCCACATCTTTTACATAAGAGCCATTCACAAACTTAAAAACTGCCTCTGTGCCACTGCAATGCTAGACTGAAATAATTACTGGATTTGGTGATTCTGTGAATATCCTACAAATTCTCTTCCAGTTGCCCATTCTTTTATTTGTTAAACAGGCATCTATTCGGTGCCCACTGTGGGCCAACTTTGTGCCCCTTTCCCCACATGGATTGCTGGGTGAGGACCCTGATGGGGAAGGTGGGAAGTGTTGAGTATATTTAAGGAAATACACATGGTAGTCATTCATTGAGTATTCATCGGATCGTGAACTGATTTGATCACCATTTCCTAAATGACACACTCTTGTTTAATTCAGCACTACATACATATTAAATAGTGGATTATATTAAATGTTAATATACGCAAGTCAAGAGCACAGATCATGGGACCAGCTGCCTGGGCTGGGGTCCTGACCCTGACACATACTAGCTTGGGCAGGTTGCTTAACCGGTGCTTGTTTCCTTCTCTGCAAAGTGGAGATCATAACATGGCATACCTTAGAGGGTTGCTGGGAGCAATAATTGAGTCATCACCTGCAGAGGGCTTAGTACAGTGCCCGGCATGCTGTAAGCAGTTGTTATGTACAATGTGTATGTGCAACGCATGATGATGCTGATGTATGAGAAACAAAGCATACAAAAAAAGCAACAAAAAATTCTTAGAGCTGCAAGAAAAAAGTGGCTCTTGCCTCTGGCTCTGCTCAGTAAACATCGTGCTTGACTCATCCTCTGCCCTGAAATGCTGACATGAACAGGGATATTCAGCTGTTCCTTTCATTCTGACTCTACAGCCAGAACCACAGTCCCCCAGCCGAAAGCCTTCATCATAACAGATGTGAAATGGGGCAACCTTAAAGGTTGGGGGTGACTGATACTTACACAGAATTCCCCAGATATGCTACAAGTACACCTGGACCTCCCTCCCCCTTGCTCAGAGCAGTTCCCTGGATACCCTAATGTGCCCCAGCAAAAATTACAGTTTGTGGGGAGAAGCTACCCATTGGATGTTTGAGTTGCACAGCTTTTACTACATGAGTCTTGCATCTCCTAAAGTTTGAAGTGTGTAGCAAATTAAATGTGCAATTTTATACTTCTGTTTCCTGAAATCTAGTAGGGGGTAAATGACTCAGATTTTTCCAGCACCAAAGGAGAATTTAAAATAGTGTGTCCTTTTTGGCAATGGCTAGGACAGGTATTTTCACCAGAGAGAGAAAAAATATCACCTTAACTTGAAAGTGAATATATAAGAATTGAATATACAAGAATTCAGTCTCCTTTTATTTGTTACTAGTAGAAGACAGAGCCCATATATATATATATTTTCAGGGTAGCAATGTGCCCTATCAAAAATACTCATCTTCCTAGATTCCCAGAATTTCAGCTACAGAAGGCCAAATAACCAAGTTCTGGCTAAAGAGATATCGGTAGAAATTAATCAATGGGCTTCTGGGAAAGATAAGATAGATGCGGCTGGCATTGTCTGGAATGCGGATGTGATGTTTGGGGGTGGAGCAACCATCCTGTGAAACAAGAATGAAAGTCACACACGAAAGATGGAGAATTAGGAGCTCTAAGCAGCAGCTCAATTCTCGACTTCTTTCAGCAACTACATTTGCCTGGAACTCTCTACTCTCTGGACTTCTTGTCATGTGAGAAAAGCAAATTCCTCTTAAGAAGTAAACATTTATCAAGAGTGCTTAGAACAGGGCATGGTTCATAGTAAAATGCTATATAGGTTTTGCTAATAAAATACATGTTTGCTTTAGCCACTGTAGTCAGGCTTCTATTACAAACAGCCAAACACAACATTTGCCAATATACATAGGTATTGCCAACATGCCAACATGTCATTATTCCGCTTTTTTTTTTTTTTTTTGAGATAGAGTCTCGCTCTGTCACCCAGGCTGGAATGCAATGGTGCGATCTCAGCTCACTGCAAACTCCATCTCCCTGGCTCAAGCAATTCTTCTGCCTCAGCCTCCCAAGTAGCTGGGACTACAGGCGCGTGCCACCACGCCTGGCTAATTTTTGTATTTTTAGTAGAGACTGGGTTTCACCATATTGGCCAGGCTGGTCTTGAACTCCTGACCTCGTGATCCGCCTGCCCTGGCCTCCCAAAGTGCTGAGATTACAGGCATGAGCCGTCGCGCTCAGCCTCATTATTTCACTTTTATTCTAGCACCTTGCACAGCGTATGGTACTGAATAAGTATTTGTTGAAAGAATAAGCCGTTCAGTGGGGTTTGAGGAAAGATGAAGGACCCTAAAATCATGTGACTCTATTTATATACTTATGTAATAAGCTTTAACTCTGTAGAGGAACAACAGTTCCCTTTCTTTGTATAATAGTAGCCCTTGGTCTTTTGAGGATAGATGAAGGGATTCAATTAGTTTGGCCTGAGATACCCTCCCACAGAGTCCCAGCCACTTTGTTATCAGAGCCAAGAGAGAAGCATAGGTTAGCATCAACCTCTCTGCCAAACGACTCAGGTAGGACTGAGGCAGTTTCAGACCTGGGCAAAATGTTGAGTAAAACTCATCTTAGGGTCCCCACAATGGAAACAGAACATGGATAACTATCATTGCAAACATCAGTGGGCATGAGACCATCAGAGTTAGAGCTGAGTGCAGGAGGTCTGAGAAATCACGTGGCTCAACCCTCCCCTCCCCAGAATGTTCTGGAAGGGAAGAGGTTCTAGACACTAGCACAGAGAAACATATATACACACACACACATACACACACACACACACATATATACATACATATACATATATATATATATATTTTATTTTTTTTATTTTTTTTGAAATGGAGTCTCGCTCTGTCACCCAGGCTGGAGTGCAGTGGTGTGATCTCGGCTCACTGCAAGCTCCACCTCCTGGGTTCATGGCATTCTCCTGCCTCAGCCTCCCGAGTAGCTGGGACTACAGGCACCCGCCACCACACCCGGCTAAATTTTTTTTTTTTTTGTATTTTTAGTAGAGATGGGGTTTCACCATATTGGCCAGGCTGGTCTTGAACTCCTGACCTTGTGATCCGCCCCCCTCGGCTTCCCAAAGTGCTGGGATTATAGGCATGAGCCACCGCGCCCGGCCAGAGAAACGTATTTTATTTACCTTGATCCAGATCATTAAATGCTTTGTCCACCAGGGGTCTTAGAAAAATAATTTGACCTCTGGCTGCTAGCTGAAAAAAGTCTAGAATTTAGCCTTCTGTGTTTTCTCTTTTGACTCTTGGTGAAGTATCACTTTTAACACCAAATAGAATTTCCCTTGAATGTGGTTATAAAAATAATGGTGAAAAGAAAAATCCCACTTCAGCGAAGCCCGCCAGCACACTGGCCATCCTAGTGAGGAGAGCTGCTCAGGTTCTTGCATTCTTTTATTGATTGGTTCTAAGTGAGATTATTCACCATGAAGCTTGATATCATATAACAGAGGCTACAAAAGCATTGTATGTTCTCACGTCAAAGACAATGCTAGTCACAGAACATCATAGGATTTAAATGGGGACTGGGAAGTTTTAAATAAATACAGTCAGAGCATAGGGGAGTCTGCAACATGGGGACAGATTTAAAAGGTGAGGTTCCACAGCGGGGACAGGAAGTGGCTGGAGGACGTGCCCGTGGCTCTGATGAGGCCCCGTCATCATCTCCCAAGCAAAGGCATAGACAAGGTAGAGGTGTGTTGAAGTGTTTGTATACTTTTTTTTCTCTCATTTAACAAATATTGATGGACCATCTGCCCTGGGTCAGATGCTGAGCTGGGGTCTGGGGTGACAATGATGAAGGAGGCACACCCAGCATGCTTCCTCACAGAGACAGCTGCTCAGAACCCTGTTTCTCACAGCACAGCCCTGGACCAACAGTGTCCGAATCGCCTGGGAGCTCTCAGGCCTTGCCCCAGATCCACTACCTCAATATCTGCTTCGTAACAAGACCCTGTGGGAAACCAGGATATGCCACCCCCAAAATAGGAAGGATTGTTGAGATGAAGACAATTCAGAAGAAACAGAGGCAGTAAAGCTCTCTGCCCTCCCTCTATTTGTCTAAAAGCAGGACGTAGATTTACAAAGACAAAACGTATCTTGCCTCCCCCCTTCTACCAGGGAGAACCACTGAAAACAACTTAAGACGCTTATGCTCCTGGAGATGGCCCTGCAGGAATCTACATTGAACAAGCTTTGCTAACTGGCCTTTATCTGCCATTCATTTGCTATCCCCCGAAGTTGCTGCCCCTAGAGACTCAAAGTGTTTTTTCCCTTGTCACATCTCTAAAAGTTTACTGTCCTTTGATGAGGATGCTGTGAAACTAGAATTCAAAGCCATCTCTTTGAGAACTCCTCATTATAGAAAATATACATGTTAATAAACTTCTGCTTGTTTTTCTCTTGTTAATCTGTCTTTTGTTACAGGGGTCCCTTCCAACTAAGAACCTATGGGGGTTATTCTTCCTCTAAAACCCCCACGGGATTCAAATGTATTCGCAAGGTAGAAAATGGTCTGGCTAACAAGAGGAATGAAAAGAAGTGCTGCTTTATGCTTAAGCCTTAAGTCTGTGCCTGTCTTAACTCATGAGGCTACTCCGGCTCAGCCTGGAAACAAGCTTGAGATGGGGTGGAGTGCCTTCCTGCAAGACGGCGCTGGAGCAGGATTTGAAAGAAAGCCTGGGGTTTTAAAGCCAAAGTTCCATGTAGCAACTTTTTCCCAACAAATTACCCTCTCTAAACTGCTGATAAAGTCAGAATACCAGACTAGATTTAATCCCTGGTTTTAGTTCTTATGTCTTTGCAACACTAGTTGGTAGCAAAAGATGTTTAAAAGCTGAGAAATGCTGAAGCTTTTGCTAGAAGGTTCAGTGCACCACCTGGATTTCACATCTTGTCATTTTCAGCCCCAGCTCTACCAAAAATGAGGGAATCTGTTCTACAGGTTAACTTATCCAGAGATATTCTCCCCTAAAGGTCAGCAGAAACTTGGAAAAAGTTTCCTCAAAGCTACGTCCTAACCACAGACAAGGGGTTATGAATGTAGTAATTGTATAAACCAACTGTGATACTTTCAACCTACACACACACAATGAAATGTAGACACACACACCCATGGACACACTATTGTACTTCTGTGGTCTGCATATCCTGTGCTTAGTGGGATATTGTGTCCCATCATGAATATATTGTGTCCCATCATGAATATAATTTTGCATGTAAGCACTTTCTTTTAGATTAATTGAAATGAGCCTGTCTAAGGAGGTATGTGATGGCCTTTGCCAGTACATAAGAACATCAGAACACACACGAAGTGCATAAGTGTGTGTGTGTGTGTGTGTGTGTGTGTAGAGAGAGAGAGATTGAGAAACGTATTTGGTTCCTATGTGTAGACTGCACAAAGACAAGAGGTGTTGGTTGCATAGGATGAGGTAACGGTAGGAAGAGGTGAAAGAACATTTAACTCATGTGCAAATCAGTTATTTAACGTTCCTTTATTCCCCAGGTCTTGATCTGCATCCAGGCCAGGCCAGGAGAACTCATTCTGGTCAGACAGCGGGAAATTCCACCACATGGAATGGTGTTGGTGGTCTCCGCTCTACTCCAGTCCAGGAGCCCACACAGCAAAATTCCACTAATGAATGCGCCCACCCACGCAGGGCCCAGCTCTCCCCACCCCCTTCTCCCCATGCCTGCCCCATTCAACAGGCCACGCCACCACCAACCGCCTTCCTTACAACTGCCCAAGGATTCGTTTCAGGAGCAAGATTTGTTAAATTATAAATTGGAAGCATCCACCTCAATAATGAACCAAATCAAAGACCCTCTGGAGGAATCCCTCAGGCAGCTCATGGGAGGGACCAGAGGAAGCATTTGCCCACTCCTCTCCCTCCTGCCCTCAGCCCCAAGGACCCTCCATGAGGGAGGAGACGAGGACATGCAAGTGCAGAGCCCACCAGACCTCCGAGGTGGGTCCCACCGAGCCTAGGTTATTTGTTTTTCCTTACAAGAATGCTAGTCAAAGCAAAACTTTAACCCAACAAACCAACAAACAAAATACCCCTAGTTGGCTATTTGCACACAGGGGTTGCCAAGGAAGGCAGCCTGAAGGGTCCCTTTGTGACCAGAGGCGTTTTTGAAAGGAGACAGCAATGGCTGCTTTATGAGGAAGTGGTGAGACGGTCACATGTTATCCGCATTGCTGTGGAGGTCGGCCTGACCACCCAGGAGCCTTCACCAAGATGGCCTGATAACAGCCCACCGTGGGGCTCCCAGGCCTCTGCAGCGGTCTTCCTGGGACCCAACTGTCCTCCAAAAGAACTGCTTCCAACAGAGTAGACATGGAGCCCCACGGCCACCTAAGTGACTCTGTTTCTGAGCATGCTACAGGGTAATTAGGTTTCACATTCCTGCTGCTTTTTACACACGGCCTTAGCTTTCTCATCAGGCCTGTGGCAGAGCACAAGGCAGAATGAGAAGGGGGGTGCCGCATCCATCCCCTGGATGGCCAGGCCCTCCAGACAGGGCCACTGTGACACGGGGGCTGGGGGCTGGGAGGGAGGAAGGGGAGAAGGCATGAAGCGCCTTATGATTGAAGTGGCTTGGAATAATAAATATACACACTCTTTTTTAAACGTGGCTCACCACATCCTGGGAATCTGGAAAAAATGCCCCACTTCACTGTCCCTCACCCTCCTCCCCACCTACCCCCCAGCAGCAGTGGCTTTCATGACGCCTGGGGGAAAGCACAGGGCCTTTGATAATAAGGGGCTTGTTAGTTCTAGGCTAACAGCCCTCCCAGGCCGCTCTGAATCCTTTCAAGCACTTTTTTATTTTAGGTCAAGGAAGTTCGTAAATGTAAAGACTCGAGATTGTAGAAGGAGAAGAGGAAAGGGAGAAAGAAGCATTTGGGGGTAGTTGTCATTGGGAGGGGCAGCCAGGGACCTCCTATGGTAGATCCGTCAGGCCTGGTGGACATGCCCTTCCCTTGGTGTGGGGGACAGATAATGGAAGGTGGCTTTGAGCCTTGAAGAAGACCTAGCCTTGTTTGAACCGTCTAAGCTTTGGCTTAGATAAAACTGAATCTTTGTATAGGAAGACCCTTTCGAATCCACAGGCCTTGAATAAATCACATCAGCTGGCTCTGGCGACGATTCCTCTGCCTGCCAGAAGAGGGCAGCACATGCTTCCTCATTACAGGGAAAGCTGGGCTGCCCAGTCCAAAGGGTGGACACTAGGTATGGAGGCGGGGGGAGCACTGTGAAATTAATAGCAGCAGCAGCAACAGCAGCAGCAATAGCTATCACATATTGGTGCCTACTGTGTGCCAGGAACTGTCCTAAGTGATTTATATGCATTAATTCATCTAATTAACATGACAAATCTTCAAGAGAGGGTGCTATTACAATCTCCATATTACCGTTGAGGAGGCTGAGGCATACTGAAATTAACAGAACTTGCTATTGTAGCCACGGACTGCCTAAGATTGAGGTCAGCAAATTACAGTCCAAGGACTAAATCCAGTTCACTGCCTACTTTCATGCTGCCCTCAAGCTAAGTATTGTTTTGTGTTTTACATTTTTGCATGGTTGGAAAAAAGTCAAAAGAAGAATAATATTTCATGAAGTGAGAATGATGTGAAATTCAAATTTCAGTGTCCACGAATGATGTTTTATTGGAACACAGCCCTATTTATTTGTTTACATATTATCTGTGGCTGCTTTATGATTCCTGCAGCAGAATTGAGCAGAGTCTGGTAGAGGCTATGTAGCTTGCAAAGCCTAAACTATTTACTATCTGACCCTATATAGAGAAAGTTTGCCAAGCCCTGACTTATGAGGAAGAGCTACCTGTTTCCAGGCAAGAGGGACAGAGAACAGAGTTGCTATTTACTGGAAATGGAGCTAGTATCGCTATCCCAGGGCAATTTAGAAGCAATGTTGAACTTGATTCACTTTTTTTCCAACAGGGCAGCTCAAGGTCAAGCAAAAGGAGGGTCTGACATGTCACTGAATAGCCTCAAGGAAGTAATAAAAGGTTAGATCTGGAAAGGACTGTGAAAGTCCACTATTATGTCTCAAGTCTAAGGTGCACATTTTTTTCACTCTTTAACATCTGTGAAATCAGGCAATGTCTTACAATCAAAATATGAGAGGTTAAGTGAAAACACTTTGTTTAAGTGATAGCATTTTGTTGTTGTTTCTTAGAGGTTTGTTTGTTTGTTTGTTTTTGAGATGGAATCTTGCTCTGTCACCCAGGCTAAAGTGCAGTGGCATGATCTTGGCTCACTGCGACCTCTGCCTCCCGGGTTTAAGTGGTTCTCCTGCCTCAGCCTCCCAACTAGCTGGAATTACAGGTGTGCGCCACCATGCTCGGCTAATTTTTTTGTAGTTTTAGTAGAGACTGGGTTTTGCCATTTGGCCAGGCTGATCTCAAACTCCTGACCTCAAGTGATCTGCCCACCTCGGCCTCCCAAAGTGCTGGGATTATAGGTGTGTGCCACTGTGCCCAGCCAGTATTTAAAATAATAGTGTCGTACAATCAATGACACCTTAGATTAGGCAGTTCCTGCCTCCAAAGATCCAGCCTCTTTTTGGTCCTTTCTGTTGATGGGATACTCACTTCTTTTGCTGGCAGTCCATTCTACAGATTTAATTTTAAAGTTTCTTTTCTTTTTTCTTTTTAGACGGAGTCTCATTCTGTCGCCAGGCTGGAGTGCAGTGGCACCATCTCGGTTCACTGCAACCTACAACTCCCTGGTTCAAGTAATTCTCCTGCCTCAACCTCTCAAGTAGATGGGATATAGGCACATGCCCCCACGACCAGCTAATTTTTGTATTTTTAGTAGAGACGGGGTTTCACCATGTTGGCCAGGACGGTCTCAAACTCGTGACCTCGTGATCGGCCTGCCTTGGCCTCCCAAAGTGCTGGGATTACAGGCGTGAGCCACCATGCCCGGCCTAATTGTAAACTTTCTAATGTTGAGCTGAAGTGTGTAAGCCTAAATTTTCTATACATCAAATGAGGATGATCTTGCTTAATACGTTTACTTTAAGAGTCTTAAGATCTTATTAAAAGGGAGCGAAGGGAAGGAAGCACTGTGACCCCCGGGGTAGGGAGGACCAGAGCCGGCTGCAGGAATCAGTCTGTCGGTGTGGTCACACCAGGCAGTCTGCAAGATGGGAGGACAGGGATGAGTTGTTGGGGACACAAACCATGAAAACCTGGAAGGAAAAGAAAGACCGCCAGTGATACAGATGAGTTCTTTTTCTAGCAGCATCAGCCAGGAGCATGACCCACTGCAGGTGGCACCTCTTAGAAGGAGAAGACAGGAGCAATTTGAAGATTCGGGCCTGAATGGAACAAGAAGACAAGGAAAGAGCGAGGAATGCACCTGTGGCTGGCTTGCCCCTGCTGCCTTATATGAGGGCTCTAGGAGATGAGGAAGGGAAATGAGAGAGGCAGGATGACAGTCATTGATATTGTGTTAATAAGAACCACAATGTCCTCCTTCAATCACGTTCCCATTCAGTGGGAATGATCATCCAAATTCTGAGATAAACTCACTGAGGTTCCTAGAATAACCCGAGAGTCTTCTTCCATTCTATGTGGCAGGGACAATCAATTTTTCCAGAATAAGCCCAGGGAGCTTCCAGGTTCCAGAAAGAGGAGCCTCTGATGTGAGCCTTAGGGAGGTGGAAACCTTGGCCTTTATTTGGAAACAGAACCAAGACTGCTCAGGGACCTGTGTGGCTAATGGCCACTTTTTTGTTCCAGCAACAAATTGGGAACCAGGAGGTGGTGGGAACTAGGGTACACTCCCTCGCCCTCTGGTAACCACGTTTGAGCTTGGATTGGAGAGAAAGGAGAAGCAGAGGGCTTAGCCCTAACCAGGTGCTTTTCATCTGGGGACATGTGTCCTGGATTTCCTGGGACAGTACCAATTTCTTATAATTTGATTATTTTCAATGAAGGCAATTTGTTAGGCATCTGATTTTCAGTTTGGAAAACATGGCCACTGCAGTTACAACTGATGAAGGGCAATGCAATCTGAGCACATGCCCAGCACGTCACAGATACCAAGGAAGGTTTTTAGGGCTTTCTTTCGGAAGTTAGAAGCACCTTATTAGGACAAGTATTTTAGGAAGAGTATGTTAGGACATCTCAGAGTCTTCCATAAAAAGAGAACTAGGTGCAGCCTTGCGAGTGAAAGGGGTACATCTTTGCACATCTAGTGCAGGAGCCCATTCATCTTGATGAAAATAGATAAGCCCAGACAGGCTGTTCTGTGTCCCATGTGCTGGGTGGACAGAGAGGGGCAGGGAGGTTGGCGACACACGCCTGAGGCTGCAGGGAGGTCTCCTGAGTCTTCCAGAGAAGATGGAGAGAAAGGAAGAAAGTGAGTTTCAGGTGAAGAGAGAACACAGGGATTGTGAGATCGGGAGGAGCACAGCTCACAGGTGGGGGAAGATGGAGAGGAGTCAGAGCAGCAGGAAGTCAGCAGGGCCTGGAGTCTACAGCAGCCTGAAAGAGAAGTCACAGGAGGGGAGAGCCAAAGAAAATGGAAACCACAGCTCCTCCGTGCCTGCGGCTCACAGCAGGAATATTTGTTATTCTTCTGGGAGGCTGGTTTGTTTTTATCTTCTAGGAGGACCGAGCTGCAGCTGACCAGGGGCCCTGTTTTGCTTTGTCTGCTCACAAGTTTAGAGCCAAATTTGTGGTCTACCTTCTGTGTGGCGCACGAAGGCCCCGGGGCTGCCCTGACTGTTTTAGCTCACCCAGGGCTCCATTTGATGGTTGTCTCCTTGTTTTTCTTTCTCACCTCCTCTTGGCCTTTGTTGGTTTGCCGTGCTTTATGCATCCCTGGGAGTAGCTATAAAGCCTTTCTGGAACAAGTGGAGTATAAATTTTAAAATAGAAAGAAGGCCCCCCAAGACAGAGGAATACAGAGGTGGAAATAAGAGAGAAAAGTGGACTTGAAGGGGGAAGAAAAGAGGGAATTCAAAGGAAGCCTTGAAAGACTAAAACCATCCAGATTGGGCAAAACACCACTTAGTGCAGGTCGCCTGGGAGGCCTGAGAGAGCTTAAGCCCCAAGACTGCATGTGATACAGATGAGATACTATTGCCCCTGGGGCTTTTCAGACCTCTCACTAGGGGAAAGGGAGTCCTGTGGAAGTGGGCTGCGCAAAAGGAGGTTGGATGGAAGGTGGTCAGCGTGAATAGAGCAGGAGAAATACTGAATTTTTGTCTTAGGCTACAGGCATAGGCATGCCTACTTCCTCTCCAGCTAAAAAGAAAAGGGGCAAAAGCACATGAGAATATGACACTGGCACCAAAAACAAGGATGGTAATTCTTGGTAGGACATTAACTGTATCTGAGGGAAACATGATAGACCTGGAAGAAATTTTAAAAAGGGGTAGGAGACTTTTCAAATTAGTTAATCAAAATAGAGCATTCAAGATGCACATTAGATCCATTTGTTAATTACCTGCCATATGCGATGGGGACAGAACATGAAATAAATCATGTGTATTGCTAGGATTGAAGCATAAGGAAAGAGAGATTGTGGAAAATAAAGTGAAATATAGCACTTTCTGCCTAGATTATGATAAGTAACTAAAATGAATTTCTTGAAAACCAAGAGATTTGCAGGGATTTTTAGAGTCTGTTCAAATGGCAGATTGAGGGTAAGAAATGCAAAATGTAAGACAGATATTCAGAGGGAGAAGTCCACATCCTCTTAGGAATGACAGAGAGTGGGGGACATGTTAAAGTAGGTGTCAAAGAAACCCCTTTAGGGAAGAGACAAACCCAAGGAGCCAAAGGGGTGTTCCAGTGGCAGGCGGGGAGGGGTGTTTCACAGCGACGCTTGCTAGAGGTGGAGGCACTGGCTTGCAGAAGGTGGAGGCCTGGGCCCTTGCTGAACTCCACCATGTGCCAGGCAGGCTGGGTAGAGAGCATGATTAAGGGGGAGGACAGACCTAACTGCTTGCTAATTACAGGGATGCTGCAGGATGTGCCAAAGGGGCATGGATGACACTGTGCCCTCCCTCAAGCCTTCTACTTCAGCACTCTATGAACCTCCAGGTCTAAACCCAGGGCATAACTTCTCCCTGCAAGATTGAAAAAGTGAATGTGGGGCTCAGAGGAGGAACCCCTCCAGCCAAATCTAAATGCAGTGCTGCTTTCTCCCATCTCAAAGATGCTCTTTCGCAGGACCACGAGCACTCTTCCCATGTGGGTTCCTGATCCAGTTCCCTATCATCACCCACTGGTCCTCCCCTTTCTAAGGGAGCAGGGTTTGTGCTTCCTCCATCAGACTGAGCTCTCTCTGGTTGTGTAGAATCTGAGTAATGGGTGGATTCCACATGAGAAAAGCAGACAGAAAAGGATATCCAAGAACACTTTCAGGGAGCTGCACATAGCAGGCAAAAGTCTCCCAGGACCTTCTCTGCAGCATTTTATAACACAGATCACTCTTTTAAAACAACAACAACAACAATAAAGCTTGCTTTCCCATCTTTATGCCCTCCCCACTACCCCCGATTTCCTCCATCCTCCCTGGCTAGTCCTTCTTTCTCTTCCTCCTTGACTCCTCTCCCTCTGTCATCCCATCTATGTGATTGATCCTTGGGCATCGTCTTAATCATCTAAAGATGTATAACCCCTCAAACTGCATTTTTATACCAGAACTCTCTGCTAAGGTACAATTGTCTACCCGAGATAACTGCTCAGAACAACGGCTGACTTTTTTTTTTTTTTTTTTTTTTTTTGAGATGGAGTTTCACTCTTGTTGCCCATGCTGGAGTGCAATGACGTGATCTCGGCTCACTGCAACCTCCGCCTCCCGGGTTCAAGTGATTCTCCTGCCTCGGCCTCCTGAGTAGCTGGGATTACAGGTGCTTGTCACCATACCCTGCTAATTTTTGTATTTTTAGTAGAGATGGGGTTTTGTCATGTTGGTCAGGCTGGTCTCGAACTCCCAACCTCCGGTCATCTGCCTGCCTTGGCCTCCCAAAGTGCTGGGATTACAGGGGTCAGACACCATGCCTGGCCCCAGCAGCTGACTTTGAACGTGGTAGTGGGCATTATTCCAAGCACACTTATGAGGTATACACAGTTATTACCCCCATTTCACAGATGAGGAAACTGAGGCATTACAGAGTTGAAGTAACCTGTGCCATGTTACAAGGACAAGAGGCAAAGCTGGTGTCTGAACTCTGAACTCTAAAGTAGTTGGCTTTAGAGTCTGCAAGTTGAGCCATACACAGTCACCTGCCTCTCTGCATAGGAAACACAGCATGTTTAGAAACACCGTCCTTATCCTTCTCCCCAAAACCAGGCGTGTGGGTGAGAGATCTTAGAGCACAAGAAAACGAAGCAACTTCCCCAAGTAGCACCTGACTTAATGTGGGATCTTGCCACCGAGTCATGAGAAAATCCAGTCTACATTTAAGTGAAGTGAAGAGCAGGTTGGAAAGAGTGAGAGGAGGGGGCATGGAGGCAGTATCTGGTTACTGCAGACCAAGGGGACCTGGATCTAGAAATTACAGAGGAGGGGTGAGTACAGTGATAGGCCTAAACACGGAGCACAGAATCGTCCCTCAGGGAACAAAAAAAAATGCAAGGCTGCTGAGGTATGAGAGTTGGGCCAGGCCACTGACGCTCCTTGATGACACTTTGGAGAGGAGGACCATGCACCAACAAAGTTTAAAAAGTAGAAAATAGACTGAATGGGTGGGAGATTTGGAAGAGCTAACTGAGGGGGAAGCAAGAGCTGAAGCAGCAGTTTCTGATGTCATTATTCATCTTAGTCCCATTTTTGTGCTAATAGCAATAATCAGAATAATCAAATTTAACAGTTACGAGGCCAGACACTGCGCTAAGGGTTTTACATGCGCTGAGTTATAAAATAGATGAACCTGCATTACAAACCTTGGTGATATTATTAATTACCTTATTGCCAGATAAAGAAACTGAATGTAAAGTCCATTTTACAGATGCAGAGCCAGAGGCTCAGAAAGAATAAGCCTCTTGGGTAAAGTTGTGCAGCTAGAAGTGCTGGGATTCAAACCCAGGCCGGGAATTGCACATGTACTTGTTTTACAGCTCCCTGTAGATTGTTAGTTCATGGAGGGCAATGACTTTGTCTCGTTGCCTTGGCAACTCCAGAACCTAGCACAGTACCTGGCACATAAGCAGTGCCCTTTAAATATTAGCTCGGACTTGTAGTCACTTTATATAACTTGTGGTTTTTTGAATGAATCAGTGAATGACTGAATGTACAAACTAATGGATGATTCTCTCCATTACTCCAGTACTGCTGGGATGGCTCCCACGGATGGGGTCTCGGTTGTGGTAGCTGGGGACTTACAAGGCTTTGGGGAACAACAGGGAAATTTTACTTGGTGGTTCCTGTAGCCACCACAGGAGTGGAGTGGAGAGGTGACCCACCATGGAGAACCATGTAACAGTGTTGGCTTTTCTCATGCTTTCATTTTGAGAGGGCAGAAAAGGATCATGACCTGGGCCAGTGTGTGTATGGGGGCTGGGGCATTAGTGACCAGGTAGAGGGGAGGGAGGGCTCTGCTCAAGAGAAAGTAAATGAAAATACAAGAGAAACCCTCTAAAGAAAGAAAGTTGGAGAACTAGGTGCAGAGCTGAAGATCCAGAGGGAAAAAAATGGCAAAGTAATGTAGGGCGGCATGTGGAAGGAGGCCTGGGCCTGAATGCTGATGCTCTTGGGGAGAGGCCACAGCCATGGAGCTCACACAGAGCAGAAAGGGGATGGACCATCTCCCGGGTCAGGGGCTGTGGGGCTCTGGGACCGTAACACAGGAGCCATGCTGCTCTCTACAGGAGGGCAAGCCTTACAGGAGCCTTCACCTCTGGCTTGCTAAGCCTAAGAATTTTGGACCCAGTTGACCACAACTCGGGGGTATTGGGTGGGAGGAAGGACAAGTAAAGAGGAAGGGAGGGGTGTGGGCAAGTTATAGTTCCAGGGAAGGAATGTGTGGTGTCTTGTTAAACAGAAGGTGGAATAGCACATCTGGGGACAGGCTCTTTGGGAAAGCAGCAATGTTGGAGCTTTGAAATGTGCAAATGAGTTAGGGGAAGCAGGAGTCACAAGGGCAAGTCTCATTACAGAAGAAAACAGGGTGAAACAGAAGAAGGGGAAACAATGAAAATTGGAGAGTACTGAGTTTATAAGAAATGGATATGCGGCATTTGGTGGAAACTGGCTTTGGACTTGGGAATAGGAGAACTGTAAATATGGATAATATGTAAACACCATTTATAATTTTAAAAATCTGGAGGGCTCAAATGAGATAATCTTTCTGAGGGCACTTTGACAAGTATGAAAGAAGATATTTGTGGCTAAGAGGAAAGGATACTGGGTGTGGAGTCTGAAAACGAGGGTTCGAGAGCCAGCTCTGCCTTGGGGGTAGACAAGTCATGGGTCTTCTCGTTTGGTTCTCTGTCCTCAGCCGGGAAAGCAGCAATGACTCTTCTTTCCCACAATGGCTCTGAGGGGCCATATTCATTTCCTAGGACTGTTACAACAAAGTACCACAAGCTGGGTGGCTTAACACAACAGAGACTTTTCCCCTTACAGTTCCAATATCAAGGTATTAGTAGGTGTCCTTCCTTGCCTCTTCCAGCTTCCGGAAAGCTAAGAGTTCCCTGGCTTGTGACAGCATCACCCCAGTCTCTGACTGTCTTCACATGGCCTTCTCTCCTCTACATGTCTGTGTCCTCTCCTCTCCTCTTTTTTTTTTTTTTTTTTTTTTGAGTTGGAGTGTCGCTCTGTTGCCCAGGCAACAGTGTGATCTCGGCTCATTGCAACCTTCGCCTCCTGGGTTCAAGTCATTCTCCTGCCTCAGCCTCCCAAGAAGCTGGGACTACAGGCATGTGCCATCACATCTGGCTAATTTTTGTATTTTTAGTGGAGACGGGGGTCTCAGACTCCTGACCTCAGGTGATCCACCCACCTTGGCCTCCTACAGTGCTGGGATGTAGTCAAGAGCCACCACACCTGGCCCCTCTCCTATTCTTATAAGAACAACAGTCATTGGATTTAGGGACTACACTAAATGCAAGATGATCTCATCGCCAAATCCTTAACTAATTACAGCTGCAAAGACCCTATTTCCAAATGAGGTCACGTTCTGAGATCCCAGGTGGACATACATTTAAAAAAATTTTTTTAGAGACAGGACCTTGCTCTTTCACCCAGGTTGGAGTACAGTGGCATAATCATAGCTCACTGCAGCTTCGACCTCCCAGGTTCAAGCAATCCTCTTGTCATGGCTTCCTGAATAGCTGGGACTACAGGCATACATCACCTTGCTCAGCTAATTAAAAACAAGTTTTTTTTTTTTTTGTAAAGACAGGGTCTTACTATGTTGCCCAGGCTAGACATGAATTCTGGGGGGACACTACTCAACACACTATAGGGTTCAAGCAGCAATGAAGCAAGAGCACCAAGTAGATTGAAAGTACTTTCCACATGCTTCTTCTTATTTCCCAGAAGCCACTCTCTTTCTAGTTTCTTGACACACACCTCTAATGGATGTCATTGCCCACAAGATAAAAACCCAAGCCCTCCAAGCTGGCACTGTGGGCTTCAGTCACTTTTTCCAGTCTCTGTCCCTGACTTTTTCTCAACTTCCCCGCATCTTCTGCTCAATGATCTCAGCCAACTGCTTCCTTCTTAATCTTTATGACCCAGTTGAAACTCCCAGAAAAGGAGTCTCATGCATTTACCCCCATGGTAAATGCTTCTGGTTCTGAATACCTTCGACAGAAATTATTTTGTTCTTTTACCTGCAGTTAATCAGCTCTCCAGACCCTCTTGGATCAAACTGACTTGAAGCCTGTCCTTCTGCATCTGCCAGGCATTGAAGACTGAGGAAGTGTTTGTTTCTTCTTTGGACCTCCAGAACCAAGTTTTGCACTTGTCACAATCTGGGTCCTGAGTAGCTTCCTGAATTATTTACTTCCCGATACACCAACTCTGTTCCTGCCATGATTTCGTCTCTTTTACCATGCATAGCTGCATATGCTGGTCGCCTTGATCCAAAGAGATGCTATTCTCCTTGGAGCTTCTGGGGCATCTAGCATCTATTCCCTTGTTTTGGTCCATTGTGCATCAGTCACTTGTTCATTCACAAAGATTCATGGAGCACTTAAGTTGCTTGGCTTTGTGCTGGACTCCAGTCATCCAGCCTGTGAGGCTGTCCTGTCATCCCATTCTGAGGGCAAGGGAATGGCTGCCATTGCCCATAGGATAAAAATCCAAGCCCCCCAGGTTGGCACTGCAGTGGCTAGCCTGTTCCTCCTGGGCCTAACACCGTTCTTCAAGTGTTATACCTGCTTAATTGGACGGTTCCATTCAAATGGCTTTAGGTAATTCTTAAAGGGCAATGCCAAATGAAGGACTGAAAGTGCTGTGAGCATAACTGGGGGGGACTCAGCTCCCTTTCAGAAGGCCCCGCAAGAGAACCAAGTCCTGAATTCTGTAGCCAATGTCAGAAATGAAGGGCCTGATGTAGGATGGGCCAGGCTTTGAGGAGTGGCTTTCCAGGGCCCACTGTCCTGCAGAAGGGGAGAACACAGCCCAGGTCTGCCTTCCACATTTGCCACAGTAGTGACTGTGCTGCCTCTCCCTTGGCCTCTGGAAAAATCCCTGGAGAAACCTTGTAGGGACCAGAAGGAAGCGGGAATATGTTGCTCTAATGTGATCACAGGCAGGGTTGGGAACTTGGGACAAATGGGCAGTGAGGACCGTTCCGTGCAGTGCACTATGCTGTGCAATAAGGCAGGCTCAGATGACAAAGAGCATCCCTCTCTCCAGCTTGGCAGTAAAGCCCCAAGCCTTTCCTCCTGCACCAGCTAGGCAGCAGCATCCACCACCTCCTCCCCTGTGTCAAGGGGGACAAGATGGTGGTGGCGGGGGGTGGGGGCAAATAATAAGCAGTATTGGTTCCAGATGCTTCTCTGGCCCAAGTATTTGACATGCCTATGGGCAAATTGAAGATGCCTTGGGCAGCAGATAGACCACTGCCAAGGGTTCTTGGTGGAAGGGAGTCACTCACCAGCATTGTTCTGCTGCTTGGTATTTTTGATGTAGGCAGAAAACTTGGAAAAGATGTCGATGCCCGCTGTGTTGGATTCCCGGTGTTTTGCAGCCAGTTTGGGGTACCTGGAATGGAGGATGCAGTGTTCTGTGAATCAGTAGACTTGGAGCTCCTTTAAGGGTGAGCCTATCCCTATCATGATAAGCAATACTTCCCTTTCCAGCTGCATCTACAAAATGTTTTGGGGGTCTTTATCCTCATACTATAGGGAGGGTGGGCATTCTCAGCCCTAGGGCATCCATAGAAGAAACCAGAGGCCAGTGAGGTGCTGAGATCTGCCTAGGGTGACACAGTCTGCTAGGCAAAGAACCAGAATGCCATTCAGGGGTCTCAGGATGTGTCCTTTTCTTGGGACCACCAATAAGGATGTGCCAGTGGGATGGCGCAATCAAAGTTCCCTCTGAGCTTGCCTCTCTATCTGGTAGGGTTCTCAACACTTCCCTTACCCGCTAAAATAACCATCTACTGCCAGTCCTGTGATTATAATCCTAGCTACACAGAGCTAATTCTGGGAGCAAGGAGAAGCCAGGTATGTTAGCATTAAACCATTTCTCCAAAGGAAGAATACCCACGGTCCTCTTCTGAAATGCCCTTACATGCTTATTATTTGTGTGCAGTAATAACATGCAGAAACTACCAAGCTCCAAAAAAGGACATGTGTTTTCAATTGTTTTATTTTATTTTATTTGGAGATACATTTGCAATGATCCAGCCCCCCTCTCTCTCTCTTTCGTAGAGTCTTTCATTTTGAAGCCACAATAATACAAGAGGCAGGCTGGAGTTAGAACGATTGGCCTTGAGACTGAAGGAGGTAAACTTGCTCATGTGGGAACCCAGGGCTTGGACTCATTAGCCCCATCAAAATGAAAAAAATCAACTCAAATAAATATTATTTCATAAGCATTTTATGGGTATGGCCAGGTAGTGGTGGGAAGAGATGGGAGACAGTCGCCAGGCTATCATTATTTTCAATGAATGTGCACCTCTGTGATCTCTGGGTGAATCGTTTTTGACTGTGGGCTGGTGGGTTGCCTTACGTTTAAAAAGCAAAATCCTTTTTGTTTGTTTTGATGTTTTTGATAGTTCGAACCAAACAAGACTTTAAAAAATATTTGTTGTTCTTTAATGCTTTTTTGTTACTCAACTGGCCCATGAGCTAGGATTCCTTTTGGGGCCCCTTTTGGGGCCATGTTAGGTGGCTGTGTAATTTCAGAGATACTGCCATTGGAAGAGTCCAGCTCTCTGCTGTGAGGCAGATAAGGAAGGCATTATTGTCCTCCTTTTACATGGAAGGGAACTGGATACCTGAGAAGATAAATGTTGATGGCTAATAAATGGTGGAGGGACGATGAGAACCTGGTTTCCTGGCCCTACAGCAGTGTCCTTCCCCCTCCACTGCTTCTCTGGAAACAGTGAAAGGTAATTTGCATTGAGCACCTACTGTGCAGCAGGCAGGCACTGTTCTATTCCCTTTACACGTATTCACCATTTACTCCTCAGAACAACTCTATTGGTACTATTATTAGCCTAATTTCCTACATGAGGAAACGGTGGCATAGAGAGGTTAAGCAATTTGCCTGAGGTCACATGGCTGCCTGGCAGAGCCAGGATCCCAACCCAGGCAGTTTCACTGTGGAAGACTAGGTTTTAAATTCCACATTGTGTGGCTTCTCATAAACTCCGCTGTTGATTCTCAAAGCCCCAGAACCTTAAAGGCTGAGCTGCCCACCTTGGAGGAGCTGTCTCCATCCATCAGGAGGGGGTGCTTTGCACCGATGCTCCACACACATGTCTTCCTGGGTATACTGAGAATCACCACATTCATCTGCTGTGGCTGGGGGCACACAGCAGGGCTTCCTGCAAGATACTAGGTAATCTACCAAGACACAGGAATTCAGTGTCATCTCTTTCTATTTTGGCCTTCTCACATAGAATCCAGCATGCTATTAGAATCGATAGACTTAAATTGCTATTAACAAATGCCAAGTGTTCTTTGTTTCTCCTTGATAATGTAAAGACAGAAAGGCCTAGAAAATGCACCTCAGTGGACAGCTTGTTTGGGTTTCTTGCTTTGTTTTGCTGTATCTCATCAATTGGTCAGACTTTCAGTCATCTGATCATTTCTTCACAATCAGGTTGGGCCAAACAGGGATGTGTGGTACCAAATCCAAGATGATGACAGAGGATCGTGTATTCAGGGGGCTGTGGTGGTGTCATCCTGTTTCCCAAGCACTAGGACTCGTTGTGATTTTACTGTGTAGTGCAGTGTTCCATTTGAGCTTTGTTCTTGTGGGAAGTGCGTCTCTAAGATGTTAATCTCGCAACTTTCAGTAACTACACTGGGGGAGGATACTATATAGGATAAGTGCATTCATTTTACCTCCATATTTATGGCGTGTTTTAAATATGCAAATAAGCGGGCTACAAAGTACATTCTGTTTCTCTAAAAGGCTAAGGAAGAGTGTTTCACTCACAGAAACAGCTTTGAAATAACATTGGATGTGATCTGATGATAATCAAAGAGATGATAATTTTTTCTAACTCAGGAGTCAGCAAACTGTGACCCATGACCCCTATTTGTCTGAGGTTCTCAAGCTAACAATGGTTTTCACATTTTTAAATGCTTGAAAAAAATCAAAAGGAGGATACTGTTTTGTGATACGTGAAAATAATATGAAATTCAAATTTCAGTGTTCATAAGTAAAATATTATTGAAACAGCAATGCCCATTCATTTACATACTAGTTTATGGCTTCTTTCACAGTGTCACTGTGGAATTGTGACAGACACTGAAGGGCCCACAAAGCCAAAAATACATGACTATCTGACCTTTTACAGATAAAGCTGCTAACTCCTGATCTAACTGATGAAAATTTCTCTCCACCCGGTTTTTAGGATATCTTATTTCAAATGCATGCACTTAACTTTCATTCTGGGAAGTAAAACAGTTGGCTTCTCACCAAAAAAAAAAAAAAAAAAAAAAAAATTTTTCAAAAGTAGAAAATAGTAGCAAAAAAAGAGAAAACCATTGCAGATGGTAAGTGCCCTATCTGGTTTAGAGTCCCAGCTGACTTCTCACTGACTAGCCACAGCCAACCAAGACACTGAACAAAAGGATACCCACCATGCAATTAAACCAATGTGCATGAAACACCTACTGAGGACTAGGCCCTGAGATTGGTTTTGGGGATAGATACCCTGGAGAAAAAGAAAGACGGTCCTGATGGAATGGCCTTGCTGATGGCAGCTTAAGTGTTTTCCCTCCTTTTTCTCACGAGCTGAAAAGTGGAAAGACTTCCTCTCTCTCTCCCTTCTCCATTGTTCCCACTTCCTTACTTCATCAACCCCTCACACGTGAAGGACGTTAATGCATCTGACTTTTCTAATCCTTGACTGTGTGCTTGTTTGACTCATGTCTGCTGTGTAAGCAAAAGATCTCTGGAGGTGGAAGAGGCCTGGCTTATTCATTAAAAGATATCCCCTAGGATCTGGGGATTTAAGACCTAAGGTCACCAATTGTCTGTACAATTGCACCTGGGAGACAGACCCAAAACAGGCACTGGCCACTCTTTCTAACTCCTTGAGCTTCCATTTAATGAGCTCTTACTTCATATCAGGCTCTAGGCTCATTAGTATTATTTTTTACAATAGCCCTATAAGATCAACAGTATGGTTCTTGTTTTAAAGATGTGAGAATTAAAGATTCTAGAGAATTCAGGTCATTTGCCTGTAGCGGAGAATATGCATACTCACTAAATAGCCATGTAATTCTGTTTCCCAGCTTCTCTCTCACCTAAGTTGGGATCACGTGTGGATTCTGACCAATGGCATAGGAAGGAAAGTAATGTCACCATGACATTTTTTTTGCAGGCCTGGCCCTGCAAAACACTTTGGGAGATCTTTCTTCTCTCTCTCCCTGAAGGAGCCTTGGAGGGCATGTATTCCAAAAACTACAGGATGGAAGAGGGCCACCCTACCCTCTCAGAATTTGCTCAAGTGAGAAATAAACCTGTGTTCTGTTAAGCAACTGGAATTTTATGGCCGCTTTGTTACTGCAACATAGCACAACCTAGTGGTATGGATTTGAACCCGAGTCACTCTGACTCCAAACCTCCTGCCCCCAGCTACCATGCCATCCTGTGGGAGGTCTGGAGGCTGTTTCTCTACCTCCCAGAGGGTCAGAACTTTCTTGTTTTTTACTGTGGTGAGTTATCGCTATACATTTTGTAAAATAATGAATTCAAGTTGTCTTCCAATTCTGTCAGTGTTCTGAACCCTGTTGATACTTAAATCATTCTTGCTAGATGACTGACTAAATGACATGCTGTGTAAATAGACTGTATCAGTTTACCCTCCTGAATTTTTATTACAGCATCTATGTGCTAGGATTATTTGAGACAATAACCAGCTCTGGAAGAGTACTTTGAGAAACTCATGGAATTGTGGAACATGCAACAAAAGACATCTTGGAGACTATGTAGTTTCACCCCCTCATTTTAGAGATGAGAAGGCAAGGAGGGTCTGAGCGGGAGAGAGGCTTGTCCAAGGTCATATGACAAACACTCATAGAGAGGTGGCCAGAGGCAGGGCTCCTGACTCTCAGTGCTGAATCCTAGAAACTTTGGCCACTTCAGGAGATGAAAGGCAAGGGCCAGAATGTCTCAACAGTAATCCCAGCATTAATCACAACACTTCCTTGTCGAGTGTTCACTAGATCAATCTAAGGAGAGGGATGGATGTTAGTCTCATTTAGAAACAACTTGAGACTTCCTGGATTCCTCATTTTGACACCAAATGCTCCCTGGGATCAAATGTGATTTGAAAAAAATGGTTGGAGTGTTTGTATGTGGTTTTCTCCTTTAAAAAATAAAGCTAAGGGAAAAAGCCTCCCATAATGTGTTGGCTTTTGGCAGCTTTTACAAATAGTGGTATGATGAGAAACACATGGCCGACCAGCGCTTGGTGAATGGTTATGAGGGTTTTGCTGCCCCCTAGAGAACCAGAAGGCCAGGCTGTCCTGCTCCAGAGGCCTGACAACCTCCCAGCCACTCCATCTCCCAGCCTGAGTCGCTGGGGAAGCTGGTGAGGCTGGTGGTTTGTTCTGGGCAGACCAGCAGGTCTCTATGGGGCTGAGGCACTGGCTTGGTGACATTTACTGGGAGGTAATTGTGGCACCTGCCTCAGTCTGATGGGTGCAAAGGCATCTAAGGTATAATCCTGGGATGCTCTGGAATACTTGATGGCCTCACCCTTGGCGCCCCCACCTTGGTAGGCTTCTGGAGATATGCATTTTAACAGCATCAAGCGTTCTGCTACCTGAGAGTAGTGGATTGTTAGGTCACTAACATGGCAGGAATGCACTTCATAAAACCTCCTATACACAACTGCAGTCCAGAGAAGGACCTGGACCAGCGGGAGCAGAGCTCAGGACAGGGAAGGTAGGTGGAGAGGAGGGAGTGGAGGGAGGGTCCACATCCAGCCCTGCCCAGCTCTATTTGGATCATGGAAACTTAGAATCTGATGAAATGATGACGAAGTCAGATGATGACTCGCCTCTGGAAGAATGTTCAAGGACGCATGGGGCATACAATTCCAGTGATCTCTGTCCACCTTGTGGTCCCACCGTGGTTGCAGATTGGAGACCCCTGAGTTAGAGAAGCAGCCCAGGAAAGGCACAGTTGCACTGGGGGTGGTGTGGTAGTGGTGAGGGAACCTGGCTAAAGGGCATGTGAAGAATCAGAGAGCAAGAAGGGCTCTGGGAGATATCCTGTCACAGAGAAGGGAACTGAGTCCTAGAGCAGAGAAGAGACTGGTTCAAGAGGTGAAGGGACTGGCTCAAGAGGTCACAGCACATCACTAGCAGACTAGGATTGTACCCCAGCCCCTCACCCCTCCATCCACTGCCTGGCAACAGACCAAATGGGCCCCTCTGCTCCTCACTGCTTCCACTTTCCACTTCCTAATGATCATGACGGAAGCCCCCACTCCTGAGTGCCAGTGTTACTTCTAAGAGGGAAAATGTTAACTGCGTCATGAACTTTCCTCTATGGGTCTCCCAGGCAAAGTCTAAACTCTAGTTATTGAAAACAGCATTTTTTTTCATGTGGGATTTCAAATCAGTGCTAGCAATGAGGTTGAGTCCCGGGGAGGGGGATGGAGTCTGGGCTCCCTCAGGGCAATTCCAGTGAAGTGGCTGGCTGGTGTCCTCTTCAGAGATGTGTGTGTGTATGTGGGGCTGTCCTATTGATTTAATTAATGCACTTATTTAGAGTCTATACTCAGCTGCTTCCAATGGGCTTGAGGTGGCTTTTTCACTCTCAGTGTGCAAATAAGCTGACTGAATATGGATGACAAAGAATATTTTTAAGGAAGAATATATGATTGTTTAAGGCTTATTTGGAGCATGACTGGCAGTTTTAATTTTTTAACAGCAATTCACTAGATGTGCAACCTTGGGTAAGTGACTTACTCTCTCCCTGTCCTGACTGTGAAATGAGGATAATGATAGTACCTAGGATGCTAGAAGGATGAAATGAATCATATTAGCTAAGTGTTGTGAATGGTGCCTGACACAAAATGAAGGCTATAAAAGTGTTGATGAATAAATAAAACTTTAAAATAAATGCAGGATGGTGGTTTTTAGTAGTCAAATCTCACTAACTTTACTTACTCAGTATGTCCTGAACCCTTCCTACTCCTCTCCCCCGATTTTCCTGCCCTGTCTTGGCTTAGCCCTTCATTCGTCCTGCCTGGACAGTCACCAATGGCTCCCCAGAATTAATTCCTCTATCTCCAGCTTCATGGTCCTCTAGGATACCGACTTCCCTCAACCTCTAAAGTAGGTCTTAAAACGGACTCCCCACCTCCTGTGCTTAATCCCTTTCAGAATATCCCACAGGACTCACTACAGGATAATACCCTACAGGATAAAGTTCATGCCTCACTCTATATGTAATATTATTTTTCTAGTTTTTTCAAAAATTGTGATTGTTTTAATCCTTGATAATAGTATTCTTTAATGAACAAGTCTAGCTTGGGTAAATTTTAGAAGCCATCTGTCTTCTTTTTACTGCTCTTTTCCATCAGTAGCAATGTGTCACCCAACAAGAACTTATAGCTCTACGGTCTATACTCTCCCTGAACCTGTTTGCAGAAGAGGAGCTGCTGCTTTTAGTTGATTTTTTTCATCTGTTTAATTGTGGACTCAGACCAGATTTGGTCAGGTTTAAGACCCTGGATGTTGTTTTAAGTCACTGGGTTACCCTTTCCTGACTTATTTTCATTCTGTCAGGCTTTCGGCTCTGGTTCTGAAATGAAGGAAACTTTGTCCTCACTTCAACGTCTTCCAAGCAAAGTGAGCTGGAGAGAAGGAACATACTGGGGCGAGGGAGGCCTGGTATCCTAGGGCTCCTAAAATCACTCTGTGTAGGTAGGAGTGACTGGCTCTTGTTCATAGGCCATATCTACTCTTGAGTGGATTTTGTGGAGTGGTTTTGAGATTGGCAGCCCTTTGGGGGTCCTAGGCTCTCTCTTTGAAGAAAGGGTCCTGTTCTCTGGACTGGTGAGGTTCCTTTGGAAATGCATCTGCCCGAAGTTAACACCAGGACTTTATAGATCCAGCATGAACCCTTCCCATTCAACAGCCCCAGAAAGAAACAGATCCTTACTTTTCAGGGGTCAAGGTCTCCTCCAGGAACTCCTCGATCTTATTGACGTCTGTCTTCACGTCCCCGTTGAAGGTCAGGAAGGGCGGGTGCGTGCCGGGGGCTAGGTTGTGCAGGTCAGCTGGCTTTCTGTAGAGAGAGCAAGATTCAGGTGTTGGCTTACAGCAGGGTGCTTCCTGTTCTGGGAAACCTAAGATTGATTGTAACTTAGATGCCCTGTGCTATCCAACATGCCTGTCAGGTGAAACAGATTTATGGTATGCAGTATAGGGCAGGGGAGGTTGGAGAAAGTTCTGAAAGAATGTGGTGTGACCCAGGAAGTGTGTCCAGTGGAGTCAGTGAGAGAGGAACAAGTCAAGATGAAGGAGTTGAAAAAATGAAAGAATTGAAAAAATGGAGAGAATCCAGGTGACTATCTAAGTCAGATCCAAGCTTTAATTACCCAGGGGAGAGGTGGGGTTTTGCTTTTAAAAGCTCTTTCACCAATCTGCCTAACAAAAATGCGCTACACATAATTCCATACTTTAAAAATTAATGAATTAGATCATACTTTTCTCCTAATAAATATCTCCAGATACAAAAAATTGGGAGTTTGGGCCATTTGTTCAAGTTAGATGCTTCTATTGTGTGTAACTTATATTTTAATATCTAATAACTAATGTCTAACATTGGTCAGCCTTTTGTCACACTCAACAGAATACTCTTTTTGAGTTATAAACAGCCCCTGATATGGTCTTTGGGTAGCCAGGAAAATAAACAAACTATTAGATTGAAAACAAAACTATTAAATGAAGATGTTTTCAAAAGTCTTCTTATTGCTAAGATTATTGCTCCACAAACACCAGGTAGGCTATTACCAAGGATTCTGAACCAAGAACCTCCTACTGGTGAGTAAGAAGATACCTGAGAGAAAGCCTTACGATTCAAGCTCCATGAGGGAAAGGACCCAGAACCATGCCTGGCATATAGGAGGCCCTCAGTAGATACATATTTTTAATGGCTACATGAATAAAGCATGCATTTTTGATTCAGCTACAGTGGCTCATGCCTGTAATCCCACCACTTTGGGAGGGTGAGGTGGGAGGATCACTTGAGCCCAGGAGTTCGAGACCAGCCTGGGCAACATAGCAAGACCCCCATCTTTACAAAAAAAAAAAACAAACAAAAATTTGCTGGGCATGGAGGCATGTGCTTGCAGTCCCAGCTACTTGGAAGACTGAAGCAGGAAGATTGCTTGAGCCCAGGAGTTCGAGGCAGTTGTGAGCCGTTGATGGCACCACTGCCCTCCAGTCTGGGGGACAGAGTGAGACTCGGTCTCAAAACAACAACAGCAATAAAAACTCATACATTTTAAATTTAAAAATGAGTGATTTTAGCTGCAAAAGTAGAAATCAAATGTTGGTCTCAAATTGGTAAAAACTTCAATCCAGTTATGAAGGCTTTCGGCTTTCAGTTAAATGTGGGGAGAACCAGTAGGCAACTCCACTGCTACAGTATTCATGCTCCACCATAGTCTACCTTTCACAGTATTTTAACTTAATTCAAGCATCTACTGTTCTCAAAATAAGACTTATTTTGAGAACATTTACTAGATTTACTAGAAAGAAGTTATTTTTCTTTAAATTTTAAAAATTCTGTTCAACATACATAAATCAAAAATCTCCTAGGAGTCAGAAATTGTGCCTATTTTTAAAAATTATGGGGTTACTTAAATGTTATCTTAAGTTAAAAACAATTTATTTTCTAAGTAAATGCAACTTCTGCTTTGTGATGGGATTCAAATAGATCACTTGATTTATGAAAGTTATTTCTTCTTATAGCAAACTTTGCTGGGCCCAGTAGGATCTTTTAGGTAACACATACATATATATGTAATAGGCAGCAAATTTGCTCCCTAAGAAGACAGAAAGCTCTTTGGTGTGCCTGTTAGTTTCTGGGTCAGACACTTAAAGAAATCCAAGATAACCAAAGCAACAGTGCATTTCTCCCCCCTGGGAAAGAGGAGACCCAAGAGTCCTAAATTATCCTGAAAGAAAGGCCTAGATGATGGAGAAGTGGGTGAAATTCTGGAACGCAGTCCCAATTGAATGAATGAACAATTAATTAACTGAACAATTAATTGAACTTCCTGCACTTAGCCCACAGCAGTGCTAAGTGGCATTTCTGGCGTGCACTGGGGAGCACACTGACTACCTGCAGGAAGGCCAAGTGCAGTGGAAAGGAAAGTGGCCTTGTGTTTGACACGGCTAGGTCCTGTTAATATCCAGGAGTGTGCTTCTGTGTCTGCGCCAGCTGGTCAGAATGCAAGAGCAAGAATGGAGCAAAATGAGGGGGAAGAAGGTTTGGCAGATTGGGGAAAATGGGAAAGGGGAGGGTTACACTAAAAATGTTTAGGGAAGAGGAGGGAAAATGGTGGCGACTTCCAAGACGGTGCTGGGATTCACCCCAAATGCTCTCTCTGAGAATGCCACATTTCTTGTGGGAGTCGGGAGTGGAAAACATTAAACGCAGAAACTGTAAAAAAAGTAAACAGTGGGAGTAGAGGAGTCTGTAATGAAACAAATTCCTGGCGTAATCAGTTTGGGAGGGGAAGAGAAGAATTTCAATTACTGTGCTACTCCCATGTCCCTCCCCAAACACACACACTCTCCAGCTGCATTCTGAGGCACTTGGAACTCAGACAACTGAGACGGAAAGTATTTTTAAAATCTAATTTACTTAGTCCCTTTATTTACTTTGTGCATGTCCCTCATTTTAGACAATGAAAGGACATTCTTTATTTGCTCCTGTTTTTTAGAGCTGACACAAGGCAGCAACGTGTGTGCTCTCAGTCACCTCTCTGTGGCTTACAGATACAGGAATGTGTGGTGGTGGTGATGGTGGTGGTGGTGGGTTTTTTCCTGGGATTCTGGAGAATTGTGGCCACTGGAGTCAGACGCCCTTGGGAAGTACTGCCTATGGCCACCGACGCTTAGCTAGAGTTGCAGCCCTCTGTCTTTGTTGACCCTGCTTCAGTATTTATAGTTGAGACTATATCATTAGCATTGGATGACGTATTGCCAGGTATGATTTATGAATTATGTAATGAGGATCGGTCTTCTTTTCCTTACTGGATTGCCAGCTCCATGAACCCAGTGATAATTCTAAGAATAACCAACATGCAACGAGTTCTTGCTATGAGTCAGGTACAGGACCAATTGCAAATGTTTTACATGGCCTGCCTCGATAAATTCTCACAATAATCCTATTGATTAAGAAGACACTGTCTCCATTGTACAGATGAGGAAACTGAGGCTCTGAAAAGTTCAAGATTATTCAGTCACTAAAGTGTAGTGCCAGGAAAATAAATCAGTTTTCTTAGAAATTAATGTGTGTGTTCATGGGTAGAGGGGGCAGTAAGAAAGTTTCCTTATCTGTAAAAATGGAGTGGTGCTACATGCCTGGTCTACGTCAAAGGGGTGTTGGCTGGACCAGGTGTGATCATGTGAAGGAGGAACCAAACCATCTGAAGCACGCGGGCAGGGGTGGTTCCCTCTCCCACTCTCTTCTCCAGCAAACATACAAGTCCTCTCTCACACATGGTAATCCAAACACCTCCAATTCTGCACTGAAGGAAGCTGCTTTTTCATAAGTCTGCTGCTCTCTTTAGTTATCACAGACATTAATTGCATAGTGGATGCAAGTTCATTTATTTGACAGATAGTATTTGAGGACCTGTGAAAAACTAGTTTCTATGGAGGATACAAACAAACTTAAAACACGATTCCAGTCTGTCCTTGAGGGATTGAAGGTCTCATTTGAAAGATGAAACAAACTTCATAACTGAGGTATTATGAAGAGCATAGTATTTGAACCAAGCAGATGGCGTTTAGCCCCTCTAATTTCTAGTTGGCATCTTGGGCGAGTCTCATATATATCTGTCTCAGTTATTTCTCAAATAACACGGAGAAGTAAGACCTCCTTCACAGGATTATACATTATGTGATTTTTTTTTAATGAGAAAGCATTTACCAGTTGTAAAGCATTAGGGGTGCAGACCTCAGAACTTGATGAAACACTAAATCACGACACAAGGCAACATAGACAACAGGTGCTGGGTGAGTCTGGAGGGAGGTTGGGTTGACAGGTGTGCTTGTATGAGTGTGGTGGGATGGGTATGAGTAGGCCTTACAGAGGGGATGGGCTGAAGCTGAGCCTGGGGCCAGGGACAAGAAGGAAGAGAGGGCCTGTTTTAGACAGAGGATGCAGTTCTGCCAAGGGATGGAGGCTCAAAGGAAGAAGAACAGCAGAAGGCAGGCCAGCCTGACAGAGTAGACAGGTCACGGTGAGAAGTGTTGGGAAAGAGTGTTGGGAAGAATGAAGGAAAAGACAAATCGGGGCTTCGGATGCATCAAGTCCATGGACAATGGGAAACATCAAAGGTTTCCTGTGCATGAAAGTGGCCTGATTAAAGCATTATTTTAGGAATAATAACCTTAGAATCACATAAAGGATGGGTCAGAGAGAGAGAAAAAGAGAATGTGTGAACCTGGAAAGATGAAGACCAGTTTGAAGAACAATGAGACTCTCAGGGTGGCAGTGGTGAGACTTGAACCAGTTGTAGGCTTTGAGAATGAAAAAGAGAGTTTGGAGGAAGAGAGAGTGCAATAGGAGAATGCTCTAGACTTGGCTACTGATCAACAATGAAGGCAGCAATAGAAAGGAGCAGGAAGTGTTTAGTGCCTAGAAAATAGAAGAAAAAGACCAGGAGCAGTGGCTCACGTCTGTAATCCCAGCACTTTGGGAGGTCGAGGTGGGTGGATCACAAGGTCAGGAGTTCAAGACCAGCCTGGCCAAGATGGTGAAACCCCGTCTCTACTAAAAATACAAAAATTAGCCTGTCATGGTGGCATGTTTCTGTAATCCCAGCTACTCGGGAGGCTGAGGCAGAGAATTGCTTAAACCCAGGAGGCAGAGGTTGCAGTGAGCTAAGATCGTACCACTGCACTCCAGCCTGAGCAACAGAGTGAGACTCTGTCTCAAAAAAAAAAAAAAAAAAAGAAAGAAAAGAAAATAGAAGAAAAAAGGAGTTCAAGAAGAGCTCAACTCAGAGGAAAAGGATACAAATTGATGTATGCAATGTTAGACATACATGATAAGAGAACATCCAAGTGAAACTATCTAGATGATAGCAGGGCTCTGGGTGTAGAACAATTCACATAAAGATAACAAGGAGAATATGCCAAGCTCACCAGGGATGAAGGTAGAGGCAGAAGATGAACACTTATGGGGTGAGCCTCGAGCTGTTCCACATTTAAACAACAGGTAGAAGACAGGAAACAGAATACATTCTGTAGGAGTGAAAAGAGTGTGGCTCCTGGTGTTTGTAAGTCATTAAACTGCACTCTAAAAACAGAACAGTAGTTGCTTTTCGTCCAAGCCTGTAATCTAGAACTGTCACACTGAGGACTTCTAAAGCTGGGAACATAGCATGGGAAAGGGTCTAGATCACAACTCTCTGAAGACTCAGACTCTCACACCTGAAGTCCTGCTAGGGTCCCACGGATGATGGCCTTAGTACTACTGAAATGACTAATCCTATGTTTTTAGATGTCTGTGCCCATATGTGCACCAGAAACTTAGTTGCAATGCCATTGTCCATTCCTTGCTTCTTCTTTGCTAATCGTAACTTGCTAATCGGGTCAGTGAAGTGCTGGGCACCAAGTGAAATACTTGCCTTTGCAGACTCTCTTGTAGCTAAGACTGGATCCTGAGACACAGTTCTGGACAATGACGTGTGAGCAGGGGGCTGCTGGGAGCCACGGAAGGCTTTTGCCCTCCTTCATGGAAGGTTCTCTGTTCATGCAGCTAAACATACTCCTCATTTATGCAACGTACGTTACCTTTTCAGATCCACAGTGGTGACATTGAACACGACTCCTTTCAGCCAGAGGATCATGAAGAGGCGCTGAGAGAAAGGACAGTTGCCGATGCTTTCTCCATCGATTCCAGCCTGGAAAGAAGAGAACCAGTGTCCTGAGTGGGCAGGTGCAATTAGCAAGGGGAACATAAGATTGTAACACCCAAATGCAGGTCTGAGGAGACCTTACTAAAACCATGTCCCAGCAACTTCAAAGGGCGGTAGCCTGATATTATTAGTTTTTGCCTTAATGTCCACGCAGGGCAATGCCTGGCAGCATGTAAGGGCTCAATAAATACTTGCTGAATTGAACTTGATGATTATGCAGAATCATAACTTTATGAAATCATAGAACCCTTGGGGTAAAAATAGACCTGCAACATCACTTAGTCTGACACAAATGATATTGGAATGCCAACATCTACACCCCCAAGTAATCATCTAGTTTCTGCTTGAATATCTCCACTGACCAGTCAGTTGTATTAATATCTCTCAAAGCAGTTCATTCTGAGGATTGCTCTAACAATTAGAAATGCTTTCCTTCGGCTACCTAGCCAAAATATGTTCCTCTGTAGTTTACCCTCCCCCACCCCTCAGTCCTTGGATGTCATGAATATAAATATCTCAGACTTTGATCCCATCTCCCTATATGGAGGCTAATCAGGAAGCTCAAGGCTTTAATCAATACACCACTTAGTTCTGGCTAGTACTTGGCCTTCACTGTCAATAATCCATTCATTTGTTACACTTTTACTCAACAAATACATATTGACTATCAGTTATGTGCAAGACACTGGAGAAAATTAGCCAGGGGATTGAAAATTGAATTCCTCCAAGGAGCTTATGGCCTTCTGTAGGTGGGCTTGGGGATAAGACAGGAACATATGTAAAAATAACAGAATTATTATTGGGTGTTCTGTGCTTCTGTCATTTCATTTCCCTTCCTCAAAACAGTAGGCTTTTTTAGGTCTGAAAAGCAAGTCCATCTTTACTGCACTTCTGAGTGGGCTGCAGATCCCTGAATTTCATAAAGAATTAATTTCAAGCAAACCTATGAACAAACAAAAAAGGTTGGGGAATTGGTCTCTGTAGAATTCATTTCCATAGGGTGGTTTATTGGCCCCCAACATAATACTTAGAGGAAGAAATAACCCATTTGCTCCAGACTCTGATGTTGGCTGCCCTGGAAACCATGGCCCCCGCAGGTGGCCTGGCAGGGCATTCCACTGACAGGAAGGGCCTGTGTGGGCCAGGGTACTGAAGACTCGTACAAAGCTGTAAACAATCCGACCAATATCCAGGAATGGGGGCTTACTGAGTTTTTTTTTTTTTTTTTTCAAAAGAAAGGGAGAAAACAAATGCGTTCTCGAAGCTCAACACACTGTTTTCTCCCTTGAGGTTTGTTTTGCTATGGCATTCAGATGGGGAGGCAGCGATGCCTTCTTTCATACATTAGAACCTCATTGTGTGCTTTTTTCTACCTTGCAAATTGCTCCCAGCAGGGGCTCAGGTTTATAATGGAAAACTGGAACTTTTGACAGTGTTGGCTGCATGTAATTGCTATGAAATTACAGTTATTTTACCTCCCTCTTAACTACACCAAAAGCCCCACTCCCTATTCAGTTCTCACTTTTCCTCAGTGCTGGAAGCAGACCCACCCCTGAGTCTTGAGAAAGCACGGACTCCGTTATATAAAATGGGAAAGGTAGGAGGGTACAGTGTGGGCGCTACACCTTCCCACGGAGGTAAAGTTACCAATAAAGCATGCTCAGACAGGTGGCTATCAATTTAATAATAGCTTGGTGCTAACTTGAGTTTATGATGTACGTTCCCTAGGAACTTCTCAAGAAGCACTTGACAGGTACCAGGTTCTCGGTCCTTTAAGACATCCCGACACAGGAAGAATTTCCCCAGGGCCAGTTATGGTGGAAGTAACAAGAGGAGAACTGAAGAAAAAAGCAAAAACAAAAACAGAAGCCAGATCCATATACTGTTATCTGTTTTCCTCTGGTGGTGGTGGTGGGAGGATAAGGGAATTGAAGGAGGAACTAGCAAAATAGTGGACTTCTCAACTACATAAAAAATTCATATAATAATAATGTTAATAATAACATATCTATATTGTCAGGCATTGTTCTAAAGGATTTACATATGTTATTAACTTGTTTATTTCTCCTGAGAAGCCTGTGAAGTGGGATATTTTCAGCTTTTACAAATGTGGAAATGGAGGCACAGAGAGATAAAATAACTGGCCTAAGGTTATCATCGTGGTGAAACCAGGACGAACGCAGGTGGTCTGGCTAGAGATCCAGTGCTCTGAGCTGCATGCCTGGAGCCAGCCTGAGGGTCCAGCCAGGTAACAGGTCCTCCCCAGGTGCTGGGGAGGGCTGGTGTTGAATTGTATGGACATCCTCTGGTCAGTGTGCAATCAGCTATGCCAGGAGCATAGGGCATGGTATCCTTCATGGCTCCCTACATTTTCATTATGTCTTATTAATCTTGTATTAAACTATGATTCTGGGTTTAGTAAACAAAAATTGTCAAAGACCAATAGAAATATGCGAGGATGCTACCATTTACTTTCACTGTCTGGGTGTCCCTCTTTCAGCTTCTTCTATTCCCCTTCAAATCCCAACAGCCTTGCGGCCCTAAGAAATTGTTTGTTAAACTCATGGGTTAAATATCGTGATCTGTGACGACCATCTGAAACATCAACAGAGAAGAACCAGGTGGGGCTCAGTTGGGCCCCACATCCTGAAAAGTGTGAGGGAAAACCCAGGTGTACTTTGTTCCAGAGAGATTTTGAGCACTGGGGGCCAGGGACCGGCACAAAAACAGTGTCCTAGGTTGAATCATGTTCCCCCAAATTCATGTCCCCCTGGAATGTGTGCATGGGACCTTATTGGGAAACAGGGTCCTTGCAGGTGGAATCAACTTGAAGATGAGGTCATATTGGATTAGAATGGGCTCTAAACATGACTGATGTCCTTACAAGAAGAGGGAAATTTCGGCACAGACATGCAGAGGACAAAGTCATGTGAAGATGAAGGCAATGATTGAAGTGATGTATCTACAAGCCAACGAACGCCAAGGATTGGTGGCAGACACCAAAAGCTAGAAGAGACAAGTAGAGCCTGGCTCTGCCCACACCTTGATTTTGAACTTCTGGCCTCCAGAACTGTGAGAGAATCCGTTTCTGCTGCTATCAGCTATACTATGTATAGCAATTTCTTGGAAACTGATGCAATCAGGGAAGTGTCAAAAAGACAATTATATATATATATATATATATATATATATATATATATATATATATATATATATAAACAGCTAATGGCAAACTTCCCAAGCTCATGATTCTGCTTTGAACATGATTGCCAGCTATAATCCTAAAGTACTTCCTGTTCCCTAGATACAGTGTATATAACAACTTATTATAAAATATCATGCCACATATAATATTCCATATGGTGATACCAGTAGTAGTAGCATAATGTAATTATATAGGCTGTATGATTGCACTTCATCTGTTATATGCTGGATACTTCATATTATATGCTATTATATATTGCCTTTCATGTGAGCTCTCTCCATATATGATGAGCTTGGCTCCCTCAAAACATAGTTGAAGTTTTATTTACTTTGTCTTCAGCAGCAACAAGCACAGGCACCTGAAACTTACTTTATATTCAGTGCCTATTTAAATGGATGCATGCTGAGGGGAGGGTGATGTCCCTCCCTTTTTGTGGCTTGAGGATCTCAAAATTCTCTCACTGGCATTCTGAAAATCATCCTAAAATACATGCATACATACTACATACATACATACATACATACTACATACATACATACATGGTTACCCTGAGTTATGTAGCACACTAGCCGGAGACTGTGGTTCTAGATCCATCTCTGCCTCTACTTCACTATGTGAATGACCTTAGATAAGTTACCTCCTCTTGGCCTCAACCACTGCACCTATAACTTCCTGCAATTTTGTAAATTCAAGTGGAAAATGGAGATTTATTTAAGACCGCGGTTCTCAAACTTTTTAGTCTTAGAACTCTTTTATGCTTTTAAAGATTGTTGAGGATCCCAGAAAGGTTTTGTTTATGTGGATGATAGTTATTGATATTTACCGTGTTGTAAGTTAAAGCTGAAAAACATTTAAATATTTAGAAAAATGCTATAATAAATGTGTCTATTAACATACACAACATCTTAACACAAAATAACTATATTTTCTAAAAACAAGAAATTTAGTAAAAGTGGCAATGTTTTATATTTTTACAAAATCTTTAACATCTGACTTAGTAGAAGTCGGCTTCCACATTTAATCTCTTGGTATTTAGTTGGGGTATATGGGGCTTTTGTTGTTGTTGTTGTTGTTGTTGTTGTTGTTGTTTTTGAAACAGAGTCTTGCTCTGTCATCCAGGCTGGAGTGCAGTGGCGCGATCTCAGCTTATTGCAACTTCTGCCTCCCAGGCTGAAGCAAATACTGACAAATATTAAGTCTGAGTAAGCATGGTGTGTCAGCCAGTTGCTCTTTCAGGTAAAAACTGCTTAGTGAGGGAGGCAGCTGGTTCAGCTGGCAACTCAATCATACAAGTGCTTTTCCTTCCACAACCATCAGACTTTGGAATGCAGCCAAAGAGCTTATGTGCATTTCCCATTTCATCAACCAGAATGTTTAGAAGACATGTATGCAAAGGTTGAGATTTAATCACATTATATAATTTTTAATGCTTCATCAAGGACATTCATAATTGAGGCTATTTTTTTTTTCTGCACATGCATGACTGGCTAGTCACACTTATACCACTGCTTGGATTTGTGCTGAAACACTAGTAAACTTACCCACGAAATACCAATCCCAGAGAGAGAAGCATACCATATTGATATAACTCTAAAAATAGTTGTGACCTCTTAAAACCCCTGAAAGCCTCTTAGCGACCCCAGAAGTCCATGAACCACATTGGAGAACCATTGTTTTAAGACATTCCATGAACACACCAGATATGTAATACTTGGTTTCCAGATAATGAAGGGGAAGCTGATAATTGGCCAAAAGTCACTCGCGGGTACCCAAGTCCAGAAGTGGGAGGAATCATTCAGAGAGGATCCAAGAAGGAATTATAGAAAGTGACCAGATGACATTGAAGCTTGATAGATGAGTCAGTTATCAATTTATTGCCTTTCAGCTCCAATGCACCCTTGAATATATGCTCTGTGAGAACAGGGGGAATTTCTTTAAACATTTCTCCTTTAAAGTGAGCACAAAGTTAGGCTTTCTCACCAGGGAGAACTAGAGGGGCACTGCAGGAGGAAGAGGCTTTCTTGCTGGCTGTGGTGTGGGCTGGGGGTGGGCAGTGTAGCTGTGAGGGCACGCAGTGGAGCCACCCCAGCTATAGGCTCAGCATGCAACCCCCCTGGCACCTCATAGCCTCAGCCTGGCAATAACCTTCCCAGCACTCTTGACACAGAAACCAAAGTCCCCATTAAGCCTATGTCCAGCCGGCCTATGGCCAGTGTGTCCACACAGCTTGGTCACCCCCTTTGCAAGCCCCACGTGTCCTGAAGGCCTTCTTCTCCACTAACACCTAGATCCTGCTGCATGCTGTACCGATGCTGATTGCCTGCTCCCTGCCTGAACTCTGGGGAGTGGGCTATTGCTTGCTCAGCGACTCCAGACCAGCTCTGGCCTGATCAAACCAGTGAGTTTCTGTGCCAGGTTCCAAACCACTTCTAAGTTTGTCCTTCCCTGGCTCCTCTCCCTCAGCCCTAGGGTACCATAGAGAGTTTCCTTATATGTCATGGTTACTCTTTTATCTTAGTTAAAACTTCATGTTGAATTTCTCCTGTTTAAGCTACCATGTAGTTTCTCACTCCTGATTGGACCCAGACTACATCAGATGCTTAAATGTCTGTTATTTCAAAATGTAAGATTTTTGTGACCTTTGACTTCTTTAAAAACCTGGCAAGGTTAAGTCCTGGATGAAGTATTAGGAAAGAAACCTCAGTTTTCTCAAGAAAGATAATTAAGTCACCACTTACGTCACATTTCCACTTTTTGTTGCTGTCGCCCATGAAACTTGTCCCTGAGGACTCAAGTGATTAAATAATTTTGTTAAGTGTACAGATAAAAATTAAGCAACAGTAGGGCTGTAACTGACCTCAGGAATGCTATACTCCAGTTCTTTCTTTTTACTGGTAGAGAAATAGACCCAGAAAGGTTAAATGAATTGCCCATGGTAGCACAGCTGGTTCCCATAGCAGAATCAGGTCTCTCTAACTCCTGACTCTCAGTTCTGAGCAGACCACACTGGCTGCTGTCCTCTAGAAAAGAGTGACAAAGTGGCAAAGGCCACATGAAAAGGACTTTCTTTAAACATAATAGCTCATTTAAACTGTTTAGACAAAGAAGCTTTCTTTATAATAATATTTCCAGCTGCCCATTTTTTAATTAGTTAGTGTAAGTCAGACAACATTTCTAGTTGTGACTATTTTTTTTTTAATACCAAACAGTCTATCCTTCCAATAATTTGGTTGGCAAGACTTCAATTAGCAGGGATGGGACTTGGTGGTACGTGGTCCACATGAGGACAGAGAGGTCTACCCTTGAAGAAATCAACATTTCCTTTCTCAGAAGCCACAAAAGGCCTAATTCACTGGGGTCACCCAGGCATTTTTCATTCAAGAAACAGGTAACAGGTATACATTTGAGGCTACAGAGATCCTCAACATTTATCTAAAGTTTAATGTATGGGCTTAATTAGCTCTATGTAGACCACTACCTGTGCAATGTGATATGAAGAATTCTAGGTATATTGGTCAGAGTTCTCCAGAGACAGAACCAGCACAACATGTATGTGTGTGTGTGTGTGTATTTATATATACATACACATATATGTACATACACACACACACACACACACACACACACACATCCTGTTATATCTACTATATATGGAGAAACGTATACACATCTTATTTTTATATAATACATTATAATAACATAATATTATATATATGTGTGTGTATATATATATACACATATATATAATACATATCAGTTGGGGTGTGAAGAGAGAGAGATTTATTTTAAGGAACTGGCTCACACAGTTGTGGAGGCTTGGTGTGTTCAGAATCTGCAGGGTAGGCCAGCAGGCTGAAGCCCCGGGGAAGAGCCGCAGTTCGAGTCCAAAGGCAGCCTGCTGGCAGAATTCCCATTTCTTCAGAGGAGGGGGTCAGTCTTTTTTTCTATGAGGCCTACCCACACTATAAAGGGCAATCTGCTTTACTCAAAGTTCACCAATTTAAATGTTAATGTCATCCAAAAAAAAAAAAAAAAAAGCACCTTCACAGAAGCATCCAGAGTAATGTCTGGTCAATATCTGGGCACTATGGCCCAGCCAAGTTGATATATAAAGTTAACCATTACACCTGGCATATTTAAATATTTTACTTGATTCAGGTAACCTATTAATTCAGTAGCTGTCATCTGCACCTTAGCTCACCAGATGGTTTTGTAAACAATTGAATATAGTTGTGTACATGTCCCCTCCCAAAAGAACTTGTAGGCTCCAGACTTAGCGGGCTCCTTGGTTTACGCCTCTAAGTGAGCAGGATCCAGTGGTGCCTTTGATGCATAACTAGCCTGGTCTGATGGTGGCTTTGGGCCCAAGGCTGCCTACAACTTTGTATGTTGCACAGTGCCACTGTGTTCATGGCCCATTGGGGTGTCTGTCCTTTAGCCTGCCTTGAGCTTTACGTCCATCTGCCACTGAGTGTATGTTCACCCTCCTGTGCTTCACACACTCTCTGAGAAAGAACTGCCCTTTCCAACTCATCACCACTGTCCCTTCTCCCAGCCCCTTCTTTCTACTCCTACATGGCTTCTTTTCTATTATTTCATGTCCCGCTATTTGAATAAATGAATGGGTTTCTTTTAAACCTCTTGCCAGCCTTTCTTCTATTTAACAACTTCTGAAATTGTTGTCTTTCAATCTGTTTCCGGGTTAATCAATTCTTTTTTTTTTCCTTTGTGTCTTCATCCTACCTGATATTCGTCTTATAGCTAAAACTTTTGATTATCCTTTCTTCTTAAAGCTCAGCCATCTGCAGCCTCCCTTGCCACTTGGTGCCTCTTAGGTGGGAGGAGCCAGCTTAACAGGCAGGCAGTCTGTGCAGTTGCATGGGGCCCCATTAAACTTGGTTTAATGCTCTGCTGTTGCTATCCTGAAATTCTTAATAATTTTGGAGCATAGGGTCCCTCATTTTCATTTGGCAGTAGGCACTGCACATTATGCACTGGCCTGCCTGTGGACCCCTTATTTTTCTTGCTGACATCCTCCTTTTTCTGGCATTTGCCCTCTCAGCTCACCACTCTTCTCCTCCATGCTTGGTGCTCTTTGGAGAACTTACCTTGAGAACATGACTGTCCTTCCCAAGTCAGCAATAACTCTGGCTTCTAGGCCTATAAACATGCTACTTACCCTAAGCTTAAAAAAAAAAAGTAGAAAGGAAAGTCAGAGAAGGAAAGAAAACAAGGGAAAATGTTGAAAGGCTTGCTTGGCTCAAGTCTCCCTTGTTGGTTCCACCTCCTAGCCTATCTCACTGCAATGTCATATGTTATTCTAGAATTTGCCTCATTTCAATTAAATATCTTGCCAGTTACTAGATACTTGAGGTTTTCTTATAAGTCAGACAATATGCCTTGTTATTACTATTTTTCAAAACTAAATGATCTGACCTTCCAATAATCTAGTTGCTATGCTCCATTAGCATGAATGTGACTCAGTGATTTGTTTTATTTATCTACTCTCAGAAACCTGTAAGTACTCAAGAAATGTAAGACTGATGGCCTTGGTATGTCTTCCAAGTGATTCCACCAATCTTGGGAAGGAAGAATGGTTCTCATATGTTAATATTATCAACCTTCACCATGCCTTGGGAGAGCCCAAAGTCCACACTCTCTGCCTCCAAGTTTGGCTGTTTCTGCTCACTAGCCCAGGTGTAATATTTAACAGCTAAATTCCATTGCAGTAGAGGCAGATTTCAGTCCTCAGCTTCACAGAATACTGTGGTACAGTATTAAGGGCATTGTATAGACTCATGCAAACCTGGGTTCAAATTCCTCCCCTGACACCAACCAGCAGAAAAAATGTCTGCAGCACTATTTCCAATCCCGTATGTCCTTCATAACCTTTCCACAGCCCCAGCTAGAGGTGGAGTCCACATTTCCCTTCTTCTTAAAATAGGGCAGGCTTTTGTGACTGCCTGGATGAATGGAATATGGCAGAAGTGACACAATGTGTGACTTCTGAGATTAGGTAATAGGGGGTGATACAGCTTCTGCCTGTGTCTCTCTCTCTGTCTCTTTTGGGATGCTTGCCCCTGGAACCTAGCCACCATGTTGTGAGGAAGCCCAGAGCACATGAAGAGGTTCTCTGTAGTGTTCCAGCTAATAGTCTCAGCAACGTTTTCAGATGACAGATTGCCTCAACAACCAGACAAGAGAATGAATGAGATTTCAGATTATTCCAGCCCCCAGCTTTTGAATTGTCCCAAATGACATCTAGTGAAGTAAAATTAGCCATTCTAACCAAGTCCTGGCCAAATGCAGGTTTTTGAGCAAAATAAATGTTGTTATTGTTTAAAACCACTAAGTTTTGGGCTGGTTTGTTACTCAGCAGGCAACTCACATACACACTTAGCTTCAGGCCCCTTATCTTCAAATTGGTGGCAGAGTTGTATAATTGGATGACAATATGTATAAAACATATAGTATTTACTTTATACATTTACAGCTACTGTCTTTATGGCCGCAGAAGGCAAACATTTAGGAAGAGCTTGTTAAACACCCTATTTATGAAATATTATGCCTTGATGAAGAGTCAATAGACCTCTCTTTGATGGCACAAAAGTTCAACAGTACCTAGCGTTCAGGGTTTTGTGTATGAAGCAATAAATTCAACAAAGAAAGAAAATACATGAAGAACTACAGCTATTGTTCATTGGCCAGAGGAGAGTGTTCCTAAACTAGGTCAGTCATGCATTTACTATGAAGGGAGAGAGGGAAAAGTGACTCATGTTTGGTTAACTATTGGTACAATGATAGATACATGCATGTCTGTTCTCTATAAGACTATTGAATTTCTGTGAAAAGCAACACCCTCCAACCAAACACCTTTTTCAAGTAGTTCAAGAGTCAAAGATGAGAAGGGCTGGAACCCAAGGAATATAGATGGTTGAAGCTAAGGGATCAGGTCCGGGACAGATTCCTGGAAGTTTTCTATTGAAGTTTATTGGAAGCCTTTGTGTTCTCTCAACATCCGGAAACATTTTCACAGCTCTTTAAGGTACTGTCATCCTATTCTTTAGACCTGATTAAGGCTCTCAATGCTTGGTTCAGGAAAGTTGAAATCTGGAATTCTTCCACCTCAGAAATGTACCAAAACACAGGAAACCAAAGAGCAATACAAATCTATAGCCTCAAATAAACAGAACTCCTTTCCACATTGGTATAATTTGAAGAAGAGGTCTCCTCACTTAAGCCTCCCTTGGAGAATCCCCATCCTAATACAGGAAATATGTTTTCCACTTAATGAGGCCACTGTCAAAAGCTTTGCTTTCCTCTCTTGACATTTTTCTTATTTGTTATCCAAGATGCTATGGAAATTAATGGCAGCTCTTGATCGTGAATCCATTCCCCCTATATTTAAGGAATAAGCCTGCAATTCCTATAATCCTCATACCAAACAAGGATATCTTGATATTGAGCTCTGCTACTCCTACAAAGGTTGGTGTTTGGGATCCTGACATAGCTGAGATTCCTCAATTATTACTCATCTGCCCTTCTGTTCTGGTTGTCTGAATGTTGAGTTTTGAATATAGCCTCTTAATAGGATAAGCTGGGCTGGAAAGACTTTAGAGACATCCCAAAATCTGTCATCCTAGCTCTCTGTTGGCTTCAATAATCACTCATGAATCCCAAACTCAAATATAACAAATTGAAAGCTTATGACACTAAAATGAAATCTGAGTCCTGAGGTTTATTAATTAGGGTCATGTACATCTGAGAACTTATGAAAAAAGTTTTTGCAAAATTACTAGTTTATGATATGTCAACAAAGTATGTTTTTAGAGCTCGAAAATTCCACACAACTAAGCATTTTAAAAACTGGAATGCCCAAGCCCCACTCTCAGATATTCTGATTTAATTAGTCTGGGGGTAGGGCTCAGACATCAGAATTCTTTTCCCTCAATGTTCTCGAGGTGATTCTAATGTTCAGTCAGGACTGACAACTTCTGACCTAGTGGTGCCCACAGTGGGAGATGTCCAACAGAATCACCAAAGGAGCTTGTTAAACAAACAAAGAAACAAATGAGCTCCCTGACCTCACTGTAGACTTGCAGCATCAGAGTCTCTGGGCTCAGGAGATGTGTGACGGGCTGGACCAACCACCGACAGTAGCACTTAGGACGTTGTTTCTCCCTCCTCTTTTTGTTTCCTTTTTCCTTACCTAAACTGGAAACTCCTTCACATCCTGGCCCCACTCCTACTTCCCACCCCATTTCTACACTGTTCTTCTTCACCTTCCATCCCTGCACAGGCCCTGAAAGAAGTGCACCATTTTGAGTTGTTCAGGGCATGGAGAGCCCATTTTGGATCAAGATGTCTGAAGAACCTCAAGTCAATGCAGCCATAAACAATGCCAAGAACTTCACGTGCCAACTGATATTTTTATGGTTGCATCTCCACACAGAACTCTTAAGTTCTGCCAGGTGGGTCTTCCCTGAGGGTGACAGAGTGTGCTGTGACCGGGTACAGAAACCCTAGTCACTGGGCTCAAGTTCTCATGTGGTCAACCACAGGCCATATGTACCCAACCACATTTGTTCTCTCCAGCCACCTTCCTCTAGTCAGCCATGGTGAAAAATGTGGCTTCTTAAAAAATGCAGGGTCCTCATAAGGTCCTGTTTTGGGCTTTCTTGGCTGCGTGGAGTACCAGCAAGCTGTATCTCCACTCTCAACTATATGCAGGCACTTGGCCACTTGGGCAGGGTGGATCCACACAGCCAGATGGGCATCTTTACCAAGGGCCAGCTTGGTTCCAGAGACTGGGGATGTAGTGATGTGGTGATGAAAGAGACATGGTCCCTCTCTTGAGAAGCTATCACACAACAGAGGCAGCAAAAGGTAAAGACATGATGGCCAGGTCATCACTGAAGTGCAGTAGTAGTAGAGAATGGGTGGAGTGGGGACAGGAAGGAGCCCACCTAAGGGTTCACGGAAGGATTTGGGGCAGCAACAATGCCTAATGTGAGCCTCAAAGGTAAGAGAGTTTATTCATACAAAGTGGCAGGTAAGGCCATCCAGGCAGAAGTGATGGCATAAGCACATGCCTGGAGGCTGGATTGAACAATGCAGGTGTATTAGGCTGTTTTTGTGTTCTGTAAAGAAATACCTGAGACTGGGTAATTTATATTGAAAAGAGATTTAGTTGGCTGATGGTCCTGCAGGCTGTACAAGTGCCATGCCAGCATTTGCTTAGCTTCTGGTTAGGGCCTCAGGAAGCTTATGATCATAGTGGAAAGCAAAATGGGAGCAGGCACTTTCCATGGCAAAAGCAGGGGCAAGAGAGAGAGAGAGAGAGGAACCAGGATCCTTTAAACCACAGCTCTCCTGTGAACTATCAGAGCGAGAACTCACTCATTACCATGGGGAGGGCACAAAGTCAGGAGGGAACCAACCCCATGATCCAAACACCTCCCACCAGGCCCTGCCTCCAATATTGGGAATCACATTTCAACATGAGATTTGGCGGGGACACACATTCAAACCATATCAGTGGGTGTGCAGGGAATTCCAAGCAGATCTTCTTCATGCTCTATTAGGAAAACCCATGCAGAATTTCTCTAGTTCCCTTTCTTCCTCCATTCTGAGGACCCCAGCCTAGTCACAGGCAAAGCCATAAGGCAGTCAAATGCTCATCTTCTGGGGGTCTCTGTGTCTTCCCAATCTGCTATCTCCACCATCATGCATCTCTAAACCCCTCAGCCACTCTTGGCCAGCATGCCTCTCCCCACTTGTATCTCTCAATGCCAACTCTGAAAGCATTCACATTTAAGTATGAATTGTTGGTAACTGCTAAGCACTTATTCCTCCTGGGGTACTTTTATTTATCATGGCCCAGATGTAAGCAACGAGATGAAGCTTCAATAGTGGGGTTGCAGGTGTCTGCCAGAAACTGATTAAAGAACTGGGAAAGAAGGAAGAAGGGCAACAATAGCTTCCTGGGGGTCCTGAAACCAGACATGTAGGTTTTTATCTATTATCTCCTATGTGAGATCCTGCCAACTTGTTACTTCTGCAGCTCTGAAAAACTAGCTCACACAATGGATGCCCCAGACCAAAGGGCAGGCACTCTTATCACAAAACTGCCTTAATTTCCATTTAAAATTTTCTATTTAAAATTACTTCAAGGCTGGTTGGAAGGGCAAGACTTCAAAAACAACACATTCCTTTTTAATTAATTGGAGGCGGGTGACTATAGGAATGTTTTAGCTTTGCCGTTAATATGAGTGCTATGAATTTGTAATAGTGACATCTTCCTATACTTGTGCAGTAAGATGTTTGTTAGCAAGAATGTTTGGAGAAGCAAGATGTTCCCTGGTGAACTGAATTCCCTGGGTAGCCCTTTAAGCAATTTGGGGCAATGTAATAAAAAGCAGAAGATTAAGAGTTCTGCGTTCCAGACCTAGTTTTGGCACAAAGAGTTGTGTGACCTAGGGCAAGTAATTTTCCCTCTCTGGGTCTTAATCTTGTTATTTTTAAAGTGAATAAATTAGAAAAGATGGGCTTGAAAGACACTCTGTTCCTAAAATGTGGCTAGGAGAAGGTGAAAATAACTAAATCTTTTATTTGCACCTAAAAATTCCAATGGCTGAGTAGAGACTCCACAAGCTACTACAGTCCTCTCTCCCAGCACCATGCATGGCTCACAGCACGGGCTGGATAAATGTTTGCCGAGAGGATGAAAGAGCTTGTGGACTAGCATTCTATTCTGAAAACACAGGCAGCTGGATCTGCAGGGGAGGGGCCAGCACTGTAGATTGCAAGGAAAATCAGGCCACAAAGGAAGAACCACCTGTGACCACCTTTGCTAGCTGCTTCTGGGCTCTGCCTTCTCACAACTTCTCTGTAGCATCTTTCCATAGTATTCTCAGCACCTTACCTTAAAAAGCAGTTGAAGAAGCACCCTTTTTGGAAGGCTGTCCCCACCCCATGTCCCCGCCCCCACCCCCTCCTGCTCTATCCAACTCCTTCAGACTAGGGCAGTTGAGATCCAAAGACTTCAGATGACTTTTCCAAGGCCACATAGACGATCGGTAGGGATGGAGTTTGCTATTGAATGGAGATGGCTGAAATCTCAGTCAAAATCGTGAACGTATGTAATTTAGACATAATCAGGGAAGACAGGAAAAACAGAACTGAATCCTTTGGAAAGTCATCTTCGAGAGATGTTCCTGCTAACCCTTGCTTATCTTTCATTTTATTCCCTTAAAAGAGTAAACTGCTGAAGACAGAGGAAGAAAAATCCTGCCTTGTTATTGAATGGTATGGATTCACATTCACATCAAGGTTTTTTTTTTTTTTTTTTTTTTTAATCGTGGAGGATTTACTCAGGGTAAAGACAGAAAGCCACACTCCTACGACAGGTCCTGAGCTCCCAGGGGAAGGATAGAAGGGAAGCTGTGTAGCTGTCTTTTCTCACTATGTTCCTTCTTCTCCCGCCTAGGGTGATTGGGAGGATTAGGGGAGATAACACAAGTAAAATGGGGGCGCAGTGCCTGGCAGAAAGCACTCAGTGCATCTGCCATCTTCAAGGTCACTCTGCCCTCTGGGCCCATTCCTCCTTCCTCCCTCTCCTCACCCCCAGCCAGCACATTAAAGGTCACAGGTCTGGAGAAAGTCCTTCTCTGCCACTGTGCAACAGGGAAATGTTTCTCCCAGCCAAGTGCCCCTGTCATGTGGGCCCACCCAACTAATTTCTTCTGAGCCCCTATAGAACTTACAGTGAAGACTGTGGTTAGTCCTGGATGATTATATCTTCTGCTTTAGAAGGGAGCTTTGAAAACAGCCTCACAATTACAGAAAAAACCAAGCCAGTTTTTGTGTCAAGAAGACCCAATTTCGTTTTCTCAGCCTTGAAAAAAAATCAATTTGAACTTGCTGCTGGCTGAGTTATATGTTCAAGCTCAGACCGAGCTGTAATTGGAAAGGAGTCTGTCTTTTGTAATCCCCAGGCCAAAAGGGGAAATGAAAATCTTTTTCAAATGGCAGAGTAAGGCAGGAAATGTTCTCTTTATTGTACTCCCATAAAAAAATAAACCTACCCAGTAATTATACCACACACACACAATAGTCCAGGCCCTCACCCAGGAAGCCACAACCTGAGATGAAGGAGTCAGTGGTTATTTTCAAAAAGGGAATTTTTCCAAGCCCTACCATATTTTCTCTCACAAGTTCCTTTGCATTTACAAGAGACAGATTGCCCACCCTGCTTTTCTGCCTGACTGGTGGAAGTCAGACAACCTGCATACTGGTCCCAGTTGTTCTGCAAGATGAATGTGCCCTTGAGCAAGTCACTGTCTCGATCTGGCATTCTGCACCCTTACCTATGAAATGAAGGGACAACTAGACAATGCCTACATCTGAATTCTCTGATTCTCTTTATGCTCACTTGTTCATTGGGCACAAAGGAGTCAGAGGTGATCCCTGCTTATGAAAAGCTCTAATGTAAATTCTCCACTTTATGTCTAGGAGAAAAAACTGAAAGTGGCCATTATAAAAATACAAAACTGCCCCATTGGTGGACTCCAAAATAAATGAGGTACAGAAATTGTTCTTTTTCCTCTACTGGATCCTTTCTGTAAGTCTTAGAATTTGCTATGATGCTCTTGGGGCATTCAAATTCACAAGCACAAAAAGAACTACATTTTGGGTACCACATTCTAATACTACTATCCACAGAGTGGATTCCTCAAATCAGCCATCTGGTATATAGAATATGTGAAAATGCATTTCCAGTTCTAGCAGAGATTGTTCCATCCATAGGTCTAGAGTAGAAGTATATGTAATCGTTGACAATCAACAAAGCATATCACTTATATCTTATTTAGTTTGAAGGTGCCGAACAGGGTTGTTGTACATGTTTTTAAAAAAATTTTATTATGGTCATCTCGTCTCCACCCAAACCCCCACCAAACTATTTCTACCCTCTTAAGCCAGGGTGAGCCAAAGTCCCAACCTTTCCTTTACGTACAAGACCCACCTAAGGAAGGAAGCCTGCTATTGTTGGACTATGTTTAGAACAGATGATGCTACGTGATGAACTTCGAGCATTAATGACAGATAGTCTTCTAGATCCTATCTAATGTTTAGGATCAGCCCCTTCAAATTGTTTTTTGATGGAGCCTCAGGAATGGCAAAGAAACATTGCAACTTGTGCTTCATCTGCCAATTATTGAAGGAGGCTGCTGGAAACATAATATAGAAAATTCTGAGGTCTCAACTAGGATTCGTAGGACAGAATGTAAGCATTATTTGGTGATGACATGTTTTATTTATAAAGTCAACCTTAGATGCAATTCTGCTGACTCTTCTACACAGAGAAGAGGCCTGCTGAAGAATTAAAAGATAAGAACAAAGCTAAAATGAGAAGCATAATTTTCCCCTATGTCCTCCTAGTTAGCTCTTATGGACCTTTCTGTAACATGAGTTTCTTCTACTAAGTTGTAAAACAGATCCTGTTTTACTTTTCTCTTCTCAGTCCTATGATACAGTTCAGGGCCAGACACATTTACTCTAGTTGTTCAAAATGTAGCCTGCATGAAAAGACCAGTGTCTCAGAGACATACCAAAGGGCAGAACAGAAACAAGGCTTAGAAACAAATTTAACATAAGTAGAGTATGGGTATCAAGGACTTTTACTGTATAGCGCTTGCAATTATGTGATTAGCTTTCAGCAAGATGTGTTTTCTCTCTATCTTTTCAACCAGAAAATAATTTAAAAAACAAAGATAACTTGAATTGGCCTCAAAGCTGTCTCCATCCCTGTAATTGGGAATAATAACAGCTGCCCACCTACTTCACGAGTTCTCTGTGAGGATCAAAGGTGCTCTGAAAGGATGACATACAATAATGGAACCTACCACTGCCATATCCTGTCTTCTTTGTTAGTGGATTGAAATTCCAGCTAGAACACAATGTCCTACAGCTCCAGGGTCCTCTTGTAAGTTTATCTCTCAATCAAGTCTCATTAAGAGCTTTTTATCTCTCCCCTGGAACTCCCAGAAAAGGCCCTAAGAGGGATAGTTTTCTTGTTAGGAGGAAATTCTGGGTTGTCTGCAGCCTTGCTGCTCAAAGTAGGTCCACAGACCAGCAACATCAGCATCCTTTAGGAGCTCATTAGAAATGAAGATTCTCAGGCCAGCCCCATACTTACTGAATCAGAACCTGCATTTTCAGTAAGACCTCTAAGTGATTTATGCCTCTTAGTGTTTGAGAAGGCTGGTCTTCAGAACCTTTGCAAGATAAAGGCCTCATACAGCAACAATCGGAAGACCTTTAAAACCGATGCATTGGGTCAGTGATAGCCAGCTTTTCTTTTTCATTTAAAAAGTGCATCTTTGCACATCCAGATTTCACATAATTCTTGGTTAGGAAAAACAAAAAGAAAAACAAAAACAAAACTCCACTCTTGTTCATAGTAATCTGGCCCTACTGGGTTCTAAAAATGTCAGTGAATCTCTGCCAAATTTCCATACCTCGTGCAGAGGAGGAGCCTGCTTGCAAATAACAATGGCAGCCAGGTGCTGAAAGTGGACACTGAAGCTGAAACTGGAGCTGAGGTTAAATTATTTATTGAAATTCCATGACTTGGCTTGTCTGTTAGAAGCCAACCAAACCTAGAGTCACTGAGCATGTTCATCTCGAACAGGCCCCATCCTGCACCCCCTGAAGTTACCTGCCTCTTTGCCTGTGGGACCAGTCAGATGTCGGACCCTACCTCCAGGGGTTAAGTTATGGAAACATGACATGGCTGGGTTAGTAAACTGGGCTCTCTAAAGGTGCTGTCCTGAGAGCTCCTGATGCCCATGGCTGAGCAGTTCAGTGGCTTAGCAGTCTGCCTCTGTGCAACCTCTAGTTCATAGAAAGCCTGCCTGTTGCAGGAAAAATAACTCGCTTGCAGCTAACTCTTTCTTTTCATTTTTTAAAATGAACACCCTTTGTCTCAGGGTTTCTATTTGTATGACAGAGAGAAATGTGTTTTTTTGTGGGTGTTTTTGTTTGTTTGTTTGTTTTTGCCAACCAACATCCCAATATATATAAAATGAATTAAACCCTGTAGATATATATTCCTTTTACAATATAATCACTAATATTTGATCCTCAAAAGCAAAATACTATGAAAACATGTTCATCAATAGCAGAATAGGTGGCCGGGCACAGTGGCCCATGCCTGTAATCCCAGCACTTTGGGAGGCCGAGGCGGGCGGATCATGAGATCAAGAGATTGAGACCATCCTGGACAACATGGTTAAACCCCATCTCTACTAAAAAATTAGCTGGGGGTGGTGGCACATGCCTGTAGTCTCAGCTACTTGGGAGGCTGAGGCAGGAGAATCACTTGAACCCAGGAGGCAGAGGTTGCAGTGAGCCGAGATGGCGCCACTGCACTCCAGCCTGGCAACAGAGCAAGACTCCATCTCAAAAAAAAAAAAAGCAGAATAGTTGATTACAATGTGATATAACCATATGATAGAATAGTATACAGCTATTTAAAAGCATGAGTTTGATTCTTATGTATTATTCTAGAGGGAGTGTCACAGTAGGAGAAAAAGGCAAATGACAAAGTAATAAGAACAGTGTGATCCCTTTTTGTATTTAAAAACAAAATCTTGCATGTGTTCGTATTGTACGTGTGAGAGAGAGGAGAAATATATATAGTTTTATATATAAAACCACCAGGCTGGGAATCAGAAATCCTGGGTTTCTGTCCTTATGCTCCCCTGAGAAGTGGGGGCTGCTCATCTCTGGGCCTCTGACACCTTCTCTGCCTATCAGTCAGAGTGACAGCAAGAGTCAAATGAGACCATGTGCATATAAGGGCTCTGACCAGTGGAAGTGATTATAGCTTCCAGGCACCTATGGAAAGATGAAGGTTAATATAACAATTATATTTATATATAGGGCAGAATGAAATAAATGGTAAATAGGAGACTCAACAATATGTTTTTCATGTCTTGGGAAGCAGTGTTTACTACTGTGTGTGTGTGTGTATATATATATATATATATATATATAGAGAGAGAGAGAGAGAGAGAGAGAGAGAGAGAGAGAGAGAGAAAGAGAGAGAGAGAGGGCATGCCATAGAGAGGAGTTGAGGGCAGGACCTGATACTGATAACATCAGTTTCTTCAGGTGGGTGCATTCAAGGGGTGTGTGAAAGGAGAGTCTTCATATTTTCTTTATGTGGTTTCAAGCAAAGAAATATTTGAAACCCTTGGGAACAGATGTGTTTCAAAATTCAAAATATTTTGGAATGTAGAAAGGTAACATGTGTGGATATATATGTAACCCCATCCCCACCCCCTGCAGGCTCTGGGACACCACACTGCTGTAATCAAGTCTGTTATAATCACATCTCCACAGCACCAAGTGGGGCAAAGATGGACTACAAATCATCTCTAAAGTTCAAGGAAGTTTTGCCTCAAAGTGAATTTCCACAAACTTATGAAAGAACTTACAGTTTTCAGAGCTTTTTGAATTTCAGGATTACAGATAAAGAATTGTAGACCTATATATTTCTTTAAGGTTTGAGTTGTCACAGTCATCTTGTATTTTTAAAACAAATAAAGTAAGCTAAAAGGGAGGTGACAAAAAAAGAAAGAATATATGAAGAGGAAAACCCCTCTGATCTGCCCTTGGGTCCCTTTACTTGTGCCTCCAAAGGCTCTGATTTAGAACTGGAGAGTGAGCAGGATGTAGCTTTGGTGAGGCACACTCAGGGGTCGGCCTGACCTGGGGACTGGAAACCCCAGCAAATTCAAGCCCACTAGCCTGCCATGTAGCAGATACAGGAGAATGGCAAATAAAGATGAAAGAAAGACTTTTAATGAAATAGAAAGTAACTTAGGTGCCAAGGAGTAACCAGATCCTAAAGTGATGCCCACGTGGCTCCTGTCATTCGATATGCAACTGAAACAAAAGTATTTCTGTCAAAGTTAAAATGTATATTTTAACTTTGGCCAACAGTGACTGTCCAACACATGTATAGATGGCATCCTCAGTCCAGTGTGCCAGGAACCAGTGGTGCCCTCAGATTCTCATTGGGGCAGGCAAGTGCTTGTTTCTGTCTAGGTCTCTATCAATATGGACATTTATTTTAAATATATATGTATATAGTTATGTTGCTAATCTTAAAAAAAATCTTGAAATGTGCTTTAAATCCAAGTATATCAGATTACAAAGAACAAGACAATATGTTACCTGTCAATCTCTAAGGTGCAACTGCTGTACAACTTGAGCCAAGTTAGCTGGAGCCTTCATTTCTCTTACTATGAAATAGGGGTACAGTACCATTCATCACCCTCACTTGAAAGGTATACAATATAATTAAAAAGTGCTTAAAAGTCTTTGGCTTAATTTATGTTGTAAATTATAAATAGCCTATTTCTCTATGTTATATAGGTAAAGGACCAGGGCCTGAATGTCATAAAGAGAATGTAAATGATCAGTGATGGAAAAAAAACCACCAGACTGGGAATCAGAAATCCTGGGTTCCTGTGCTGATGCTCCCCTAAGAAGTGGGGGCTGCTCATCTCTGGGCCTCTGACACCTTCTCTGCCTATCACAAAGAGTGACAGCAAGGGTCAAATGAGACCATGTGCATAGAAGGGCTCTGATCAGTGGAAGTGATTATAGCTTCCAGTCACCTATGGAGAGATGAAGGTTAATATAATAATTATATTACGTATACGGCAGAATGGAATAAATGGTAAATAGGAGACTCAACAATATGTTTTTCATGTCTTGGGAAGCAGCGTTTACTACTGGGTGGGACATCGGAAAAGTGTCCTTTCATTTTTATTATTTTCTTGGTAGATTTGTTTTTTGTCTGCTTGTTTCTTTCTTTGTTAAATGTGTAGTGTGAGTAGACATCCCAGCTTGCCTAGGACTGGGGGAATTCCAGGACTTTCAGGATTTAAAACTGGGAAGGTCCCTGGAAAACTGGGATGAGTTGGTCACTCTATGTACATGCATTTCTACTTTCAGAAAAGAATTTGAAGGCATGGTTAGACATAGAAGCTTACATTTAATAAAGGTTGGTGCAAACGTAATTGCTGTTTTTGCCATTACTTTTAATGGCAAACTCATTCATACAATGCCCATGCACAGACAGACTTTATTCAATTCAAAGCAGTTAAAAATGTCAAATAACCCCTTCTTAGTACTTTTGGTTCATCGTACTACAGTTTTGTCCTTCACTGGATCAAACGTAGTGATTCTCAGTATTAATAATCACTCCAGACTCTGTCTAAATATTCAAATGGGTAATGGACATTATAATGGCATAGACCTATGAGGTTTCCTAACATTAACTAGAATAGACAAAAGGCAGCTTGTCGGAAAATAACACTAACAACAACAAAAGGGATATTGCTGATGCTTTTTAGGGCTGGATGTTACGTGTGTGCTGTATGTATGCAATGTGCATATTGTCTTCCCATGTTTGGTTGACTTTTCATTGCTAAATGAGCAATGTAGTTCATACAGATCTGCCCACATATCAAAAGAATAAATTATTTCCTTTCAGGGCTTTGTCTTTTGCAAGAAAGTGGTGTTTAAACTATATAGTTGATTTATAATAAATATTTGTAATAAATATTTATTTTAAATAAACAGATTGGGTGATTATTTTTATTTCACCCTTGAATAACAAGGATTATAGTAACTTTTTCATTCTTTATTTTTGACTTTGTGGCCTTTTGGATTTTGCATGCTTTTTCCTATGACTCCACTTCAGGTGTTTATAGTGAAACATAAACCTCTTTTTATCAAATTCCAGTGCAAGCTTTAATGACAAGCATATTGTAATTATTCTTGCTACATTCAAATTGTAATGAATCAAAATGGTATGTGGCTTTTTTTGAAAGATGATCTTTTAGTTGCTATTTCAACAAACCCCCCAGATCTGGAGCCCAGCTACCTTCCCTCCATCTTTTGTAAATTAAAAATAAAAAAATGGATATGATACAATATCCTAAATTATTTCTTTGGCCCTTTTGAGCCCATACTCAGAACCCTCCAATGACTTTGCACTAATAATAGGATAAAATTCAAACTCCTTGAGCTGCCTCTCAGGGACCCTTTCTTTTTCCAGGGTTATAAATTCTCCCCTTTCAAGACCTCTTCCCCTGCCTCCCCTCCCCTCTAGGCAAACAGCTTGCCCACCTCCTCTGACTAGGCTCAGGTTGGCTATGTCTGCACTTTTGTTCATGTCATTTCTCTCTTTTGGACAGCATTATCTGTCTCTACTTTCAAATACTAACTCAGACCCCATCTTCCCTGGAAATCCTCTTCAGACTACTTCTATTAGAATTATGTTGTGTATAGTTCATTTCATTCATTCACTTGACAAATACTAAACATCAACAATGTGTGGGGTGCTGTTCTAGGTGCAAGGGATGCCCAGTGGGTTTCCACTCAGCGTCTTTCCCTGTAGCTTGCTGCAGTGGTGGGGTTTTTCTCTGGAAGCAACAGAGCAAGAAGACAAAAGACAATAGCAGGGAAGCTCCTGGGCTTTGGGTCTGACTAGGCTTTGCCACTTACTAGGGTTGTAATCTTGGGAAAGTTTCCTGGCTTCAGTTTGCTCCTCAGTAAAGTAGAAATATGGTGTGGTACTTAAAAAGTTGTGGTGTGAATTTATTGTCCATGTAAAGCATTTAGGGATAGTTTGTGGTGCAAAATAACTGCTCAATAAACAGCATTACATTATGATCTTATACCTGGTCTGACCCATCTATGGTGCCTTTTTTCCCCTCAGTGCTTTCCATATCCGAGAACTTAGTGTTGGGCTTCCTTGTCATTGTGTGATAAAATACTCTTCTCTTTGACTGGGGATGGCTAACAATGAGTGATTCCTGAGCAGGAATCGTAAGCTTTCCAATAAAAATATATGTGGGGATTCTTAAATATTTTAAATATTTCAGTGAAGGTCTATGGGGATTCTAGGAAGTATTCAACAATATTTATTAAGAACTTCTAGAACAGTGGTTCTCCAATGTTAGCATGCATCAGAACCATTTGAAAGCCTTGTTAAAACACAGTAGGTCCAGGGTGGGGCCCAAGAATTTGCATGTCTAACACTTTTACAAGTGATGCTGAGGCTTCTAGTGTAGGGTCCACACTTGGAGAACATCTGTACTAGAAGTTGGGATTGAAAATAATTATGAGGCTGGGCGCAGTGGCTCATGCCTGTAATCCCAGTACTTTGGGAGGCTGAGGCGAGTGGATCACCTGAAGTCAGGAGTCCAGCTGACCCACATAGTGAAATCCCATCTCTACTAAAAATACAAACATTAGCCGGGCATGGTGGCACATGCCTTTAATCCCAGCTACTTGGGAGGCTGAGGTAGGAGAATGGCTTGAACCCAGGATGCGGAGGTTGCAGTGAGCCAAGATTGCACCATTGCACTCCAGCCTGGGCAACAAGAGCAAAACTCCATTAAAAAAAAAAAAAACAGAAAATAATTATGAGAGAGCTGTGGATCAGCCTTCCAAAGGAGCTCAACAGCCAGAGTTTGAAAAAAAATGCACAACAGGGTGGGATACACAACAGCCACGGACCAGGTTAGACAACACTAAGTGGAGCCCTGGTTCCATTATTCACTGGGATATAACCTTGGACAAGTCATTTACCTCCTCTGAGCTTTGTTTTCCTTATTCAAAAATGTTAGAATAAGAATCTTCCCTTTATATCTCACAGTGCCATGAAGACCCAGGACACATGTATTATATGTGCTAACTGAAGACCAATCTTCAAAGTTCAGGGGAAGGGGCATTTCCTCCCCTTTCTCCAGTCCAAAGTAACTCCTTGAATAGACAAGAGACCCTCTAAGCATGTCACGTTCTTTCCTCATTCACTAAGGCATTGTTCAATATCTTAAAGACTGAACTAGCTGAATAGATTCCCTGGTAACTCAAAACCTTAAAGCAGCTTTGAATTAAGAGCCTGTCTCTGGGAAGTGACATTTAGGGAAGGTCCACTAAGGCTATGTGGGCTCCACCCACTCTTCCAGCCTTCTGCCTTGTCCTGAATCACATTGGGCTGACAAGATTAGATATTCCTACTGCATAAGATTAGCACCTGTGAAAAATCATTCTCCTTGAATCACATTTTAATGCCCTGGCCTCAGTTTTTACAGTTACTAGATGAAATAATCACCCAAAATTTCTACTGCATTTTCTATTTAAAAAACGTTGATGGCATTGTTCATTATATTTTTGAGTGATCCCCACACACTACTTATAAACCATTACATGAGAAATGGCCTTTTAGACCTTTGTGAGATGCATCATAGTATGCAAATATTTTCTCCCGTTCTGTAGGTTGTCTGTTTACTCTCTCTGTTGATAGTTTCTTTTGCTATGCAGAGGTTCTTTTAGTTTAACCAGGTTCCATTTATCAATTTTTTATTTCTGTTGCAATTGCTTTTGGAGACTTAGTCACTTTTTTTTTTTTTTTTTTTGCCAAGGTTGATGTCTAGAATGGCATTTCCTAGGTTTTCTTCTAGGAATTTTATAGTTTTAGGTCTAACAGTTAAGTCTTTAATCCATCTTGAGTTAATTTTTGTATGTGGTGAAAGGTAGGGGTTGAGTTTCAATCTTCTGCATATGGCCAGCCTGTTATCCCAGCACTGTTTATTGAACAGGGAGTCCTTTCTCCATTGCTTGTTATTGTCAACCTTGCTGAAGATCTGGCCTTAGGCATGGGGCTTTATTTCTGGGTTCTTTATCCTGTTTCACTGGTCTATGTGTCTGTTTTTATGCCAGTACCATGCTGTTTCAGGTAGCAAATAAAGGCAGGAACATAAAACCAAATACTGCATGTTCTTACTTATAAGTGGGAACTAAACATTGAATACACATGGCCATAAAGATGGGAATAATAGACACTAGGGACTACTAGAGGGGGTAGAGTGGGAGTGGGGTGAGCATTGGAAAACTACCTATTGTGTACTATGCTCACTACCTGGGTGACGGTGATCATTTATATACCAAACCTCAGCGACATGGAATTTACCCATGTAACAAACCAGCACATGTACCCCCAAAACAAAAATAAAAGTTGAAAAAGGAGAGAGATGGCTTTAGAATCTATCACCACAAAGAAAAGAATACTTAATGTTAAGGGAAAATGCTAGTGATAAAATGTTGTGAATAGAGCATGCTGCAAAATGTATCGGTTGTATAATTCCAATAATTAAAAAAAAAAAACCTAGAAAGAAACCAAAACATTATCAGAAGTTATCTAATTACTTTTATAAATAGAAAAAAATATTTTTCAAAGTAATTCAATGACAGGGAATTTCATCTTCTCCAAGAAATTGTCTTCTTCCACTCTCAAAAAGAGAATTCTATAACTCATTGTGTCTTTTTTCCCTCCTTGCCTTCTTAGAAGCTCAAAGATCATTATTTGAAGCATGCATTGACCCTTATTACAGGTTCATTTAGTGCTTATTTTCATTTTCTGTTTTGTTTTGTTTTGAGACAAGATCTCTCTCTGTAGCCCAGGCTGAAGTGCAGTGGTGTGATCTCGGCTCACTGCAGCCTCAACCTCCAGGGCTCAAGCGATCTTCCCACCTCAGCCTCCTGAGTAGCTGAAACTACAATATTTACCACCAGGTCTGGCTAATTTTTGTATTTCTTGTAGAGATGTGGTTTTTCCATGTTTCCCAGGCTGGTCTTGAAACCTGAGCTCAAGCAATCCACCCACCTCAGCCTCCCAAAGTGTTGGAATTACAGGCATGAGCCACCGCACCTGGCCTCATTTTCTGTCTTATTGCTATTTCATTTTACACGTGCTTACTAGATGAGTAGTATCTACTTATATAATTTCTGAAATTTTGAAACATCCTGAACTTTTTACAAACTAAATAAGGAGCCAGAAGTAAGTGATATGTAAGTTCCAAGAAAATTAAACAACTAGCTTCTAAATATACCTCAAAAAGTAATGTGGTTTCTCAAGGCTTGTGCTTTGCAGTGGGCAAATCTGATTTATATATTTATCAAAGACCATAATGGATATTACATTCCTTTTCTGTAAGCAGTTGATACTCAATGAGATACAATGTGGACTCCCTTAGTTACCACCTCTGTGGGGGCCAGGCCTAGGTGGGAGGAAAACCTTGCACTTTCATATTGCTGTTCAGTTTTGGTGGGCATCTACCAAGGGAACCACTCTGGAGGAAGACTCTCTGTCTGATGAAATACAGGGGACAGGCCAGGTGCGGTGGCTCATGCCAATAATCCCAGCATTTTGGGAGGCCAAGGAGGGTGGATCACCTGAGGATCAAGATCAGCATGGCCAACATGATGAAACCCCATCTCTACAAAAATACAAAAAATTATCCGGGCATGATGGCAGGTGCCTGTAATCCCAGTTACTCGGGAGGCTGAGGCAGGAGAATCTCTTGAACCTGGGAGGCAGAGGTTGCAGTGAGCTGAGATTGCAGCATTGTACTCCAGCCTGGGTGATAGAGGGAGACTCCATCTCAAAAAAAAAAAAGAAAAAAAGAAAGAAATATAGGGGACAGTCAAGGATGACACTGAGGTTTTGATCTTGGAATGTTGGAAGATGGCAAAGACAATATGAGAAACGGGAAATGTGAGGGAGCTCAGCTTTAGGGGAAGGTTTCTGTGTAAGAAGAGGTAGCTGTAGAACCTGTAGTTTGGAAAGGTGAACAAACCTTGGACACCTAACCATGCAGGGGCTGTGATTCTTGTCCTGACTCCATCTTATCAGTTTGGGTCACCTGGGGCCTGTCCTTGCTGCTCCTGCTTGGGACTCAGTGTCCTCATGAATCAAGCTTGTTCATCTCTAAGGCATTTCCAGTCCTTTCAGTGGATGAGTTCATGATATTATAAATTTTTTTATACAGTCACGAATTGCTTAATAATAGGGATGCATTCTGAGAAAGGGATCTTTAGGTGATTTTGTCACTGAGCAAACATCATACAGTGTACTTACAGAAACCTAGATAGTTCCAGCCTACTACACACCTAGGTTATATAGTGTAGTCTATTGTTCCTAGGCTATAAACCTGTCCAGCATGTTGCTATATTGAACACCGTAGGCAACTGTAACACAAGGGTAAGTGTTTGTGTATCAAAATATAGAAAAAGCATAATAAAAATACAGTATTATAATTTTATGGGACCACCGTCTTCTACGGGGTCCGTCGTTGGCTGAAACGTTATTATGTGGTATGTGACTCTGCAACTCATGAGACATTTTACACATGGAGATAAAGACTTGGGTCAACTCTGTTTGTCTCAGATTGCATGGCTGCATAGATGAGTGGTTTTAATAAGGGACATTTAAGAAGTCAATGATTCGCTTTTAGTACTGACTGACACTTTTATCTCTTTTCTGGGAATCAGTCTAAATGGCATGAATTTGGAGTTTGTAAGAGCTGAAAAGAATAATGAGAAATCTAGAAATGGAATAAGCCTTGGTAAAAGGTGAGAAACGATTCAAGCATAAGGTGAATTACTAAGGCTGGTTGCCTACTTTTATGAGCTGCACAGGGAAAAGGCCACAAGGTCTGGGAAATGGAAGAAAATGAAATGCCAATAAAACAAAGGAGGTGGGCTTCCTTGTAACGTACATTCAGTGAGAGATCATAATGCTCAACAAATCTGTTAAATCCTCAGACCTCTGCCCAGGGACTTTTTCACTGCCTGACCTCACCTGATCTAAAGTTCATGCAGCAGCACAGGGAGGGAGGGTGAGAGGAATGCTGGGGAGGACTTGGATAGTATTCTTACTAGGAAGCCATAAAAATGCATATATTCTGGGACAGGGTGTGTGCTGTCATGCACAGAGCCACCAAAGTGTCATCAAATGAGTAGTGTCCCTATACTACCTAGTGGGAGTTGGGTTTGGGTAAGTGATGTCAATATACAGCCCTCAGGACAGGAAGAGGAATGCTTGGCACAAGACACACCATTGAGAAGAGTTTTGTAACAATCGGTTGGAAGAGCGATTGTGGCATTCCTTATAGCTCCGCTCTGGCTACCCTGCTCCTGCATATCACGGCCTTAGGAGTTACAGACGCTTGGGATCTCTGAGAAGACACATAGAAGATTCAGGTATGGACTGGCTGGCATGTAGGCAACAGGTAGGACAAGGTAGGTTGGGGGAATGCCTGTGTAAAGAGAGAATATAGACAACCCTTCATTCATTCATTCATTTAAATGTATGCACACATCCATTCAATCACCAAATATTTCCTCACCTGGTAAGGGCTAAGAACCTGCCTTCGGGCCTGAAATATAATGCCTTTCTCAGATAAGTCTTTTATACCCTTCTCCCATTTAAATTAGTCCTCCAGTTATTTCCTTAATAGCACTTTTTATCACCTGAAATTACTTGACTTATTTCTTTATATCTTCTCTGTCTCATCCACTAGAACACAAGACTCCTTAAGTCAGGAACCATATCTCTTTTGTTCACTGCTGTAGTCCCAGCACTAAAATCAATGTCCAGCACATAGTAGGGCCTCAGAAAAACCATTTTTTGAAAGAAAACATCATCACAGAGATGAATAGAACCTAGGCCCTTCAAGAAAAGAGTCAAAGAGAGTGTGGGAAAGCACTTAGTGGAACATAGTAAAGGAAAGAGAAAACTAGTACAAAAATTGAATTGGTTTTCCCCTAGAGATTTAAAAAAGTACTTGGGATTAAAAGACAAATAAAACATTAGAGGAGCCATCAGTGCATTGGTTCCTTGTGCTCAAGATGAGAGGGATGTGTAGAATTAATTCTCGAGTACTTTCCAGGCCTCCTGGCCTGGGAGTCTGCTGTCTTCAGGTCCGCAATGCCAGTACTGTCACCTGTGCTATCCCTGGACTCACCATGTTGGGGTGGAAGGGACATTTGACAGGTGCTCCGGAACCCAGCTTGACATTGACTTCTACCCGGCTGTGTGGCTTTGAGACGAGACAGTTGACTTTGGGAGCTTCAGCTTTTCTCTACCAGTAAAATGAGAATGACACTTGTACTAAGTGCCCCGCCTCCACAGTTTTGTTTTGAGGTTCTAGGTAATGTAGTACGTGTGCTTCATAAACTTTGAAACAACATACAGATGTTTGCAAATGACAGGTCACCAGGATGCTCTCCCCTGGTCACTGCAGGGCAAGGCTTTCATGGTCTTCTTGCCTTCGCTGGGGCTAGTTACCCACAAAATGGAGTTCTGATGGTGGACTTTAAAGGAAAAACATAAGCCATTCAGCGAGCAGCTTTGTTTACAGCCATCCATTCAAAATCACTAATGAAGAATTCATTGAGGTTTCCATGATGTTTTCTTTCTTTTTAAAGATGAGATGACTGGGTCTCAAGAAATCCTTCTTTCCCTCCAAAGACATTCATCGAGCAGCTCTATGCCTGGAACTGTCTTAATACCAGGGAAACAAGGTCGGTAACTGCCATCCTTGACGTCATAGCTGCCTCACGGGGAAGACACAGAACATTTGGCACACTCATACTCTTATAAGGCAATGGGATCTGAGCAGTGAAAAAGTGCATGGGAGATGTGGGAACACCCAAGAGAGACACTGAAATTAGCTTGGTCATGCTGGAGGGAGGGCCTGGAAAGGCCTTCTAGAAGCTAAGCCCTGGCAAAGGGGGTAAGGAACATCCACATAGAGAGGGAAACCTGTGGGAGAGAAGAAAGAGCCTGGCCCCTCTGGGAGCCCTGAGCTGTTGTTCAGTGTGGTTGTCACTTGGGCAGTGAGGTAGGGAGTGGTAAGAGATGGGCCCAGAGAGATAACAGGGAGCAGATCATGAAGCAATTCATTCTACCTTCAGGGTTTAATCTCATATACTCTAATTTTCAGGCGAGAATCTAAAAGTTGCTGTGCCATTTAGTACAGCAGAGCAGGAAGTATGTGTATTTGACCTCCTTGTTAATTTCTTCCCATAGGTACCTTTCTGTAAAAAGCAGGCTCATCCCCAAAACACTGTGTTTCAATAAGCTCGATGCAGTGCAACAGTGAAGTGACTCCTTTCTTAGCAGCTGGGTTGGAAATGCTTCTGTGTCCCTCCAGACCTGCTCTCTAGCCTCACCACTCTGCTTGGGGCCTGGAGGCTGACAGTGGGAATAGCATCAAGGGGCTCCCTGCCCTCTGGCTGCATTAGGATCAGAAGTCCTAATGCACGCGAAGTTGGGTATTTATTGCCTTGGCCCCATCCCTACCAGGCCACTCTGGGTTGGCTGCATCCCTTTTCCAAAGGTCATCCTCCTTCCAGTGACTCTTTTTGGGTAAAGGGTCAGATCTAAGTAAAGGGTCCTTGTAGTTGTTCTCCCATGTATAGGCCTCAATTATCTCTTGTTGGTGCCTGATGTGGTTTGGCTGTGTACCCACCCAAATCTCATCTTGAATTGTAGCTCTCATAATTCCCACCTGTCATGGCAGGGACCCAGTGGGAGGTAATTGAATCATGGGGGTAGGTCTTTCCCGTGCTAGTAAATAAGTCTTAGGATATCTGATAGTTTTATAGAGGGGAGTTCCCCTACACAAGCTCTGTCTTGCCTGCCACAATCTAAGACATGACCATGCTCCTCATTCACCTTCCACCATGATTGTGAGGCCTCCCCAGCCATGTGGAACTGTGAGTCAATTAAACCTCTTTCCTTTATAAATTACTCAGTCTTGGGTATGTCTTTATTAGCAGCATGAGAACAGACTAACACAGTGCCTTTAACCCTGATCATGCCCTGAGATCCTGACACACCATCATTGATTTCCCCAGCATCACTGGATTCTTTGGTGTAACAGGAATGCAGGGTGGTCAGAATCCTTGGTACCATTGAATAAAGCTACCCAGATGGTGAGGAGCACTAGGTTAGGAGTCAGGAAACCCAGCTTCTACTCCCAGCTTGGCCAATGATTAGCTGTGTGACCTCAGGCAGGTAAAAATCCTGCCATGCATTCATTCTGATGAAAGGACATTGTAGCCTAAGAAGGTAGTGATGTCTGCAAATGGAAAGGGTAGAATTGTCTGCTCCAGCTTTTTGTGAGGGTGCCTTAAGGGCCACTTTGGGGTCAAGAAGGACACAGCCAGGATAAGCCAGAGAAGGCCTTCTTTAAACTTTTTTTTCTATAGTGAGGCTCCACACATGATTTAGTTGACATAACAAAGAATTCCTTGCCACCAGGAAACATTTGAAAACAACTGGGCTCAATGAAGTTATGAAGTCCTGTTTGGTTTTCAGAGCTGAGATTTCCTCTGTGCTCATTCACTGGGTGGAGACCCTGGTAAGGATACAATCTCCCCTGCATTCCACAAGTACAGCAGCTAGTAGCTAAACCACTTGTGGGGTCACTTAATTGCTTTGATTATAAAGAGGCAGTAAATGTGACCTTGCCCAACTTAAAGGAGTCTTGTGCAGGGACAGAAGACCCTGGGGTCATATTATTTGTACACAATTCCAGGATAGCATTAACCTGAGTCATTTTCCATGAACTACTCACATGTATCAGTGGCAGTGTGTCTCACTTGAAAGTCAGTGTGCCTCTTGTGTTGCCCATGGAACTGGAGACCTGATACTCTTTCACTGGCAGCCACTGGAAGATGCTGAGAATAGCAACATGAGTGGCACTGTGGACTTAACCCAAGCATTTGACCCCATTAACTTAGTTGGTATGTGGGAAGCTCTGCAAAATGTTTGCTTCCTAGAGACACTTATTAACATCACTTCTCACTCTACAAAACCTTTCCTGATAATTGTCCTGCCAGAAGTTATGGCCCCTCCCTCTGAACTCAACATTCAGCATGCTTTTCTGCTGCCCTTTAAAGTTAGATTCCAGTTGGTGTGCACACCTAAGCTCTATCTCTTCTGCTAAACTGTGGTCTCCATTGGAGAAAGAAACATGTTGTACACATGTCTATATTCTCTACAGTGCCTTATAGACAGATGAAATCCAGAAAGTGTTTATTGTTTTGTTAGCTGACAGTCAGGGTTGACCTGTGAGGGAACTATAAGATAGATTTTTGTATCGTTGTTATAATCACAACACCAAAGTCTTAGCCTGTTCAGCCTGCCATAACAAAATCCTGTAGATTGTGTGGCTTAAATAACAACAAAAGAATTATTTTTCACAGTTCTGGAAGCTGGGAAATCCAAGATCAAGATGCCGGCTAATTTGATTGCTGTGGGGGCCTTCTTCCTGGTGTGCAGATGGCTGCCTTCCGGCTCTGTCCTCACTTGGTAGACAGAGGGAGAAGGAGAGGGAGAGAGAGAGAGAATATCTCTCTTCCTCTTGTTATAAATCCCCCAATCCTATTGGATTAGGGCTACACTCTTATGACTTCATTTAACCTTAATTATTTCCTAAAAGCACTATCTCCAGATACAGTCACATTGAGGATTAGGATTTCAACATATGAATTGGTGAGCACAATTTAGTCAACTGCATTCTGTCCCTGGCCCCCCAAAGTTCATGGCCTTCTCACATGCAATATGCATTTATTCCACCCCAACAGCCCTAAAAGTCTTAACTCATTCCAGTGTCAATTCTAAAGTCTAAAGTCCAAAGTCCCATCTAAATATCATCTATATCAGGTAAGGGTGAGGCCTGAGGTGTGACTCAACCTGAGGCAAAATTCCTTCGCAGCTGTGAACCTGTGAAATCAGACACATTACATGCTTCCAAAATGTAATGTTGGGATAGGCATAGGATAAACATTACAAAAAGGAGAAATTGGAAAGAAGAGAGGGGTGATGGGTCCCAAGCAAGTCCAAAACCTAGCAAGGCAAATTTTATTAGATCTTAAGGTCTGAGAATAGTCCTTTTTAGTTTGATATCCCACCTTCTTAGCCTGCTGGGGTGGCAGTTCTGCCCCCATGACTCTGCCAAGTCAGGTTTTCAATTGATTAAGTCTCAGCCACGTTAGGGAGGGCAATCTATTTTTTCTCAGTCCACTAATTCAAATGTTAAGCTCACAGATACACTCAGGATAATGTTTGATCAACTATCTGGGCCTCCTATGGCCCAGTCAAGTTGACATGAATTAACCATCACAAGGGGCTTTAGGAATCATCTGATCCAGCCATCTCTCCAAAGCATGAATCCCTGTGGCTACTTGCCATTAAAAAACCTGAGGAGATTCATGCCACGCTTAACTATTATCCTTGTTTTAGCAGGGTTCTATTAAATTGCCTTCAAAGGTTAAGTTTAGATTAAAATTAGAAAGAGTATGAAATCACAGCATAAGCATTTTGAGAACAAAGGCTGCTGCTGACTTCTCAAGTTCCTCCCTTGCGCTTTGTGGTGCTGGCCCAGCCAATAGTGTGAGCACAGGAGGGCAGATCCTTTCCAGGTCAAGACAAATGGGGTTTCTGCCAGACTCCGACCTCTGGCAGGCTCAGTGCAGCTGCAGCCACTGGCAGAGGGGGAATGACCTGGGGAGAAAGCTAAAGGCCAGTCTCAGTCTATGAGGCTTGGGTTCTGAATACAGAGGGTCAGTACCTAGGGTCCAAGGCTCTCCCCTTCCCAGGTAGCAGCATGACTCTTCTGCCCCCATGGCTAGAACTGCTCTGTAGCCTGGAAGTGCTGATGTGCAGGATTCTGTCTGCCTTTCTAGGCTGCATTTGACATCCATTTGAATCTTGTTTCACTCTTGTCAAAATGTTGGGAGGAGGAAGAGACACACAACAGGATTGACTCTGACATTAAGTACTCTCCCCACCCCCACCGATGCTTTCCAGGTGGTGTTTTAGGAGAACATTGTCTCCTTTCCTGATTGTCATCACTAAGACCTGAGACACCCTTTTCCAGCTTCTCTGACAATTAGCCTCAGCATCCTGTGGAAGCTGTAGAGCTCTATAAATATTCTCATTCCTGATATTATCTCTGTAAAAAAGGTGATATCATTTTGGCTAGGAAAAGTCAGAATTGCTTTGAAATTTTGGTAAAAACATTAAGAAAAATCCCCAAATTGAAATGTAGATCAATGGAAGTAGTTTTCTAGATTCACCAGTTTTCTATGGTGATAATATTACTGTTTGACCAGTATCTCCAGTGCTGCCCTTACAACATCGTACTCATGACGTTAATAAGCACGTAAGTCAGGTAATATAGTTTAATTTGAATGGTCAAGTGAGAAAGGCCCACCTTGCTCTTTATAGCAATCTCTGCAGTGGTTCTGTTTTGTAAATAGGGAATATTAAAATTTACCAGAAGTTAGCTGGGGCAAGGTAGGCATCCCATTAAAGATACCAAAATTCCCCAATGGGCAGAGTTGCAGGGAAAATAATATCTGCCCTTTAGAATAGGAGGCAATAGTGAAAACCCCACCCCTGGGCTAGCAATTTGAGGAACTTCACCATCAGGACATTGATGGCTAAACTCTGGGTCTAACTCCTGGGTGTTTCTGTGTATCTATGATGGGATTCATCTCACATCCATGCACTCTCTCCAGCGACGTCTCCATCCATATATGCATCTTTGTTCTTGAGAGGGAAGTGTAGAATAGGAGCTTGGAAGTGAATCCCTATGCACAAGACCCTGCTTTTCCTCTGAACCAGGCAACCTTGGGGAAGACATGGAGTTTCTCCCTGAAACTCTTCTCCTCATCTGGAAAGTTGGGTCATGTGAACAGGGTTGTTAGGACAATTAAATTATATAATTATTCAAATATTCTTTTTAGGCTACTGTGTGTTTTACAAATGAAAGGTATTGTTAAGATCAAACAAAACAAGGTAGACTTTTTGCACTCATCTGAATGCTTCACCCTCTGATTCACTGTAGGCAGCACCAATGCCCTATTACTTTTTAAAGTGGTTTCCATTCATGTTTAAGTCACTAGTTTCCATTCCAGCAATAGGTCAGTGAGTTAGGGGCAGCTAAAAATATAACTGCCTGAACGAAACAAAGAATCCTCCATCTTGACTTTTACTCTTTGTTTCCTTTTTGTTTTAGAAAACCACTTGAGTTGGCCAACAAGCACCCAAGTGTGATAGAAGGATGGTGGGTTTCACATCTCACTCCCATCAACCATAAATGTGTAGCATCACACAAGCTCTCTGAGCCTGCCTGCAGGTGAGTTACCTCACAGCAAAAATTTAAATAATAACATTCACACTGCAGTTTCTTCTGAAAACCCCTGTTACATAGTAAGGGTGTTCATCCTGCCTTACAAAATATACTGATGCCAAGTCCAAGATCAGAAATGTGCTCTTAATCTAAATTTAGGAAGATTAAACAAAGTTGGTGAGCATCCAGAAAGGTCAAAATAAAACTTGAGTTTGCAATATAATGATAACCTTGGAGTATTTCAGACTGTCAGCTCCCTTAAGTGGCACACAGGTTGTTGTTTGATTGGTGTGATGTCAGACAAACCTGGATTCAAGACCGGGTTCTTCTCCTACCAGCTCTGTGATCTTGGAAAAGGGACTGGATCTCTGAAACTCAGGTTCCTTTCATGTGAAATAGACCCATATCAAGTCTCTCCTCAAGCTGTCCATGTGAGGATTAGATGAAGCATCTGGCTACTGTTATTATTGTGGAGGAACATTAGCTCAAGCCACCTGCAGCAGACAGACCCTAAAGTGACCCCCAGATCCCCTTGCCTTCTGGCATTCATGCCTTATATATAATCCCTTCGAGTGTGAATGGGATCTATGGCTTGTTTCTAGCTAACAGAACATAGTAAAGGAAAGATTTTCTGCAGATGTTATCAAGGCCTAAATCAGTTGCTTTTGAATTAAGCAAAAGAGATGCTATCCTGGGTGGCCTTACTGGGTGAAAGCTGCTAGAAAAGAGATTCTTGCTAGTCCTAAAAAAGCAAGCTACTATCATGTGAATTTCCTGTGAAGAGGGCCAGTTGGCACTGTACCATAGGCAGCCTCTAGGGGCTGAGGGCCTCAATCCTAAAACTGCAAGAAACTGAATTCTACCAACACCCACCAGAGCTTGGAAGAAGACTCAGAACTACAGACAAGGATGCAGTCCTAGCTGACACCTTGACTGTAGCCTGTGAGATACAGAGCAGAGGACCCAGCTAAGCCATTGTCAGATTCCTGACACGTAGAAACTGTGAGATAAGAAAGGTATTTGTTTTAAACTGCTAAATTTGTGGTAAGTTGTTACACAGCAAAGCAAACTAATATACCCCTATTTCTGGAAATCATTTCCTAGAGACAGGCTTGTATTGGAGGAAGATGGGGTTTCCTCACGTCCCATCTACAGAACTGATGAATGTAGGGATGAGGGAAGGAAAAGAAAGCTTCCTCAGATACATCTGGGAGTGGGTATGTGTGAGCAGAGGGTTGCTATAGTAGAAAGAGAGGTTAATGAGACAGAATGTGAGGAGCTCAACACTGATACTTGACAGCCTTGTCAAACACAGCTATTGGTTGAAACTGTGTGAATCCATAACAAGATTTTTAAAAAATTAGACTTTAATTGTTATGTTGTGGATTTGTGCATACCATCTACTTCCTAAAAGACTTTAGGGGCACTCGAAATCAAAACAACTTATGATCATAGCAAAAATAATTAACAAGAGGAAAGATGGGCATCAGAATAAGGTTGATAAAGGGCAGCGATGGAAGAGAAAGTTGTATCAAGAGTTCCAGAGGCTGTGAGGCAAGCCCCTTCCCCACTCTCAGGCCATTCTAACCTACCATCTTCAATGGTATCAGGTGCTCACACCTATAAAGCCCACCTCTAAATCTGACTCTGCCTTGGGGACCTTGTCCTGCATTCCTGCACATCCTGTGGGATACACTGTGATGCCCCACACGTAGGAGATGCTCAGCAGATGTCTAGTGAAATGAATTGTTGACCCAGCTCATTTCTAACAGGCAGCCTTTCCAGAGAATGACAGCGAATGTGTACTCTCTGTGTTTGAAGACTGTGTGATGTTAATTGAAGTGCCTGCAAGTCAAAATAAGAATGACAGTTTATTTTAAAAAAATATTTTAATGGGGATCCTGAAAGTGAAAACAAATCCTTCACGGAGAGATTCTTTATTGAAGAGAATTTTAGAAAGACCACAGAATTCAGTCCTGCCCCACTGTGAATTCAATTCCCTGGGTAAACTACATAGCGTGTGTTTATGCCTAACAGATACATATGCATCATATGCATGGGTGGCCTGTATGTGAATGCAGAAATACCTGTGTATTTACACTCCAGTATATCTGCTGTAAGTCTGTATCAGTGTTTCTCCACCCTATTTTCATTATCACCTCCCTCAAGGACGCTTTGTAAACATGTTTTCCCTAATCACCCCTTATATAGACTTAATACCACAGATACACTGTATATCTATTTAAGGGCTGTATGTATATATTTATGCCTTATATAAAAAGAGTGTAATTTTGTACCCCATATGAACCAATTTTATTACTTTTGGGGTGATAATTACCCCCCTGCCTTGAGAATACATGGTCTATATGTGCATCTGTGTGTGTGTGCATATGTGTGCCTGTGTGTGCACACACACACAGACACACAAACACAAGCTAACTGGGCAGAGGTCTGAAAAGCATTTTGAGATATTTGAGGAGAGGTTTCCCATCAATAACCAAGAAAGCAGTTCTGGTCCAGTGATTCTTGTAGGAAACAGATGCTAGCAATTAGAAAACTGGAAAACTCCAGTTGGTCCTGAAGCACACTGGGCATGACCTGTTTTCCAAATCTTCAGAGATGGGGGAGATTTTATAAGGCCATATGAGCAGAAAACATCTAATTGTTCATAAGAGGAAAATTTCTGAAATTCTAATGTCTACATTGCCATTGCAAACTATGAAGTTCTCACATCTATTTTAAAGTAACTGAGCAAAATACATTTTGGACAAAAGGGAACCATTAGCATGTTTAATATTTTATAAATATGATCACTATGGTAGGCAAGACTTTATTCAACAATCAATCAAGCTCTGAAACTCTCATTTGCACCTCGAAATGCTTAGCTTTACAAAAAGAGTTGTAGGAAATGTGGAAGTAAAGATCAATGCATCTGCTTTCAAATATCTTCAATCCAATTTTGTTACAACATAAACCAGATAAATATCTGAGGACCTCAAATCTGTGTGAGTTACATCAACCACAGGACATGGGAGAGAAAACCCCTCTCTTGCTACTCTGAGTAACTGTAGCACTACAAAAACACAGCATCATTCAATCACATTTCTAACCCTGACAAACTTTCACATAACAGAGGTACTGACCACTTTCACCTTTCCTTTTTAAATAAAACTGTAAACTAAGGAGAAGGTAAAAACAAGGGCCACTAGAGTGGGAACAGATTTGCTAACAACTGTGATTGGTTAGTGTACACTTACTATGTGCCCAGTACTATGTGTTGGGCCCAAATACACGAATTCTTTCTATAGCAAGCCCTGCGGAAATCATTCAGCCTCTGTTAAAATACATCCGTTCATGGGAAGCTCACCACCTTTCTCAAGATACCCCATTGCTCTGTTGGGGAAGTTTTATTTTAAGAAAGTTCTTTGATGTGTTAAGCTAAAGTTGGCTTCTCCACTTAAAATCTTAAAATCAGCCCTCAGCTTTTTTCTTGAGATTGACATAAATAAGTTGAATTATTTCTCCATGTGGTTCACTAAAGGCAGGGCTCATGGTCAGCAGATATCCCCACCAAGACCACATCTTCAGTGAAGGCTGACCAGATGGGAATTCAACAGGCTGAGGGTAAGGATAACAGTTAACTGTCTTACATGTTGTTGCTCAGGTAGTGAATGACATGAGTATTAAATTGGGCATTTATTTACCCGTTGATGATAGACTGGATAAAGAAAATGTGGTACATATACACCATGGAATACTATGCAGTCATAAAAATGAATGAGATCATGTCTTTTGCAGGGACATGGATGAAGCTGGAAGCCATTGTCCTCAGCAAACTAACACGGGAACAGAAAACCAAACACCGCATGTTCTCACTCATAAGTGGGAGTTAAACAACGAAAACACATGGACACAGGGAGGGGAACAACGCACACCAGGGCATGTTGCAGGGTGAGGGGTGAGGGGAGGGAATTCAGAGGATGGGTCAATAGTTGCAGCAAACCACCATGGCACATGTATACCTATGGAACAAACCTGCACGTTCTGCACGTGTATCCCGGGACTTAAAGTAAAAAATAAAAATAAAAATAAAAAATTGGGCATGTATTACCCAACACCATGTCTCATGAGTGGTGAAAGAAGCAGATAAATCTGGGCAAGTAAAGGAAGTCCACTGTGTACAGTGCCCACGGACCTACAGAGACAGAGGGTGCCCAGTGCCTACACCTTTGACCTCCCTCCAACCACTGCTGAAGCTTCCTTGACACTTCCTATCCTTGACAGTTGGTTACAATTATGTCTGCTCTTGCCCTCACCCATTCACTCTCTCACCAGAAAATAATTAAAGGGAACTAATATATTTATAAATAACAGTCCTTTTCCTTTTTAAATTTTCATATAAACTTGGGAAATGTACAGTGAACAAGTACTATTGGTATATTCTCAATATTCAAGCCTATTATAGTGTCCAGGAAAAGGGATGGGAAGAAAGAATTAAAGAAAGAAATGTTTTTTTTAAAAAAAACCTCAAGGTGGCCAGGAACACTGTTCCTTCACCCCAGATACCAGGCAGGCCCCTTTGGCCACTCCTTAGGAGAGATGATAGGTTAGGAACATGTATAAGCTGTGTGGCCTTGAACAAGCCACTTAACCATTAGTGCCTCAGTTTCCTCATCTATACAATCCTAATAATAGTATTTAATACATAGAGTTGTGGGGATTAAATAATAAATTCACATAAAGCTATTAGAGCACACATAGTAAGCATTTAGTCAATGTTAGCTGTCATTACTATTATTCTTTTCCCTTGAAGGAGGCTTTCAGAAATTTTTATAACTTGATTTCACTCAGTGAGAAGCCTTCAATTTGGTAACAGAAGAGGGGATGGAGAGGGAGGAGAAAGAACTCACAGTGTGATCTGCTTTACGCAGGCCTCCCAAGGCTGGCCCAGCAACTCAAGATAATTCTGTGTTCATACAAGCCCTACCTACAATACTGGGTTGACATTTCTGTTTTCTCTATTAAAAGCATCCCAAATAATGTACTGAAGTTGTAAAATAAATCTTTGGTGCTAAATATCCTAATGAGACATTTAGAAGCACTCAAATTAGGTGTTACAATTAATATCATAGGATCTATAAGATTCAAAAGAAAATTCCATTTATTTTTTTTCTAAAGAGATAATAATCTGAGACTGGATAAAGAAATGTGGTACACATACACCATGGAATACTATGCAGCCATAAAAAGGAATGAGACCATGTCCTTTGCGGGGACATGGAAGCTCAAAGCCATTATCCTCAGCAAGCTAACACAGAAACAGAAGACCAAATGCCATATGTTCTCACGTATAAGTGGGAGCTGAATAATGAGAACACATGGACACAGGAAGTGGAACAACACACACACACTGGGGACTGTTGAGGGCTGGGGTGGGGGGAGAGAGAGCATTAGGAAAAATAGCTAATGCATGCTGGGCTTCATACCCAGGTAATGGGTTGATAGGTGCAGCAAACCACCATGGCACATGTTTACCTATGTAACAAACCTGCACATCCTGCACATGTACCTCAGAACTAAAAAAAAAAAAAAAATAGAAATGAAAGAAATAATGATCTGGGCTCTTTTTTGCAAACCACGGAACTCACTCTAGCTAAATTAAGCAAAAGAGAAGTGGGGTTAGAAAGCCAGTTCTTGATATTAGCCCTTTGTCAGATGAGTAGGTTGCAAAAATTTTCTCCCATTTTGTAGGTTGCCTGTTCACTCTGATGGTAGTTTCTTTTGCTGTGCAGAAGCTCTTTAGTTTAATTAGATCCCATTTGTCAATTTTGTCTTTTGTTGCCATTGCTTTTGGTGTTTTAGACATGAAGTCCTTGCCCATGCCTATGTCCTGAATGGTATTGCCTAGGTTTTCTTCTAGGGTTTTTATGGTTTTAGGTCTAAAGTTTAAGTCTTTAATCCATCTTGAATTGATTTTTGTATAAGGTGTAGGGAAGGGATCCAGTTTCAGCTTTCTACATATGGCTAGCCAGTTTTCCCAGCACCATTTATTAAATAGGGAATCCTTTCCCCATTGCTTGTTTTAATCTACAATGAACTCAAACAAATTTACAGGAAAAAAACAAACAACCCCATCAAAAAGTGGGCGAAGGATATGAACAGACACTTCTCAAAAGAAGACATTTATGCAGCCAAAAGACACATGAAAAAATGCTCATCATCACTGGCCATCAGAGAAATGCAAATCAAAACCACAATGAGATACCATCTCACACCAGTTAGAATGGCAATCATTAAAAAGTCAGGAAACAACAGGTGCTGGAGAGGATGTGGAGAAATAGGAACACTTTTACATTGTTGGTGGGACTGTAAACTAGTTCAACCATTGTGGAAGTCAGTGTGGTGATTCCTCAGGGATCTAGAACTAGAAATACCATTTGACCCAGCCATCCCATTACTGGGTATATACCCAAAAGACTATAAATCATGCTGCTATAAAGACACATGCACACATATGTTTATTGCAGCATTATTCACAATAGCAAAGACTTGGAACCAAGCCAAATGTCCAACAATGATAGACTGGATTAAGAAAATGTGGCACATATACACCATGGAATACTATGCAGCCATAAAAAATGATGAGTTCATGTCCTTTGTAGGGACATGGATGAAACTGGAAATCATCATTCTCAGTAAACTCTCGCAAGAACAAAAAACCAAACACCGCATATTCTCACTCATAGGTGGGAATTGAACAATGAGATCACATGGACACAGGAAGGGGAACATCACACTCTGGGGACTGTTGTGGGGTGGGGGGAGGGGGGAGGGATAGCATTGGGAGATATACCTAATGCTAGATGATGAGTTAGTGGGTGCAGCGCACCAGCATGGCACATGTATACATATGTAACTAACCTACACAATGTGCACATGTACCCTAAAACTTAAAGTATAATAATAAAAGAAAAAAAAAAAAAAAGAAAGCCAGTTCTTGGCTTCTGCCTTGAAGATGCTGGGCCTAAGAAGCGTGTTCAAATGGCACTGGGTAGCAATGAAGTAGGACGAATATCTACTACATACATCAATAACAAAATCAGTTAAAAATACTCCCAAAATACAAACATATGAATAGTGGGCAAAAGTGCCCTTTATTGTTACTTGTTGGCAAAAGAAAGAACCAATTTCCTGCCAGATCATGGCATTTGAGACTATGGAAAAAGGCCTGGAACATGAGGAAATTAGGCATGCACACACACACAATGAAAGTGGCTAATGTGAAAGTTAACCAAAGTAAGTTAACCAAAGCCAGAGACTATAAGTAGGTTCCATGAGTTTATACAATCTGAATTAAGCCCAGGACCCAGCAGGCCCAGGAATGTGGTTCCATCTGTTTCATGGTTGAAAAATTCCCCAGAGAGGCCAAGTGCCTTGATCAAGGGTGTAGGGGAGTCAAGAGCAGAAACTGCCCTGAGTGTTTACCATTAGGAATGTGTGACCTCATAAGACAGTATTCTCCTTTCTCAGGTAATCTGTCCTTGGGAGCGGTTGTCTGGGGCTTCACAGAATGGCTTTCCTGCTTGAATGGCTTGGCTAACTCACCTGGTATGCAAAATTGGTTTGGAAATGAGCTAATCATTATATTTTTCACACGGTGACATCCTGGAAAGACCTGCTGTGAGTTCCCACTAGGGAAGTGGAAACTTCCTAGCTACCTTCTCATAGGCAGGTGGCTATGTCCCAGCACACAGATGTTAGGACACTGCTCAGAGGAGCAGCATGTGTCAGCAGCACATGGCTTGGCAGGAGCCAGGAGTCTAAGCAGTAAATATCAAGGGAATGATTTGTCAGAATAGCACCCCAAGTGCAGGGGAAGTGAGAGGAGGCGTAGTGGTAGAATTAGGGAATGAGTTCTGTCTACATCCAGGGCTTCCACCTGAGGACTCGAGTCCGCAACCACAAAAACCTTTCTATGGACCTGGCAACAAAGTCCTAAGCTTCAGCCCCTGTGAATATTTCAACACATGCAGGATAGGAATATTAATAACCTGGATTCACATCAGAATGTTCTCCAAGTAATTCAGAATGCTTCATTTTACAGCTCAACCCTGAGGTTGCCAGATCTCAGTGCTTCATGGAATGGACAGTGACAGGTGAATATGGCCACTCTCACTGAAGGCAGCTCCTCCAACCTCATAACCATTTACAGCAAAGGCCAAGCCCACAGCTCCAGGCATCATGCCACATTCGTTCAATTCCTTCTTGGAAGGGTACCTAGGTCAGCGATCAGCTCACACCTGTTTTTGTAGATGAGGTGTTACTAGAACACAGGTATGTCCATTTGTTTACATGTTGTCTACAGCTGCTTTTATACTACAAAGGCATAACTGGGTAGCTGCAACAGAGACTGTATAGCCTTTAAGGTCTAAGACATTCACCCTGTGACTCTTTACAGAGGACATTTGCTGACCTCAACCTAGGCTATGAGAGCTCCAAGGCCATTCACCAAGTATATTGTAAACTCCCTGAGAGCAGAGTCCTTTTGGAACCTCCCATGGGACCTCACACAGTGAGGTACACAAGAGAATCAAAGAATCAACTTTTAGAGCTGAAAGGGACCTCGGGTATCATTTTATCCAACCCTTTTATTTTAGAGATGAAGAAACCCAAGCTGCCAGTTGAAAATAACAGAATGGCAGAAAGCAGAACCAAAAATCAAGTTTCCTAAACTCCACTGTAATGCTCTATTACTTGACAATTGGTGAATATAAAATAAATGAAAAGATAGGTATGGATTTACACAGGAATATCATTTGCTGGGTATATGGTGTGTGCCAAATACTATGTGGATGTGGGTATTTCAGTTTTGGACCTCAAATCTCAGGAGAAAAGTGTATGTATACATATTATATATACACATAAAATTTATATGTGTATCCTGTATATTATGTGTGTGTATACAGTTGACCCTTGCAAAACACAAGTTTGAACTGCACAGATCCACTTATACATGGATAAGTATAAGTGGGTCTTCCACCTCTGTCACTCCCGAGAGAATAAGGCCAACCCCTCCTCTTCCTCCTCCTCTTCCTCCTCAGCCTACTCAATGTGAAGATGAGGAGGATGAAGACTTATGATGACCCACTCCCACTTAATGAATAGTAAATCTATTTTCTCTTCCTTGTGGTTTTTTTTTTTTTTTTTTTTTTTTGAGACGGAGTCTCGCTCTGTCGCCCAGGCAGGACTGCGGACTGCAGTGGCGCAATCTCGGCTCACTGCAAGCTCCGCTTCCCGGGTTCACGCCATTCTCCTGCCTCAGCCTCCCGAGTAGCTGGGACTACAGGCGCCCGCCACCGCGCCCGGCTAATTTTTTTTTTTGTATTTTTAGTAGAGACGGGGTTTCACCTTGTTAGCCAGGATGGTCTCGATCTCCTGACCTCATGATCCACCCGCCTCGGCCTCCCAAAGTGCTGGGATTACAGGCGTGAGCCACCGCGCCCGGCCTTCCTTGTGGTTTTTTAAATAACATTTTCTGTTATCTCCTTACTGTATTGTAATAATACCATATATAATGCATATAGCCTACAAAATGTGTGTTGACTGTTATGTTATCAGTAAGGCTTCCCATCAGTAGTAGGCTATTAGTAGTTAAGATTTTAGGAAGTCAAAAGTTACACATGGATTTTCAACTTGTATGGAGGGGTCAGTGCCCCTAACCTCCACGTTGTTTGGAGGTTAACTGTATATATGTAAAACACACACATACTGTGTATGTCTGTGTAATAATAAGATGATGGTGCACATGCTCCTTTGAAGGAGACACCCACCGTGAGGGGAGTATCCATCTGATTTGTGACTTCAGGGTCACCATTTTTAGTTGTTACCACCTGTTCATCTGAACCCAGGTGATGGAAGTCAGCACCAAACCGAAGGAGCAGAGCCATGCATGGATGGTCTTTGTCTTTCATCCCTGGTGTATTGGTTTGTTTTCATGCTGCTATGAAGAAATACCCAAGACTGGGTAATTTATAAAGAAAAGAGGTTTAATTGACTCACGGTTCCGCAGGGCTGGGGAGACCTCAGGAAACTTACAATCATGGTAGAATGCACCTCTTCACAGGGCAGCAGGAGAGAGAATGACTGCCAGCAGGGGAAATGCCAGACACTTATGAAACCATCAGACTCGTAGACTCACTCACTATCACGAGAACAGCATGGGGGAAACAACCCCCAAGATTCAATTACCTCCCATCGGGTCTCTCCCTTGACACATGGGGATTATTACAATTCAAGGTGAGATTTGGGTGGGGATGCAGAGCCAAACCATATCACAGAGCCTCTTTTTCCAGCTCTTCATTGACCATCCCCCATGTCACAAACCTCTTGTCAACTAGGTGCATCTGATAACCACTCTTTGAAATGAAGTCTGGGTATTCCTTCACTCTACAGTGTTCACCAACAAGGCATTCCCTTTGAGAGGCATTTTTCTCCCACTCTGGAATGAAAGTTGCCTCGCCCTAGTTAGAGCAATTCTTGGCATACAGATGGAAAATGCTTTCTGAGGAGTGTTAGGCCTAGATAAGCCTCTTATCATCCTTTAGGGTGACCTTAACTGGGAGAGGAACCAGAAGAGATAGTCCATGGTTTTTCTCCAGCAGTGTCCTTACTCTCCTGGGGTAGGTGGGTACCAAGAGAAGGTCCTGGGGTCTTGACTGGGTGGAGAGCCTGGTGTCCCCCTATCACCTGCTCTGGAATCTGCCCTAGCAACAGGTCTACGGGGGAGAGAGGGGAAGAGGTGGATGGCTTTCTCCCCCTTCTCTGCCTGAGCTTAGCTGGGCCTCTCCCCTCATGTTGCACACTTGAACTGAACCCCAACTTCTTCCCTGGCTGTGCTGCAAAACACTGCTTAGTGCCTTCCTGATACCAGGTCCCTTGGCTTGGAGCTCCCATAGCCTCATTCTTGCCTTCAGGCCACAGTCCTTCCAAATGCCCAGTGGCTGCCACTCTCCCAGACCCCCAGGCTGCAAGTTCTGCCAGGTCCCAGCTGGCTTCCCCCACAAGACCCAGGGCCTGGCACCTGGTAGGCTTCAGTAAACAGCTGCCACATGGAAAAGTGCATTTCAAGTACCTTGACTTCATTTTTTATTGTTTTTAATTATGAACACACATTAAAGGGTTTTGGAGTTAGTCAGAAACCCCAACTCTGCCACTTTCCATGGGACCTTGAGCAAAACACCTAACCTTTCTGAAGCCAGATTTCGCATGTAAAACAATCACAATATATCTAAAGGAGTAGGGATACTGGATTAAACAGAGTGTCACCACAATATCTGGTGCATAGGAGAGAGATGCTCTGCAAATTATATTTATTATAATGCCTTCCCTGATCCTGCTACCCTTGACCATGGCAAGTGTCTCAGAAAGACTCAGAAAGTCCTAGCAGTGAGGCTGGACCACCCCCACCCCCCACACCAGGGAGTAAACTCAATCAGCAGCAGCTTTATTCTCACCTCTGCTTTCAGTCTTCTATGTGGCATTATAACAGCCTAACTTGTCTGGGCCTCAAGGAGGAATGAAGCTGCTAGAATCCTGCGAGGACTCGATGGAATCCATCAAATTCCATGGACGATATTGTAAATTTCTTTAGATTTATTGTTATATCTCACATTTATAGTGCCTAGTGAATAGTCTGTAATTTTTTTTGTTGTTGTTGTTGTTGGACTCTGCCATACATATCTGTAAATGACTCTAGGTCTTAGAATGGAAGAAGAGCCGACTGGAATAGATGTAAGATTTCTCTCAAGTCAGTGGCTTCATCCTTGCAAAGATGATTTTCAGAGCTTACTCTAGAATCCTGACTGAGGAACTTGGGCCAATGCCACATCTTGGGCAAACTGGCCAGGGGACAAAATCTGCTCTTGGTGGCCACACCCACAATGCACAACAGGTACACTTTTTTTTCCCAGTGGCATGCAATACTCCTGGTCTCTCTTACCCACTTCCTTCTGGTCCTCTTCCCTCTGCCTACTGACCTGATAAAGTAATCCCAGATAATGTGTCAGCTGGGGCTACTGCATCCATAGGTAGCCCATTACAAGTAGCATATGTATATTTTTAAAAGGACGTCTAAGAAACATTCCTTAAGCCAAAGGGGTTGATCAAAGAATGGGAGTTCATGTCACTATGGCAGAGAAGTGGGTAGGAGACTTGAGAACAGGTGCGTCTTTAGGCTGCTCTAACTCACCCAATCTGGTAATTGCCCTGCTTTCTTGTCTAAGTGTTGGGATCTGACCTTGACCTTGGACTATTCATTGCCACCTATGGAGAATTAAGGAAAGGCAAAACCTTGGTCATCTCCCTCTTGCTCGCCATTGGGAAAATGCCTTCTGATTTAGCGCAGCAATTTCTCCTCATTAAGCTACAAGGGGCTGGGTAAAATGAGGCAGGAGAGAGCACAAATTCTGATGTCAGGGGATGAAGTTTGAAGCCAGGCTCTACAATGTCCTAGCTTTGTGCATTTATCCAGATGGGACTCAGTCTGACCTTCAGTTTCCTCATCTGTAAATTGGGAATAGTACCAAGACCTACTCCATGGAATTCAAGGAATCAGCGAAACTAAGGTGTTCAGAATAGCAGTTAGCCACTGTTGCTATTATTCAATTTCCAAACTGATTCTCTGATTTTGAAAATGCAAAGACACCACTCATGGGACCAAAGAGGACTGAGGTGTGAAGACTGGTTTTTCTGTATCATAAGCCACTTCAGTGATCCTCTGTCTCACCTACCCTTTTCCCTCTTCCATCCCCGCTATCTCTTTCCCAACATTTTCCTCTTCAAGAACCTTATACTTTGAGGATGGGGATAAATACCTTTGCAAAAACAACAACAACACCAACAACAAAACAATAAACAAGGCTGCAACTGTTTTTATAATTCCACGGGCCATGGAGCAGATCCTAAGTCTAAAGGTCACTATATAAAATGACTGAGATGTTATATACCTTGGGGTGACCTGAGAGCAGTAGAAGACCACTCGCCTACCAAATCTCTCCTACATTTGAATGTCACAGGGCTTTAAATTTCCACTGTTAGACTCACCCCTGTGGGTTTTGGATACTCCCATGGGGCCTGGTTAGGTTAAGGGCAGTGTTCCCTTAACCAGACTGGGCACAAGAATCACCTGCAGCACTTGTTAAATTACAGGTATCTGGGACCTCCTTCCCTGAAGACTCTGATTCACACATTTGGGCTGGAGTTTGGAAAATGCCCCAGGTGGTTCTCATGCCTGTGCAAGGCTGGGAAACCCTGTTCTGGTGGAGAGTGGTCAGGTCTGGAGTCCGGATCTCCAGGTTTCTAAGTTTGTATAGAGCAACCCATCATGCAGCCCCTGACAAATCACCTGGTATATGAGAGGATTAACTATCTTCCTTCCTCAAAGGATAAGAGACCCAAAAATGCTTCAAAAAACTGTATGTACACACAAGGAACCATTTTAACAGAATATGGGAAATAACGCTGGGAAAAGGAATGCAAGAATAGTTTCAGTATCAGGTGGAAGCAGTTGAAGTTGATCTAGCAGATGGGGAATCGATGTCATACAGGAGAAGGTTCTTCTTTAGGAAGATTAAGTGGACAGTATTAAGCATGGTCAACAGGAGGTGAGAGAGGCTGCAGGTGGGATGCCAGTTTGTAGTAGGAAACAAGAATACATAACTTAGTTTCTACGGTAGAGACTAGCTCCAAACCTGCTTCCTCTCTGTCCTTGCAGCACAGTTAGATGACACTTCCCAGCTTCCCTTGCACAGAGGAACAGCCACAGGATTGAGCTCTGGACTATGGAAAGTGGGTGGAAGTGATTCGACCATGCAAACCTACCATGATGTCCTCCAACTTCAATCTTCCCTGTGCTGGCTGACTGTAGAGAGCCCAGCAAAGGAGTTGGCCGTCCCGCAGGGTGGCAGAACTACAGGGTGGAGGGAGTCCAAGTGGGGGAGACCACTCACTAAACACTGCATTGAGCTACTGTGTGAAAAAGTTGGTAGGTTGTTGTTTCAGCAGTTGACCTATACCGACCAAGGCAGTGCCTGACATCTGAACAGTGAAGACTGTAGTTTGCAAAAGGGGTTCATGTTTCTTATCTTATTTGACTTCATAATAATAATCCTGCCACACAGATCAGATCCCTGTTATATTCACAAAGTACCTGAATGAGGAAAGGCCACATAACTTTCCCTACACAGCTCCCCTCTCCCAGAGCCTGTGGGGAAGCCCTGCCCAGAACCTTCAATTCCACAAGTAAAACCTGAGTCATTTGTGACAAAGGGCCAAGGACATATGGCTCCTTTGGTTTCAGGGGCAAATTCTAAAGACACTGCTGTCTCTAGATTTTATGCTATAACTATAAAATGCCACAGAGAGCAAATGTGTAAATGAATAAAAGGCAGGTGAGACGGCCCCTCGTCTTCATCCTTGGTGTTGACGGGGCCCATGCACACTGGCAGCATTAGGAAGCAGACGTGGACATTGACAGGAGAGGAGCCTTGGGCTGGATCAAGAAACCTCTATCTGTTGCCATGACAATCTCCCAAATTGGATGTTTAAGAGAATAACTGGGACATGGTGTTACTTCGTCTCTATTCTAGGTAATGGGTTCCCAGTTGGACTCCATTCACTGCACATCCTCCCCTCCTTCCCCTTTTGTGTTATTTCTCCAGTCGGACACTTGTTTCTTTTCCCTCTTACCATAGAATAACGTTAAACAAAAGTGGAAAAGAAACCATCACCCTGAAGTCCATAGAGGTTGATATAGGATATGGGGTAACTGGCACAAAACTTCTACACACCAAAGCCTGTGGGTAACCAGAGACGTGCTGCAAAGGCCTCCCACGCCAAAACACCCTGCCTCAGATGCAGGGCCAAATGCACCATGTTTAGATAATTAAGCACTTCCCTCTTTTAAACTACAATTGCTCCACAGGCAGGTAGGGGCACAGCAGTCTTCCACTTTATAAACAAAAGTCTGGATCCCCCAGCTTGCCATCAGAGATGCTTCATGATCTGATCTGCTAGATCTGAATGTTTGTGTCCCCCCAGAATTCCTATGCTAAAATTTCATCTCTGAGGTGTTGGCATTAGCAGGTGGAGGCTTTGGGAGGTGATTAGGTCATGAGGGTGGAGCCCTCACAAATGGGATTAGTGTTCTCATGAGGGGCTGAAGAGAATAGAGTTATCCTCCTCCACAATGTGAGAACCCAGTGAGAAGGTGACAGCTATGAACCACATTGTGGCCCTCACCAGACACCAAATCTATTGGTGCACTGATAGACTCCCCAGCCTCCAGAACTGTGAGAAATAAATTTCTGTTGTTTATAAGCTACCTAGTTCATGGCATTTTGTCATAGCAGCTCAAAGAGATTAGGACAGAGCCTATGTGTGTATATATATATATATATATTTATATATATATATATACACACATGTATAAATATATATACATGTATAAATATATATATACATGTATAAATATATATATACACATGTATAAATACATATATATATATATATATACACATGTATAAATACATATATATATATATATATATATATATATATATATTTAGATGGAATCTTGCCCTATCGCCCAGCCTGGAGTGCAATGGCGCAATCTTGGCCCACTGCAGCCTCCGCCTCCTTGGTTCAAGCAATTCTCCTGCCTCAACTTCCTGAGTAGCTGGGATTACAGGCATGCGCCACCATGTCCAGCTAATTTTTTGTATCTTTAGTAGAGACGGGGTTTCACCATATTGGCCAGGCTGGTCTCGAACTCTTGACCTCATGATCTGCCCACCTCAGCCTCCCAAAGTGCTGGGATTACAGATGTGAGCCACTGCGCCTGGCCCCTAACTTACATTTTTATCTGCCTTCCCAATATCCATTCACACCCTCTTCAGCACAGCCAAGCAGAGCTCTGAGTTTTCTGGGACACATCCGGGCTTGTCTTGCTTCTGAGCCATTGTTCACATGATTTCCTTTGCCTAGGACATTGCATTTATTTCCTACCTCTTATTCCTTGATCACCTTGGCTAACTCCTCACGTGCCTCATTCCTCCCTCTCAAATGATATTTCTTTTTTTTCCTTTTTTTTTTTTTTTGAGACAGTCTTGCTCTGTCACCAGGCTGGAGTACAGTGGTGCAAACTCAGCCCTCTGCAACATCCACCTCCCGGGTTCAAGCGATTCCCCTGCCTCAGTCTCCTAAGTAGCTGGGGCTATAGGTGGGTGCCACCACACCCGGCTAATTTTTTTGTATTTTGCTAGAGACGGCGTTTCACCATGTTGGCCAGGATGGTCTCGATCCCCTGACATGATCCCCCTGCCTCGGCCTCCCAAAGTGCTGAGATTACAGTCATGAGCCACCATGCCCAGCCCCAAAAGACATTTTTTAAAGCAAGTCCTTATTTCTGTACTTCTTCTCCATGCTCCCTCCTCTGGGGAACCTCCTCCGTCACCTGTAGCTCTGAGCAGAAGTTCAGATAAAATCCCTAGCCCTGAGCCCCTGTGATCCTCAGCTCTGATCCTTCAGCATTCTAAGGAACATCTGCACAGGACTGGCCTGCCAGCACTTCAGATTACACCATTCCAAATCAAACGATTTTAATGAACAGCAACTCCCTTCCTCACAGGATACATAGGCTTTCTTCAGAGTTAAAAGGAAACTTAAAGCTCAATTAGTTTGTCTGTACTCTTCAATTTACAATATCTTAGACAGTAATGGTCAAGCCCATCAAAGATATCACCATTCTAGATGTGGACACTAACCTTTCCAGGGGTGAATGTACCAGGAAACTGCTGAGTCTTCGGTGTTGGTGCCCCTAATATACACTATTTGCACAGGCTTCTTCCAAGGCATGCACCTAATTTTGTATTCACTTCTGTATTCCACAACACACTCTGTCTTTTGGCCCTTGTTTGGACTCACTTGGCCTCCTGATGGGACCACTGGGATAGCCTCCTCACTGACTTCTGCCTCAGGGCTCTCCTTATTCCAACATGGTCACAGTGAATGCAGCCGTAATAGCAATGGCAAAAACAGCAGCAGCTCACATTTTATCTCACTACTCTTCCTTAAACCCACATAGCGTATATCCCAAAGTGTTAGATTGGGAACTTATCTCATCAGAGAAGGTCAGACTGGATGACTTCTGGAAGCTTTTCCAAATAATAAATTCTATGGTTTTATGAATGTTGATCACATTTTATAGAAAAAAAAAACTTACCCTTAAAGCAAGTCACGCAACCAGTGCGTGGCAGACCTGGAATCCAGATCTTCTTTCTTTTGTTTGTTTGTTTTTTCCTGTTTTTTTTCTTTTTCTTTTTTTTTTTTTCCCGATTTTCATTTGCACAAATTTATGGGGTACATGAGCAATTTTGTTACATGCATAGATTGTGCAGTGATCAAGTCAGGACTTTTAGGGTATCCATCATACTTTGAGTTCATTGATTTTCCCACTAAAGCACGAAGTCCAGCTATCAATCTTTCTAAACATAACCCAAGTCAATCTCCTATTGTGTGTAGACACTTCCAGTTACTCCCCACTACTTACAAGGGAGCAGATACCACTTACCTCCCATTCAAGGCCCCCTCCTGCCACTGTTGTTGGCTTTTTTGCTGTCCTATTTCCAATTGCTCCTTTCATATACCACTTGCTTCAGACAACCCCGTGTACTCATAAGCCCTGAGCATCCCCATCTCCACACCTTTGCTGGACCTGACATGGTTGCTCACTTTTGGCCACCTCTGAATCCTGATCATTCTTCAAGACTCAACTCAGGTCCCACCCTACCCAAAGCTGGGCCTGAAGACACCATTTGGGCCACACTGGTCCCATCATATGCATGACTCATTGCATTCCTGTCACTCATGTGCCACTGATGCTTGTTTGCATTGCACTCCTCAGTGGCACTCTCACAAGCTACTGGAGCCTGTCTTCTTCTCTGATCTCCCCCAGCCCCCTTCAGCTTTCACAGAGCCTGGCACAGAGTAGGTGCTCTGTAAGCATTTTCATATATTGATTGATTGATTATATTTTATCCCCAACTCCCTACATTCTTTATCTTACTATCTCCTTCATGCATTGCCATTTAAAATTATGTGTCACTCCTATATAATAAAAAATATACAAAGGAAGAAAAGAAAAATTACAAAAGAAAGGTCAAAAGCATTTCTTTCCTCCCTTTTCTGGTTTATTTGAGGTCAATCTGGAGTGATTCATGTGAACCAGCATATTGCCTTGGCTACCTCCATCCTGTGAAATGCTTGTTTGAAGTAGCGACTGGACCATATTTTGTCCTTTTGATGCTCCACTGAGTAGTTCAGCCCTATTTACCCATGGTTTGCACCAGTGGTTCTCAGTCTTTGATGGGCTTCAGAATCACCAGTGGGTAGCTTCTTAAGCATACAGATGCCTGGGCCTCACCCCACCCTCCTAAATCTGAAACTCTATAGACAGGACCTGGGCAGGTACAAGTGAAGAAGGCAAGTGCAGTGACTCTTTCATGCCCCAAAGGCTGAGAACCACCAGCCTACCCATGGTTTACCTCCAGTGCTGCTGGCATGGGAAGAGTCTTTGAATCCCCCTTAAAGACTCTTCCCATGCCAGCAGAGCTAAAAGAACTTCTAGAAGTTAACAACTCCATTTCTTTTTACAGGGAAGAATTCGTTTCAGTTCAGACAGTAGGCTATTTATCTTATTTGTCCTTAAAGAATTTCACATCTCAGAACTTAGATACTTCTTTCTTGAAAGAAAAGACACGTTTCCAAAGCAGGTTGTCATTTAGCGAACTGGAAGAGAAATGTCCCTGACTGTGGGAGCTGACCCCTCAGAACACAAGCAGTGTTAGATTTAAGACACCCTGGGTAGAGAGAGTCCTTTACAGAACTACATCTTAGGAAACTCATGCTTAACCACTTTGCATCTTTACTATCTCTAGTTCCTCCAGTCTTGACAACAGATACAACTCAGGATGTGTTCTGGGTAATAGTTTTTTAATAGATACCAGAGAGTGAGAGCCTACGACATTTTCCCCATAATCCTGGTAGATAATACGTGTGCATGTGTGAGTATATTTGATGAGAGCACCTATGGCTATGCATAGCTGGAAGATTGTTGAGGAAGGGGTAGTAAAATCTGCAAAGAGAACCAGGGATCCTCTTGAAAATAAAGAGGATCCTTTACCCTGGCCTGGCTACCAGGAGCCTTGGGGAAGCAGTTATGTAGGAGCTTTCTTGGATGAGGGAGCAACTGACAGGAGGAATCAACTTCCCCTGAGTTTGAAGAACCCAGTGGGTCAGGGATCTGCAGTTACCCTGTAGTCAGTCCAACCACATTACTCCAGACATGGGCTCTAGTGGGCTCCAGCTTATGGAGCAGCAGTCCAGTCAGAGGCAGTCAGATCCAGTGGTGGTTGCACTGTACTTCAGTTGCCATTGGTCTGCAGCAATGAGACTCACTGCTTGTGTTCTCAGGGGTCAGCTCCAACAATCGGGAACATTTCTCTTCCAGTTCCCTGAATGACGACCTGCTTTGGAAACTTACATTTTCTTTCAAGAAGTATCTTGGTTCTGAGATGTGAGATTCAGCTGGTAGGACTGAGCCTCTGACTTCTTGTACACATCAAGGGAGGGAAGCCCAAGGGCTTTACTTTTACTTATTGGGCTACATGGAGCCTACAGAGAAAGACTTACTAATAGGCCAGATCCATACTCAGCTTGAAATGCTGACACCAACTCCATGAAAGATGTGCTGCTGCTATTAGCACTGCACTGGTTAAAACAAAAAAAAAATCTGTGGTCCAGAGAGGTCAAGCAGCCCATCCTGGCCAACACACTGGTGAACCCGAGCCTGACACCAAAGTTTCACTCTTCCACCACATCTCTTGCCACCACTAACATGGGGCCAGCAGCTGACAACTCAAAGGGAACCAAGAATGAGAAGTTTTTGACCTAACTGACTGTCTAAATTGACAGACGCTTTGTCTTGCATGGAGGGGGCCAATAAATGCCCAAAGAGACAACACAAGTCATCAGGGATGCAGGAGCTCTCAACACTGGCAGTGGACGTCAGCTTCTGCAGACCCAGTCCTCATTCCCACCACCCTGCCATGGCACTTCAAATATGCATCATACAACTCTTGACGCTAGCTCTCCAGGGATGTGTTACCAGGAGAAGAAGCACTCACTGCCATAGCAGGGCAGGCAAATTTGTGTATTGCGTTATTGACTACAGATCAAAACCTGAAGATAGTGGGAAAGAAAAACACAGTAGCTTAATATGATGAAGGGAACTTTAAAAACCTAGTGAGCTCATGCTTAGGCAAGCGGCCCAAGGTGACCAGGCAGTCACAGTAGCTCAGGGACATAGAGGCGACACCACAAGATCTGATCCTATCTGTTCTGGAAGTCAGATGACCACACCACGAGTCACCACAACTTGTATTGCACCCTGCACCACTCAGAAACTTTTGGGCCACTCAATAAATGAAAGACTAGTCGTTTCCATCAGACAATTAGCAGAACTCTGTTTTACTTCCCCCATGCTGAATTGATGATTCTTTGACTAGACCAACCCTATACACGATTGTTCTGGAGTCCTGTGGATAGGGCTTAATAGTTCGTCAGCATCTGTTAACTGGGCAGTGATTGGATGCAAGCTTTCTATCAACAACACTTCTGACCGTGATGCCCTGAGGCTGTTAGAAGTTCTGGACATTTAATCAGCATTAGCAAGGCCACCTATGTCAGCGGTGGCAGAAGCTGCCTGCTATTGGACCTGCCTCTGATTATGACTCAGTGGCTCTCCACCAGGGCTGCACGCTGGAGCCACCTGAGAGTGGATATGAAAATATTGTTTCAGGGTCCCACCCACAGACACACTGATGTAATCGGCTTGGGGAGCAAACTGCCATCAGAAGTTTTAAAATCTCTCTCAATGGATTGAATAGGTAGTGAAGGCTGAGAACCACTGGTTTCTGTTGAAACCTCAGTTCCTGGCTGAAGAGACACTTGCGGCGAGCTTGTCTGTATCATTAGTCACTTCTGGGGTCCAGGGGTGAGACTGGGAGTGGAGGAAGCAATGCAAATGGGTGGAATGCCTTGATCTAACCTACACAGCACATCCTGTGTTTGTCTTTTCAAATTGCTTTCTGTTTTGCTTTTACTTCCTTGCTCTATTTCTTTCAATAAACCACACTCACTGCCATTACCTCTAGCCTGTTGTCCTCCTCTTAGGATCAAAGTCCAAGCTACATATTATCTCATTTACTCTCAAAATATCCCTGCAAGTGAGGAAGGAGCCAGGCCTTTGTTCCCCAAGGCAAATCAGGGACGTGCAGGTCCAGAAAGGTTCAGTCTGCCATGGGACTCATAATATTCAAGTCAGTGTGTTTACAGCAATTTTCAATTTACAAAGTGTTTTCACCTATGTTCTCCCATGGAATCCTCACAGCAAATCTACAATGACAGTATTTTCATAACCAGAATGACCACACATCCTTATTTGCTCCCAAACTATCCTGGGTTATACCTGTGGTTCCAGCCTAATTATTGATATCATTCCCTTTCACTCTCAAAAGTGTCTAGATTTGGACAATAAATTATATGGTCTCCTTATTTATAACCATGCTCTTGTTTTAAGAGGGCCAGTGAGGCTCCTGAAAGTTAAATAATTTGTTCAGGATCATTTAGCTAATTAGAGGCAGAGGCAAGACTTGAACTCAGGTACTGCATCTCCAAATCCCTGCGCCATCCACAGGTATTATGGGACATTAGAATCAGAGTTGACATGATCTAACATTTCTTATTGTAGAAACTAAAAATGTGGGGAAATAATCTCTTAAAAGTCACTGTCAGAATGTTCCCCGAAAGGGAAAGACTCGGAGTACATAGCAGAAATGGGTTAGTCTCCTTGGAAGCATTCTATGAACACATTAGAATGGATTAATAACATAAATAAATGTCACCATGATGGCACTTGAAAGCCTAACTTGGCAAAATAAGGTATCAGGCCTGACATATAGGTATTTGGAAAAGAGCAAGAAATTCAAAGTCTAAACTGCTAGATTTGAGGACTGGATCTGAATGCTATCTGCCATCTACCTTTGGGCATTTTACCTACTTTCTGTGAGCACATGTATTGTTCAACAGAACAGGAGGAATTATCATTCTTAGTTCCCTGGGCTGTTACAAGAAGAGCAAACTGCAGCTCATCAAGTGCTCTGACAGCGAGTCTCATAAGGTACCTGTGAATCCAGTTTATTTGTTTTCTTTATCTTTCACATAAGTGAATCAAGCCTTATAAAGTTGCTGATGATCAAATGAGATAAGGTATTTGAACATACTTATTATGTCCTAATATGCTGCAATCTTTCCTTCTTCTTATCATTATCATTATCAGCAGTAGTAGTAACAGATAATGACTATCAATTGACGTGGGAGACAATTACAATTACATGTCATTGTGAAACTCATTAGGTGACTGTGATTTAGAGTGGTACACCCAGTGGAAACAAGAGGTTGGGAGGTCCTTCCAAGGGGGTGTTGAAAATGACCAAGTCATGACTATAACTGGGTGGGACCCATCCTTCTTGGAAGTCTTCATAGAAACCAACCCACCCTGCCCTGCAGAAAGAGCTTCAGTTACCTGACACCATCAACAAGAAGGCCTTTCTTTTTATGGGGAATCATGTACCTCAGAGAAACTCCAAACTTTGGAAAAGTGTGATTCTGTCAACAAGGATATTGCTTCCCTCAAATGACACAGTTCAAGTAAGGCCTGGGCAGCATCTTTATTTCACAATATTTCTAGCCTTTACTTGTCCCATTTACTTGTAAATGAGAACTGCTAACCTGAAGCTCAAAAAGATGGGGTTGAGGGAGGAGTCAAAACAACTTTCATACCTGATGTTTTGATCTCCCCATCAATCTGGTTTTTGAGCTAGCCATGAAGGCCTGCCTGGCTCTCATTGATTTCCTTTAGGGAAAAAACAAATGACAACACAGTCATTTTAGAATTATTTGGGGAACGCTGCAAATTGTGCAGTAAGGTTTTTATATAAATGGAGAGACTCTCCAACACTGCCAACAAGAAAATTCCAAAGGTGCAGGTAGAATCGGTCTCCACACCTAGGAGTGGGGCAAAGGGCTCCTTTGGTTCTAAAGAACCTATTTGTGTTTCAAATATCTTTCAGAAACTTGACACCTTGAAACTACCACTCTCAAGGAATCTGAGTAAGTCCTAGAATCGCTTTCTTCAAGGAGAGCAGCAAGACTCATCGCTTTGTTAAAGCTCTCCCTATTCACCCCTAGGGCCCAGGCCTGGATGCTGGGGTTCAGAACACCCCCTTGCTGCCCTAAGGTCCAACACTACCCAGCATCAGACGAGAAATGACCTCCTTTATTACCTGGGTCTGCCAAAGGACCTGGAAATCCAGCCTGGGGTGGGGGTGGGGGGAGTCCCAGAAACCAAAGGAGCACACAGGGGCCACAGTGGGAAGAGAACAGGCTGAAGAAAGCAAGTGTCACTAAATGTCAGGTGTAAGCTTGAAAAATAAACACAAAGAATGTAAAACCCAGCAGAAGAAATTTAACAAACCTTTGTGGTAGGCTGGGACAACGGAGACAGATCACGTACCAAGTGTAAAGTAAGTCACATTTTAAGAGTCAGAAAGTACCAAAGACCACAGATTGTTATCAAGGTTTATGTAGATCTCATACTTTTTGCAAACATCTATTTAATTAGCTTGTAGAGAAGGATCTTTTGGGCAAAATAACATTTTCCCAATTCCAGGGAATATTTATGCCTTTTAAATTCTGCCAGGAGGCCCCTGACAGGCACCAGTGACTCTTCCCTTCTCAGCGATCTGCATATTTCTAGGGAAACTTTGCACTGAGAGAGTTTTCCCCCTTTGTGAAAGGTCTTGGCGCCCAGGCAGTCCCCGACTTCCCCTCCCCCAAGTCCTGGCGACTGTTTCTGCTCAGCCCTGGAGGCTACTCTCCCGCAGCCTCAGGTTTCCCTACTTCTGCAGCGTCGGCACCAAGGGCTGATCAAATGTTTCTTTCTCCTTACACCGGCGGACCGGGAAACGCCGCCGCAGCCTCGCCTCCATCCTTCCTCCTACAGGTTGCAAATAAAGTACAGCAGCTCTGACATTAGGCAGTTTCTGTCCAAGGAGCAAGGTGACTTCATTTAATTTGCACTGTGCTCCTTCATCCCTGTCTGCATCAGGTTGAACGGGAGGCTCTCCCTACTACCAAACGCCTAACATTTCCTTGATACTGCCTTGAAAAATCATGATTATGACAAAAATAATAACGTCGGAGAATGGAGTGCTTGTTTTCTGCTTTGCAAGTCACCAAGCAAGAAAACACTTTTGTCTCCTTGGCTTTTATTTTAGGATCTCTGAGCGAAAGAGAGAAAGAGAATTTTAAGAAATGTCATTTTCGCTTTGCCAAAGATCATTGTGTCAATAACGTTTCTCTCCCATTCCTCCCCCTCCTCCCGTTTTAAAGGAAAGGTTCACGGGTCCAGCCAGGTTTCTGCCGCATCCCGACACCTGGAGACGTCTTTCAGGACCAGCCTGAATCGCGTCCGGGCTGGGCTCTGGACTCGGACTCGCAGCGGTGACAGCGGAGGCGGGGACGGGGGTGGACAAACTGCGGATCAACTCTCCGAGAAGACGGCCACCTGCCGGAACCTGCCTTCCTCCATTCCGCCCAGGAGCCTCGCAGCGGGGCGCTGGCCTGCGGAAAGGCCACGGGGGAGCACAGGGCTCCGCGCCGCCCTCCTGGGAGGGTCCGGAGTCCAGCGCACCCCGAGCCCTGGTGGGTGAGCCCGGCGGGAGGCGCGGCAGGTGCGGCGGGAGACTGGACCCCGACCTACCTTCACAAAGAGCTCGATCTCGGGGTCCCTGTCGTCCCCGTTAGCTGTCGCCGAGTCTGTCATGCCGTTGGCGCCCGGGGCTACCGTCCCGGGCCGGGGAGGCGCCACCTCTGCAGCACCTGGGCCAGCACTCTGCGCTCCTGCCGCTGCCCAGCGGGGCTCCTCTTCAGGGCGGTGTTTAATTTTTCACAAAACCATCTATTCTCCAGCCCGAGCAGCGGGGTCTGAGAGATCAGTGTCCCAGATGCTCACATGAAAAGGAGCGAAGCCGGGAGGAGGCGGGGGGCCACGGGGAAAGCCGGGTTAAGGGAATGACAACAGGTCGTGGGAGCAACAAGTGCCGGGCTGCCCGGAGGTGTCACAGGATCCGCGACTGTCAGCGATCCCGCCGCCGCCAACGCGCCCAAAATAGCCGGCGGCTGCAGGGCGGGGTCAGCCGGGCGGGGACGCGGCGGGGACACCCCGGCAGCTCGGGCCTGGGCCGGGCCACGGCCCCCCGCCCCAAGACCCCGCAGGGCAGGAGGCGGAGACAGAGCTGGTCCTGGCAAAGCCACCAAGGCCAAGAGGATGTCCTGGGGGCGGATAATGAGGCGAAGGCAGAAAGAGTCGAGGAGAAGGGGAAGGGGAAGAGGAAGGGGAAAGGGGAAGGGGAAGAGGAAGGGGAAAGGGGAAGGGGAAGAGGAAGGGGAAAGGGGAAGGGGAAGAGGAAGGGGAAAGGGGAAGGGGAAGAGGAAGGGGAAAGGGGAAGGGGAAGGAAGAGAGGAGATGGCTCTCAAGTCTTCTGTTTCTTTAATAAAGCGTCAGCTCCTCCGAGTTACTCCACTACCAGCCTTACCCACTTGGAAAGCCCTTCCTGTCTTAGTGATGCTCAGAACCCCCACCAAAAGGGGCATTTGCCATCCTTGGGCTAAGCAAAAGGAGAGTAGGGTGCTGGGGACGGGCAGGGCAGGGCAGGGGTGGCTCCTGGGGCAGAGGGGTGAGTCAACCCGGTCAGGTGCGGCTTCCATGCCTTTCAGCCTTCTGGGTTTGTTTATTTTTCTTCTCCCTTCTTTCATTTTCTTTCTATTTCTTCCTTTATTTTCTGATCTTACTTCATTCCCGTTCTCTTCTGGTTGTTTTAGTGAAGTAGGATGCAAACACAGAAAAGATGCACATATCTTAGGTGTATGCCTCAATGAATTTTCACAATCCAACCCACCCATGTAACGAGCGCCAGATGAAGAATAAAATGTTAGCCACAGCCCTAGAAGCTCCTCCTGCTCTCTCCTCTCCACATCTTTTCTCCCGTCTCCACTGTCCCAGGGTAACCATTATTCTGGCTTGTAGCAGCATAGGATCTTTTTGCCTGGAATGTTGGTGTCTGGCTTCTTTCGCTCATTACTATGTTTGTGAGATTCATCCATTGTGCTATGTGTAGTTGTGTATCATCCATTTTCACCGACACACTTACTTATTCATTCTTCTGTCAATGGACATTTGTGCAGGTGACTATCATGACTACTCTGTCACGAACATTCTCTCTATCAAACATCTTTTGGTTGGATTCACAGACACTTTTCTCTTGGATGTATACTTAGGAGTGGACTTGCTGAGTTGTAGTGTATAAGAATGCTCTCCTTGTGTAAACACTGCCATAGGTTTTCTAAAGTGGTTGCACCAACAGACATTCCCACCCTTCAGTTCTTTAAAAAATAATTATTGAATGTTTTGCACCAGAATCTGGTGGAATTCTCTTTGTCTTCTTTGCCTTCTCTTTAATTAATCCTGTTTGTGCTATGTCCTTCCTTACTAAAAACATGTATTTGTTTAATAGCTTTATTAAAAAATTTATCGCTTAATAAAAAAATAAGTAATAATACTTATTATGTGCTAGGCAAAAATGTTGAGCACTTTACATGTGTGAACTTGTATAATATTTACAAATAGTATAATGATCCCAATTTTACAAGTGGGGAAACTGAGACATGAAGTATTTAAGTAACTTATCCCTAGTCATTCAGCTAGGAAATGGTGAAGTCAGGATTTAAACCCAGACAGACTTGAGCCTGTCCTCTCAACTGCTCTACAAACTGCTTTTCTTAGTGCACACTATGGAAGTGCACACTTTGAGGAAACAAAGGCATGGTTTTAACGGTCTTAACAGAGATCAAAATCCCTTTCAGAATAATAGTTACATGAAATGAAAACTAAGGCTGCCACATGAATTGGGAAGATGAAGGAGCTATACAAGCTGTCACGTAAAGATACTATTTACCATGGTTGGGGTGAGGAGAGGAAAAGGCTTCATGGAGCAAAAGGCACTTTAGCTGAACCTTCCTGAAAGGTCAGGCATCTGATAGGCAAAGAAAAGGGAAAGATGTCCTCACTACCCTTTATGGCAGGCTGTGTCCCCACAGACTCTCAGTGCAAATTCCTCCTTCCTGAAGAAAGCAGTCACCAAGCCCAACGTGCAACTCTCTTGGTACATTATAACTTAATCAAGGTGATGTTTAATTGCTTTCCTCCTGCTTGGCTTCAGGCTTACATCACCAAAGCCTTTAGAGAAACAGTCACCTTCACAGCTGTACATTCTGCACCAATGACTACATACTTTAGGGAAGGACCAAGGTTACAGAGGGAGACTGGTGCCTTCGCTGCATGATGCACAGACTCAGAACATCCCTGCACTGAAGTGTAGGCAATATTCTTAATGGCAATGTGGCAGTAGCAAATAAAATTATATGCATAAAATGTCTTCGAGGGTTTTGGTTTTTTGTTTTTTGTTTTAATGAAAAATGTGTTACACGTATTTTCGATCATTTCCTTGGCTATGATCTAAACAATGTGTGGTATGACTTCTCTTTCCTTAATCCCAAACCTATCAGAGTTAACTTTCATTTTATCTTCTCCAAATATCTACTGCTATTGTAAATTTGGACAGATCTCTTTCAATAACATTTTATAGGAAATATCTCCCATTTGGACATCCCTGCAGATAACTTATAGTTTTGATATTATAAAGCTTCATGCTGCAAAAAAAATAATTCTTCTTTGGTCATAAACTATTTCTGTGCATATTTTCCATTTTCAATTTCATATTATGCCTTAGCTCAAGATAAAAGGACTTTACTTTGTACCCTTTAATGTTAAAGAATAATTGGTTAGAGTCAATTCTAGCTTTGTCTGGAGAAAAACACTATATGTCTAATTCCAGCCCATAGTTTCACAAATGTGGTGCAAGTTTTGAATAAATTTTTACCAGGAAAGTACTTTAAAAACACATTTAGTGCTCACTTTGGCAGCACATATTCTAAAATGGAAACCATACAGAGAAGATTGGCATGGCTCCAATGAAAGGGTGACATGCAAATCTGTGTGACATTCATATTTTTGTATGACTGTTGAAAGTGAAAACTATAACATATCTGATAGCATTTTTAATATATTTAGATTCAATAATATGACCACTGCAGCATAAAGGGTAAAGGGCAAGGAATTTATACAGTTGTAAGGTTTATATACTTTACTTGATATAGTAAACTCTAAGTAGCCTGAGAAAAACTAGGTATGTGTATTGTAATCCCTAAAGAAACAGCTATTTGAGTTATAAAACAAAAGTATAGTAAAAAAAAAAAAGCCAACAGATAAGCTAAAATGGAATGACAAGAAATATTCAAATAATCTAAAAGGCAGAAAAGAGGAAGAGAATAGAAAACTGATAATAAAATGGTACACCTAAATATAACCATATTAATACTTAAGCTAAATATAAATGGTCTAAGCACATAAATTAAAAGCTGAAGATTGTTGGATTGCATAAAAAAGCAACAAGAAGACCCAACTATATGCTGTTACAGAATTCACTTCAAACACAATGTTATTGATAAATTAAAAGTAAGAGGATGGAAAAGCCCCTGCCATGCAAACACTAATCAAAAGAAAGCTGGGCCGGGCGCGGTGGCTCACGCCTGTAATCCCAGCACTTTGGGAGGCCGAGGCGGATGGATCATGAGGTCAGGAGATCGAGACCATCCTGGCTAACAAGGTGAAACCCCGTCTCTACTAAAAATACAAAAAATTAGCCGGGCGCGGTGGCGGGCGCCTGTAGTCCCAGCTACTGGGGAGGCTGAGGCAGGAGAATGGCGTGAACCCGGGAAGCGGAGCTTGCAGTGAGCCGAGATTGCGCCACTGCAGTCCGCAGTCCGGCCTGGGCGACAGAGCGAGACTCCGTCTCAAAAAAAAAAAAAAAAAAAAGAAAGCTAACCTCTAAATTAATATAATTATTAATAATATATAAACATATATTAATGTAAGTCTATTAGACAAAATAGACTTCAGAAAAAGGAAATTATCAGGAATAGAGACATTACATAATAATAATAATAATAACAGAGCCAGCTCACCAAGAAGATAGAACAACCTTAAATGCATATATACTTAATAACAGAGCTTCAATATTGATGAAACAATAGCTGATGGAACTGAAAGGAGAAAGAGAAATACAGAATTATAGTTAGAGACTTCAGTTCTCCTCTTTTGGTAATTTATAGCACAAGTAGACAAAAAATCCATAAGAATATAGAATATAGAAGACCTAAACAACACTATCAATAACCTTGACCTTATGAACATTTGTGGAATATCCCACCCAAACAACAACATAATATACACTATTGTCAGATATATATGGAACATTTACCAAAAGAGATCACATTCTGGGTCACAGAACAAACTTCATTACGTTAAAATAATGAAATTATACAAAGTATGTTCTCTGACCATAATGGAATCAATTAAATTAATATCCAGAAAGATATCCAAAACACTTCCAGTTATTTGGAAATTAAGCAACACACTTTAAGAAATTCATTGATCAACAAGGAAGCCTCAAGGATTATTAAAAAATATTTTGAACTGAATTCAAATGAACATACAACATATCAAAATTTGTGAGATGCAGCTAAAGCAACGCTTAGTAGAAATTTATACATAAAACACTTATTTTGGAAAATAATAAAGTTCTGAAATTTATAATCTAGGCTTCCATTTTATGGAACTAGAAAAAAGAACAGCCAGCTAAAACCAAAGCAAGCAAAAATAATAAAATAATAAATATAAAAACAGAAATTAATGAAATCGAAGAAAAAATAAAACAATAGAGAAAATCAATAATACTAGAGGCTGGTTTTTATCAAAGATCAATAAAGTTGATAAATTTCTCACTAGATTTACCAAAAAACTAGAGAGAGAAGATATATTATCAATGTTAGATACAAAAGATGGGATATCAACTATGAACTTCACAGATACAAAAAGATAAGGGAGTACTACAAACAACTCTCTGAACATAAATTAGACCATTTAGATAAAATGGATAAAAGACACAGACTAACAAAATTCACTCAATGAGAAGTAGATAACCTGAATAGTCCTATATTTATTAAACATATTAAATTCATAGTTGAAAGCCCTCCAAGAAAAGAAAACTACAGCCCCATATACCTTCATTAATGAATTCTACTAAACATTTTAGAAAGAATAACACCAATTCCATGCAATCTCTTCCAGTAATGAGAAGAGGAGGAAGTGAAGGACTTGTATCCAGGATTTGTAAAGAATTTTTACAACTCAAAAAAAAAAAAAAAAAAAAACCCAGCTAAAAAAATAGGCAAAATATCTGAGCAGACACTTTAACCTAGAAGACTTACCAATGGCAAACACATGAAAATATGCTCAACGTTCTTCAGTAGAGCAATGCAAATAAAGAGATACCACAATATACCTATTAGAATGGTTACAATGTGCATTCATGATAATCCCATGTGTGAGCAAGAATACAGAGCAACTGGAACTCTCATACATTGATGGTAGGAATGCAAAATTGTACAGTCATTCTGGACAGCAGTTTGGCATTTTCATATAAAGTCAAATGTACACTTACTATATGGCCCACTTACCATCTTCTGGGTATTATCCAAGAGAAATGAAAACTTATGTTTACATAAAACCTTGGTACATAAATTTTTTTTTACAAAAGTATTATTCATAATTGCCCCAAACTGGAAACATCCCCAAATGTTCCTCAATGGGTAAATGAATTAAAAAAAGTGATAACATTTATGCAACGGTATATCACTTAGCGATAAAAAGAATGAGCTATTAATTGGTGCACAACACAGGTAAATCTCAAATGCCCCATATTAAGTGAAAAAGAAAAGCAGTCTCAAAAGGTTACTTACTGTATGGTTTCATTTACATGACATTCTGGAAAATAAAAAAATTATAGGGATGGAGAGAAGATCAGTGGCTGCCAGGGACTGGGATAGATGAGGGCTTGATTACAAAGGGGCAGCTTTCAGCTGATAGAACTACTTTGCATCCTGTTTGTGTCATTGGTTACACACATTTCTGTATGTGTTAAAATATACAGAACTACACACCAAAAAGGTGAATTTTCTGTATGCAAATTTAAAAAATGATCAAAATGCTTAAATAATTTCCAAAAAGGTAAAGCCATCAGGTTCTATTGCCATACCCACTTTCCACACAGTCTTTGCTTCAAATCTGTAACATCAGACCTCATCTTACCATTAATTTCAGAAATGTAAAAGAGATTTCTATTTTATGAGATGCAGTGCTTCTAATTAGGCTGATCAACAAAATAAAACAAACTTTCATTGAAATAACAAAACAAAATAAACATATTTAGACAGTGTGTTTGTGTGTGTGTGTTATGAAATGACATGTACTGTAAAATAATGATGATGCTTATGGGGAGATTTTTCAGAAAATGCTTGCCCTACCCACTACCGGAGTGCAATCACATTATTAGTCACAAGTTCCAGCTTTTATGTACCTAGCAGTACTCAGTTGAGCCCACTCACTATACCCAGAGTAGCAGCTATTTCCATGGGAATTAAACAACTTACATTCTCTGCAGGAGATCTCCCAGACAATCTCAAGGACTTGAGGTTTAAGCTGGAAGATTTTGATGACAGCTTCAGAAAGACATTATGCCCTTGTGGGAGGACCAACTGGGTGTAGACGAAGGGAGGTGAATCCTAGAGGGATCACACCTGCATGAGGTCACAGATTGGGCTATGAGGGGGATTGAGGTGAGTTGTTAGTTCTATTTCTTTATAACCTAAGGTGTCCTTGGGCATGGCCAACATGATCAATGATCTTGGCTCTCACTGCAGTCTGTCTATTGGTGCTTAGCAAAGGCAGAGGCCTGGGAGTGAGCTGGACTGAAGTCAAGAGTCCTTGTCAAAAACCATCACTCATCCCACTGATTCACTCATTACTCATTCCTTCAACCAGTGTTTTCGGGGTGTCTACTATGTGCCAGACACCGCTCATACTCATTTTAGAAGCCCCTGAGAACATACAGTGTGCATACCACCTTCTGATGATGAGCAGTCTTAGTTCCTGTATTATTCCTTCCGGGATTGAGTTATGGCTTTTCAACTGGAGTGGAAGCTTCTTATGGACAGGAATCCAATTTTGTGTTTCTTTTGCAAGACCCACAGGATATAATGGTCCCTTGCTACATACTTACAAACAGGCTAATATGTCCTGTATAGTGCACATGCTCAATAAATAATTGTTGATGGAATCAATGAATGAATGAATAACCAGCACTTCTATTTGAAGTCTCCTCCATCTGGGATTTTGACCTTCCACCAGTGAAATGGACATTACAGTGTGGAGTTTTTATAAAGATTCTAATTTGAACTGAAACATATGAAAGAGTTACATCATAATAATAATAGTTAACATTTGCTTAGAGCTCACCATGTGTTGGGAACTCTGAAGTCCTTATTAGCTCACTTCATTTCTATAATAACCCTATGAGGTAGTGTTATTAATCCCATTTCACAAATAAAGAAGCAAAAACTTAAAAAGGGTAAGTAACTTATCCAAGGTCATGTGGATAGTTATAAACAACAGAGCTGGAACTCCCTCCATTGCTAAAGCCCAGGATGTGGTTGGAGGAGGTTGGGATGCTACTAGAAATTTAGAAATTGCTTACTGAATTGGTGGGATAAGTAAATGACTAGTCTTGGATAAGAAATGGCTAGGGTTGGGGATTCTGGAGTTCTCCTTTACTCTGCTTAAACTAAGACACACCCAGAGATGAAATGAAAAAGGAAACATAGGGTCCAAGAGATGGCACACAAAAATTAAAAAATACTCAGCCCTAGGAAATGGAAGTTATGGGAGCCAACGGGCAGAAGAAAAGTGATCTGAGGTCATCTTCTGTTGCATCACCGTGCATTTTTGGCAGGATTTACTGCTCTGGTGATTGTCCTCACTTAATGGTCAAGCTCCTACTTTAGCTTTGGCAAGATCACCTTAAAAATACAACTATTATACAAATACTTTTTAAAAACCTTGGACGGAGTCCAAGATAAATACATATAACAAAATTCAAAAAAAAAAAAAATCCACCCACAACTGTCACCTAGTATTACTCTGACCTACACATCTGATTTTCTTTTGGTGAACAGTCCATCTTGCTAATTGACCAGTAATGATCTTTAATAACTCAAAAAAGGGAATAGCATTAAAGAGAGCAAGGGTTGGGGGGAAAGCAAGGTTAGGGACATCGGGAATAGGAAGCCAGCAGTTACATTTGTGAGAGTAGAATGTAGAATATTTTGAGGGAATTGGGCAAACACCCACGATCACACAAATTAAAGTTCTGAAAATACAAATAAACAGTTGTCATAATCTTAGACAACTAGATTCCATTTGCCTTGAGTTACCCAGTTTCCTTGGGGATCTACCTTCCTCCATTCACAGTACCTTAGGTTGAAGTAAAGCCTTAAGGATGGTCAGGTGACTCATGTTGGCCAGTCAGAACACTGCAATCTCTAGTCACAGTGATTGGTTCAAAATGGGCACATGATCAACTGGGATCCAATGAGATTCAATTCTAGGACTTTTTCTCAGAAATTTAGAAGACCATTTTTACTTCTGCTGGACTTATAAAGAGACTAGGGTATGTTCCTAGAGCTCTTTGAACTATCCCACCACCACTAAGACAGAACCTGACTGAGAGTAAAGCCAACAGAGAGAAAACAAGAGCCAAGATACATAGAGAGGAAGCCCAAGTTCTGACTTGGATGTCTCAGTGCCTGAAACTTGATACCACTAGATTTTCCTGTCCTAATGGTTAGTAAAATTCTTTTTTGGCTCAGACAATCTTGAATTGAGTTTTCTAATGTTTGCAACTGGACATTTATTTATACTCACATTAGTTAGAATCTGTATAGAGGGCTGTAGGCAAGAGGTGGTCTATATGATAGAAAAAAGACCTCATGGCTATTAGAAGGTGGACATGAGGCATCAACACAGTGATACACTTTAAGAGTGACGCCAATCTTGAGGTGAATAAAAAGTATTAAAGTTCTAAATCCTCATAAAAACACAACAGTCTCCTAAGCTAAGATACAAAAGTAAAAATATGTTCAGGAATTGACAGAATTCCAGAGAAAGGCTATGTGTGTAGATTTAAGGTGATCATACATGGTACAGAATAAAAGTTAAAAAATAATAAATAATGTCTCCATTAATTGATTTTTTTTTCAAAAGAGAATGTCTTATAGTATAATAAAAAGAGCACTAGACTGAGATCCAGAAATTCTGAATTCAGGAATTTCTAGTCCTCTAATCTGGTGGTTCAACCTCTCGGAGCCTCAGTTCCTTTACCTGTAAGACAAAGATAACTATACTTTCCCTGAAATTTGTGTAGTTTGATTAATATTATTTATAAATATGTATAATGCACCCAACACAGTGACTGACCCATAAACAAAGAACAAAAGAGTTATTTTTCCCCAAATGTGTATAAGGGAGGCACTGAGCAAAGAATTTCAGAGGCAACATCTCACTTAATCCCTCACTGCAAACTTCAGTATGCGGGAGCTACTATTGTTACCTCATTTTGCAGATGAAGAAGCTGATATATACAAATTAGTGAGTGAGCTAGAAAGCGCTAGAGCTGGGGATTTGAATCCCAGGTTGTTAGAGTCCCAAGTATCTGCTTATAATGACCTCAATAAATAAGCACTAGCTAGTATGACTTTATTACTAATGTGTTTAAGTGAATAGTAAACCAAAGAAATAAAAATAGTAAAGGCCCAGCCTGGAAATGAAGGCTGAAGATCAGCTGCTGAATCATTCAAAAAAGGAAATGCTCCCAGGTAAAGAATGGAATGCTGGATGGCCTTTAACATGGTTTGGCTCTGTGTCCCCACCCAAATCTCATGTCGAATTGTAATCACCACGTGTCAGGGGAGAGACCTGGTGGGAGGTGACTGGATCATGAGGACGAATTTCCCCCTTGCTGTTCTCATGATAGTGAGTTCCCATGAGATCTGATGGTTTAAAAGTCTGTGGCACTTCCCCCTTTGTTCTCTCTCTCTCCTCCCGCCAAGTAAGACATGCCTTGCTTTCCCTCTGCTTTCTGCCATGATTGTGAGTTTCCTGAGGCCTCCCAGCCATGTGGAATGGTGAGTCAATTAAACCTCTTTTCTTTATAAATTACCCAGTCTCAGGTATCTCTTTATAGCAGTATGAGAACGGACTGATATAGCCTTCATCTTTATTTCACTGTTTCTCCCTGGTATGGCATGAGCTCTTTGAGCAACATAAGAAATTATTTCCTGAAAGACATAAAATACTATTGAGAAAATTACAAGTGCTTTCTTGGAGATGAACAGCATTGGTCTAGCCTGAATTATTATTATTATTTTTAAGAAGAATCTATCCTAAAGGTGGGGGAAGCAATGTAAAAGTCCTCCTGTAGAATTCTAGGAACATGTCTGTATTTAAGCTGTTTTCTGTTTCCATATACATCCTTATATATGCATCGCTCTCCAATTTAGAATCTCAAAGAAATAGAATAAAACATTTTCTGGTCCTAGTGAGGCAGACACAGAGGAAATTCATTTCTGTAGCACTATAATAAGTAGTTCTCTTTAATCTATATTCAGGAAGGTAGCTTTGATTCCGTTTTTGTCATGTACTTTACTCAACTGTGCAATCTTTTATGATCTGCCAGGAAGATTACTCCTATCCCCATAAAACTTGGTTGACAGAAAATCAGAGAGCATTATTTTAATTGCTTCAATTTCCTTCTTCCAAGGAGAAGGCAGAAAGTTCTTCAAATATCTCAATTTCATTAAATTCAACAAACACTTCCTGGGCAGCTGTTCTGTGCCAGATGTTGTACTCAATGCTGGGGATAAATTTATGAGTAAGACCCAGGCCTTGCTCACAAGGAGATCATAGTGCTCAAAATGCATGTGGGGTGCTCCCACCCCTCACCCCATTTCCAGCTAAGTAGACACAATATGCTTTTAGGAAAATACAATTGAAATAAAGCTAACAGCATTGAGAAAAGATGCTCCTTGTCTAAGTTTGAATAACCAGAAGACGAGATAACCAGAAGATGAGATAGCACCAACTGCCTCACAAATGAGATAGTAATCTCATTTGTGATTCCACTGAGATGGCAATTGCCATAATTATCATTTTCACATGAATTTATCTACTGACCACCTATTTATATCTTAGGTGCTCCGAGAGACATTGAATATACCTTAGGGAATAAAACAGTTGTGAACATCCTGTGCCTGGTGGGTCTTGCAATCCATTGTGGGAGACAGAACAAACACATAAGCAAACAAATAGATGTACAATATTAAATTATGATCAAAGCTAACAAAGGAATCTGGGTAGAGAATCACAGTGAAGGGGGTGAGGAAGCCTCCTGCACAGAGTTCCACTGGGAAGGCCTCTCTGAAGTGATGACATTTAAGCCCAGACCTGAAAGATGAAAAGGAGCTGTTCATTTGAAGACTGAAGGGAAGAGAGATGGGAACAGCATGTATGATGGCCCTTAGGTGGGACAAAGCATTTTATGCTGGAGGAGCTGAAGTACAAGCTTGAATTCCCCCATTATATCCCTATGGGGTCTACACTGTGGGATCACATTTTCACCTTTTCCTATGTAATTATATTATTCAACCTTTGTAGTTTCAATACATCGTTGGAGAAAATCTGCCCAGAAGTTTTCATTCAGTGAAAGAGTTCCAGCATAACCAATAATGATGGCTCCACTGAATATATGTTGAGTTTGCAGAAACTTACTTAGAAGAAACGATTTTTGTATTTCTCTGTAATTATTCATAATTTCTTCAATTAAATGCCTTTGCAAAAGTTAGCAATGCACTCCTGTGTATAAAAGATAAATATTATTCTAAGACACCTTTGCAATATAAATTTTTTATCTCAAAATTCCTCACACTTGGTTTTGCTCATTGGCAGCAACTACAGAAGGCCAGGACTTGTGGAGGATGGGAGAAACCTCTCCCAAAGGCTGATATTTTAGCTAAGTGATTTTATGCTTTTTAAAAAAATTGCATTGAAGTTCATTCCATTACATTGAAATTAATTCTTTTTTACCTTGCTCTTTTGTCACCTCGTAAATGGAATCATTGTTATTTTTTCTCTCTGATAAAATTAAGTCCCAGGATGAATAAAGCAGAATATAGACTCAGTCGTTTATCCCCCATTAACACAGCGCAAAGTCACTGCATCAATGGACACAAGACTTAATGCCCTTCATGAAGCCTCCCAACATTAATGTGGAAAGAGTCAAACTGCTGACCTAAGCTCTGCCTTACTCATAAGCACTGTCTCCTTGTGGGAAGTCAACAAATTAAAAGGCAGAAGGATGCAAAACAGCCATGCCAAAGTGGTCTGATTGAGTTCACCAGTCAACACCAATGCCTCCTCTGCTCCTTTCCAGCTGGTCATAGAGATGCTGCATGCCTGGCCATGTGAATGCTGACCATACAGCATCACTCATCCCTTCTCGGGAAGTCCCAGGTGGTTGGAGTCATTCACCACTGGGTGGCCATTTGCCTGCAGTGAATAAAAAATAAGGGGGTCCTGTCTGAACAATGAACAGTACTGACCCTCTGCATGCATTGGTCACAAATGAAGATAAAATATTGTAATATGAAAAGCTAACTAATACTGTACATGCATGATTATACCTCCCATTTATCAGTATTTGAAAATCTGTTTACATTCCTTTCTCTTCCAGTAAGTTATAGGTTATAGGTGCTTCTAAGCCATGTATGATCTATTTTCTCTCCCTCTCTCTCTATTAGACTTTGTTTTTATAACAGTTTTAGTTCACAGCAAAATTGAACTGAAGGTATAGATTTCCCATGTACACCCTGCCTCCACACATGCACAGCCTCCCCCATTATCAACATTCATCACCAGAGTGGTACATTTGTTACAACTGACAAACCTACATAGGCACATCATAGTCACCCAAAGTCCATAGTTTCATTAGATAGTTTACATTTACTCTTGGTATTATACATTCCATAGTTTTGGACAAATTTATAATAACATGTGTCTATCATTATAGTATCCTATGGAGTATTTTCACCGCCCTAAATATCCTCTGTGCCCTGCCTATTCATTCCTCCCCCACCCCCACTAACCCCTGGAAACCACTGATCTTTTACTGTCTCCATAGTTTCGCTTTCCCAGAATGTCATGTAGTTGAAATCCTACAGAATGAACCTTTTTCAGACTGAATTCTTTAACTTAGTAATATACATTTACGGTTCTTCCATGCCTTTCATGGAGTCTGTTCTTTCCTTATATCCCTAGCAATGAGCACAGTGCCTTACACAGAGCAGACACTTAACAAGCAGTTGTTGAATAAATGGGCAAGGGAATGAGTGTTTTTCATGGCACAGTTCACTTAACGGCTGTTTACTGAGGCTTTCTAAGTTCAGGCTCTCAGCCAGGCATCTTCAAACCATAATAATATTTGCATGGGATTTCCGAAATTATTATCTTATCATAACAGCAGTCCTGAGAGGTAGAAGAACAGACATTTTTCTTATTATCCCCATTTCAACAAGATCAGAAAACAGACACAGAGAAGTAAAGTGACTTGCCCAAGTTCCCTGAACTAGAAAGTGGAAGAGCCAGGACTAGCCTCTGTGACTCTCCAATGTACCTTTATGCCTTATCCTATATGTTGTCTCTCCTAAAACCTGGCTGTGGGTCATTGAAACTGACAAATGTTTAACAAGAAACTAATTCATGATGACATAGTAAAAGGTGAGGACTGAAAGAGGCCCTCTTCCCAACCTTGTTTCTTAGGGGAGCCCATCTTCTTACAAAAAAAAAAGTGTATCCTTGGCTTTGACAGTGCAGCCCACACCAGTGAACCTCAATTTTCCATTCACCACAAGCAAACTACTGTTGGGCTGCAGAATTGACATCTTTCTGGGGAAGGAAAGTTTAACAACTGATCAACAAGTAGTTCGCTCCCATTCAACAGTAAAGAATTGCACTGATGAGCTTCCCCTGCTCCTGTTAGGGATTAAAAGGGCTTCAAGAGTCCAGACCAGAATTCATTCCAGATCTGCAGTTGTGATGGGCCCTCAAAGGGAAATGAAGTTACCCTGGGAGTTATGCCTGGCTATAAGTGAGTTATAGGGGAGGCTCATGAAGGTCCCTGCCTTGAAATCCAGTCCCCTCCTGAATTCATTCATTCTCCAATTTTAACTTTTAGCCTTTGTAACCTCCTTGAGAGCCTCATACGTATATATAAATGTCTGCCGAGAACCTCCCTTGAGTGTCCTAGTTTTCTCAAGGTTAGTATTTCCAAGATAGTGCACTACCAATTTCTTCCCCAAATCCTGTCCATATCCCGCATTTTCTTTACCAGTGAGTGACATTGTCATAGATCCTATCACTAAAACCAGAAACCAAGCCCATATTTTTGTTTAATCCTTCCATCATCTCAAGTCCAATTAGCCACCAAGTGTCTACTCTGAGATCTCTCTACCCTTCATCCTCATTACTGCAGCCTCATCACCTTATTTCTGAATAAACATAGAACCTTCCTAACTGCTCTTTTGCTTTCTCTCTTTCTTGGCCACCCATTTCATCCCTCAAATCCATCCTTCTCTTGGTAGCCAGGACATGCCATCTACAATTTGTGTCAGGTCACACCCCGCCCTTGCTCAAAACCCTTTAGTGGCTCGGCATGGACTGCACTCCCCAGAATGATGTACTAGGTTGGGACCTGCTCCCTGTGTTCTTCCCATCAGTCCACCTGACCTCCTGTGCCTTCAGGCTCTATAGATTCTGGGAAACCCTAAAATGGCTTGATTTCCTACATGCACACCTTGCTGTTCCAAACCTCCATGCCTTTGCTCATGTTGCTTGAAATACTTTCTTCATGTTTCCTCATCCACCTAAGTTGTCATCATCCTTAAAACTCATGCTCCCACAGCACCCTGTGCAAACCTCTACTCTTGCTCTATTACATGGAAATTATTTGTTTATGTATCTGTTGCCTTTTAGAACTAAGATCTTCAAGTACAGGAGACATCTAATCATCCCTCTATTCATCACTTCTTGCAGCGAAATTCTCATTTTAAACATCTGAAGCCCTAACAAACCATCATGTTTTAAAAAGAAGAAATTGTGTTTCTTATGTGCTAAGTACTGTTTCCCTGTACCTAGCACAGATGCAGGCACATAGTATATGTCTATATCAGTCTCTGTCTACATTTACTCATTTTATTCAACAAATATTTATTAAGATCCTATTTTATTCCCATCACTGTGTTTTGCAGAATATGAGATGTTGCTCCAGTTCTTGAAGTTCTTATGTACTAAATAATATAAGCAGTGCATTTAAAATAGTAAGTTGCTGGATCCCTTGCCCCTCATCCTTTCTGCAGAATATGCTGTCTTCAGTACATGATTATTTGCTGTGTGCCAACGGGTGCCATAATGAAAATAATAAAATACAATATATGAAAACAACAAGGTGAGCCTTGACTCTCAGTAAAAGATGTGAACACTTAGTTCATTGAAAAAGGAATGCAGGGATAAATAAATATATGAAAAGGCATCCTACTAAGCTAAGAAAATCAAGTTGCACCAGGAAGAGATTTTCTCATTTATTCAATTGGTAAAATGTTCAAAAGATTTGTAATAAAAATTGTGGGTAAGTCTGCAATGTGGGTAGGAAGTGTATATTGGTACAATATTTTTGGTGGGCCTATTATCTATTCAAGTTGAAGACAAATTTGGGCCTTATAATGGTCAAGAGGTCCACTGATAGGAAACTCTTAAGTGAGCAAAGGATGTATGTACCAAACTAAATGTCCTTTTAGTAGGAGATCAATGGGGTACATTTTGGTGCATCCATATAAGAAAGGATATCATAAAAAAATATGGAATGACATGAAAAGAAGCCCTTGATATGTTGTTAAGTGAAAAAAAAATCAAACTATGAAAGAGTGCATATAGTCATTTCATCTTTGTAAAATATATATATACACATATATATATAACATATATATATACACACATATATATATACAACATATATATGTACACAACATATATATATATATACACACACACACACACACAACAAATATATATATATGTGTACATATATATTTCCTGGAAGGCTAGATACTAAATTGTAAATAGTGGTGTATTAGTCCATTCTTGGACTGCTATCAAGAACTATATGAGACTGAGTAATTTACAAAGAAAAGAGATTTAATTGACTCAGTTCCATAGGCTGTACAGGAAGCATGGCTGAGAAGGCCTCAGGAAACTTACAATCATGGTGGAAGAGAAAGGAGGCATGGCTTACATGGCTATAGCAGGAGGAAGAGAGAGAAAGGGGAGGTGCTACACACTTTTAAACAACCAGATCTGATGAGAACTCACTCACTATCATGGGAACAAAAAAGGGGAAGTCCACCCCCATGATCCAATCACCTCTGATCAGCTTCCTCCTCCAACAATGGGAATTGCAGTTCATGAGATTTGGGTGGTGACACGAATCCAAACCGTATCAAGTGGTTATTTCAGGATAGTAAGATTGGGGAGGGAGAACTTTTCAGCTTTTACTTTATGCATTTTTATATCATCTGACTTTCTCCTTTTTTCACAAGAAGTTAGGTGTTAGTTCTAATTAAGTGTTGGGGAAAGGCCAAGGCATGCCAGCATGCTGGACTCTGCCCAACCCACACAGAATCCCTCAGGCTATGTGTGCTGCCTCCAACCCCCCATATGAAGTCAACCACGTTTATCTTTGGGAAGTGAATTTCCTCATCTACAGACTCATCCCTGGATTCAGAAACCTCTTTTCATTCATTCCATAAACACATATTGAAATCCTCTTCGTGCCCTTATTCTTAAGTCTGCCAAAGCCGAGAGGAACTTAGTGAGCTACTCGGGCTGGTCACACCTGCATCTTAAAAGCAACTCTCAGAGAATACATTACATAACACAAAAGCCTGATTTCCATGTGAGGGGAGCAGAGGAAGCAGTTTCCAAGGACAATCTGTAGCAGAATCACTTAGGGAGCTTCTTAAAAATGGATTTCTCTGAGCTCCTCTCACAAATATTGAATCTAAGGGTAGGGCCTGGAAATCTACATTTTTTTTTTTTTTTTTTTTTTTTTGAGATGGAGTCTTGCTCTGCCACCCAGGCTGGAGTGCAGTGGCGTGATCTTAGCTCACTGCAAACTCCGCCTCCCGGGTTCAAGCAATTCTCCTGCCTCAGCCTCCTGAGTACCTGGGACTACAGGCATGTGCCACCACGCCCAGCTAATTTTTGTGTTTTTAGTACCGACAGGGTTTCACCATATTGGCCAGGATAGTCTCGAACTCCTGACCTCATGATCCGCCCGCCTCGGCCTCCCAAAGTGCTGGGATTACAGGCATGAGCCACCACACCCGGCCAAATCTATAGTTTTTTTTTTTTTAAGATGTATGCAGACTTATTTTCTTTATTAAAGTATTATAAGAAAACATATGTATTTGTAAAAATGGTTTCCTGTGTCAGGCATTTGGGCAGTCAGAGCTGACTTGTAAACTATTCTTGTAATAGCTCATTTGGTCATATATCCAGAATTCATCAAATCTATACTTTTGATAACCTCCGTGGGCTCATGCCCACTGAAGACACTGCAGCAAAAGTGAACAGAAGAGAGTTTGGGGGCTGGATACCATTCTGCAGGTCTCCATAGCCTTGCCACCTAATGGGCCCACACATGGGAAGACCTGCCAGCCCTTCCTCATTCTGAGAGCTTCACAGAGACCCTGGACAGAGCAGAGAGAAGAAACACCAAAGGGTGGGGGAATTAACATCACTTTGTTAAACTAAGTTTCTATTCATAGAGGAATTTATCTCTAGATTTATCTTTGTATTTGGGAGAGTCTTTCCTGCATTGTCTCTCCTGTGCTGACTTGACTGATAACCTTCAATATATCTCTATTAAATAAGAATCAATTTTTAAAAATCAACATTTGACTCTTAAATGACATCTAGAGACTGGTTTTAAGAGTAAGCAGAGTAGATGGCCAAAAAATGCTATGTTAATACAAGAGGTTATTATTTTTTAAAGGCAACAATGGTGGCTTAGAATAAGAAGACCTAGGGTAAAACCCAGGAACTTGCCACATGTTAGTATAACATAAACAAAACAAACACAAAGCTACTATTGGAAATGATGCCAGAGTAGCTTCTTCCTGTTACCAGTGTCTGGATCTTAAAATACCAGAAGTTCAAATTTGCCGTGGGGAGACCCTTTCTTTGTTTTATGGAATCAATGGTTCTCTTACTTGGCTGCATGTGGGAGCTACTGAAGTATTTATTTCCATCTCCCATCACCATATATTCTGATTTCATTGGTCTGGCATGTGGCCTGGACACCAGGACTATCTTGAAAGTTCCCCAGGTAATTCTAACTTGCACCAAAGTGGAGACAAGCTGCTTATTAGAAAGCCTTTATAATCTTGGAGATGGAAGGCAAAACCCACCATTCGGGTATCCCTGAGCTGGGAAATAATCTCAATATGGGTGCTTCAGGCTGAGATGTTTAACATACTGTATTTAAGAATGAAAGGTAAACTGGTGCTGTGGCTTATGCCTGTAACCTCAGCACTTTGGGAGGCTGAGGGGGCAGGATTGCTTGAGCCCAGGAGTTCAAGTCTGCAGTGAGCTATGATTGCACCATTGCACTCCAGCTTAGGTGACAGAACAAGACCCTGTCTCTTTAAAAAAAATTAAAAAAGGAAAAAGTGGTGGTAGCTCAAGCTTTGGGCACTCTGTCAAATCCCCTCAGCCCATCTCTTTCTGCCTTAGCTTCATTGGACAGTTCCGTGTAAGCTTGACACAGACTGGCAACATCCCAGCTCAAGCACTGTGCTCTTTCAACTTCATATCTCAAAACTTCTTATAGCAAAAGGAGCCTCCAGCTGACAGAGGCTAGAGCAGGCATGTAGGGCACGGACTCAAACTATGTCATTTGGGCATTATAGAGAAGGGTGACTACTAAGGTTCGGAGAAGTGGGACCGTAATAGCTGTATGGCCTTGGGCAAGTCACTTCTCCAATTCATAGTTTCCTTATCTGTAAATAGAGCTACTAATACTTCATTGGAATTATTGTCCTCAGCATTAAATGGCACCTGATTCAAAATAGGTGCCTGACACATTAAAAAGTTTTACCCATATTATCTTACTTTATATCCAAATAATTCAGTAAGATAACTAGGATAGGTGATATTGCCATCATCTTGGGGAAAAAGGAGATCGGGAAGTTTAAGTGACATGTCTCAAGTTTCAAAGTATCAATGGCAAAACCAGGCCAGGAACTCAGGCTTCCTGCCTCTGTATAGCCACTGTTTTATATTGTCTTTCTTAGAAGATAGCAGAAGTTTTCAAGCCACTGAGTAATATTAGAGGAAGAAAAAAGAAACTAAGAGAGCAGAAACTATTTTTCTTTCAGTAAATAGCTTTTTGACTAAATAACAAGGTGAGTCATTTGTTTCAGGGTGTATTGTTTAAACAAATATATTGTTTAATGACTCCCTGGCTATTGTCCGATGCCTCAATGCCTTTTAAACACATAACTCTGCCTGAACTTCCCTATCACTGGCTCCATCTCTACTGTTGTGTTGGTTTGTTTGCCTCTGGATATTGAATCTTGCAGAATTGTGTCTGAAAATCTAACAGAGACTCACATCAAAACTGCACACAGTCTGCATCTCCTCTGGGCTCTCACTTTGGTCATTTGGGCTGAGTAATTAATGATTTGTACAATTGCTCAACTTACTCTAAAGGACAATAGTTTGACTGGGACACTGAGCAGACCCAGGGCTGTGTTGCAGCCAGAGCTGGTGGTTTTCTTTTTTCTTTTATTTTCTTTTTTTTTTTAAGATGGATTCTCCCTCTGTCACCAGGCTGGAGTGCAGTGGTGCGATCTCAGCTCACTGCAACCTCTGCCTCCTAGGTTCAACTGATTCTCCTGCCTCAGCCTCCCAAGTAGCTGGGACTACAGGTGCGTGCCACCACACCCAGCTAATTTTTTTGTATTTTTAGTAGAGATGGGGTTTCACCATGTTGGCCAGGATGGTCTCAATCTCTTCACCTTGTGATCTGCCTGCCTCGGCCTCCCAAAGTGCTGGGATTACAGGCGTGAGCAAGCATGCCCTGCCCAGAGTTGGTTTTTAATGACTCCTCCCCACCCAAAGGGCCTCCCCTGCACCTTACTTGTGCTCAAATTCTCAAATCCCACCTTGCTTGGAGGCCTTCTCTTAACGATCTTTCAAACTCAGGATCGCTCCTATTGTTTCATTTGGCAACTATTTATTATTTGGCAGTTTATTTATTTTACCCCTTTTGTTTAATCCCAAATTGTGTTTTATTATTAGTTTTCCTTTCATTCTTGTCTTGTCTCCCCACCTAGACTGCAAGGTCTTTTTTTTTTTTTTTTTTTTTGAGACGGAGTCTCATTCTGCCGCCCAGGCTGGAGTGCAGTTGGCGCGGTCTCGGTTCACTGCAAGCTCTGCCTCCCAGGTTCACACCATTCTCCTGCCTCAGCCTCCCGAGTAGCTGGGACTACAGGCGCCTGCCACCACGCCCAGCTAATTTTTTGTATTTTCAGTAGAGACGGGGTTTCACCATGTTAGCCAGAATGGTCTCCTTCTCCTGACCTCGTGTTCCGCCTGCCTCGGCCTCCCAAAGTGCTGGGATTACAGGCGTGAGCCACTGCGCCAGGCCGACTGCAAAGTCTTTGAGAATAGGACCACATCTTACAGTTATTTGTATTTATTCACAGTGTATACATAGTGCTGGAAATGTGCTCAGTATTTGTGGAATAATGAATACCTATTGAATGAATTCAGTGGCATTTTATAGTATCAAATGTTTTGCTGGTAGATTCCAAAGGGTTTGTAGTTTCCATACTTTATATGTTTTGTAGTATAAGAATTGTGATAGCTTGTTTCAAAAATAATAAGGGAAGTCTTGTTCTTAAGAATCACTGCACTCCAAATTCTCTATCTCCTTACTTAAAAATTTAAAATAAGATAATTAAAGTCTCCTTAGTATAGTCTATAAAAGTTGAAACACCAATTTTGAGATTCTTCCAGAAGAACAAGCAAGAAAAAAATACCTTCCCCCATTTTTTTTTCATCCTTAGTTTAACAACCCATATTCAACCAAAGGTCTTCATATTTTTCATACAGATGCCATGTGTCATTTCTTTTGCTTCCTTCATGCATATCCAAGGACCTTCATCATAAGAAGGACATCACTGTCATTCTGGCCGGTGAATGATTATTCATTTTTCCCCCTTTACTTACAACATGCTAAAGAGCTCTTTTGTATATCTGTGTCCAAACCTTGATTTGGTTCCAAAATCAAAATTACAATCTTTTGGTCACAATTTATCCACTGAATGGCATGCTCAGTCAGCTTGAAGGAGCAGATTGCTTCAGTTGTATTGTTGGGTGGAAAGGGCTGAGAGAGGGGGCCAAAAGACTATGCTCAGTAATAAATTAATGGAAGAACAAAGGAATGAATAAATAAATAAGTGAATGGATCACCTAAAGAATGGCACCAATGTCAGAGAGCTTCCTTGGTTTGCTGAACCAAGTTACCTTGAAACTTGATACATGTCACTTAAACTTCCTGATTTCCTTTTGCCCCAAGATGATGGCAATATCACCTGTCCTAATTATCTTACAGAATTATTTGGGTATGAAGTAAGATAATATGGGTAAAATTTTTATGTGTTGGGCACCCTATTTTGAATCAGGTGTCATTTAATGCTGAGGACAATAATTCCAATTAAGTATCAGTAGCACTATTCATTGATAAGGAAACCATGAATTGGAGAAGTTAGATGATTTGCCCAAGGATGAATATTCATTCATTCCTTACCTATCTTGGGTGTGCACCAGGGAAGTGGTAATTGCGGGCTAACTGAAGGTACAAGGGGGCTGAATAACTACAGAATCACAGGAAGGATTGGTATTTGGTTACAGGTAGGGATTCACCAAAAGACATTTTGCTGTGTGGGTGGAAGATAATACAATTACATTGAGAAGATTAGGCAAGTGACAATAAGCCTCAGGGAAAGAGGATGAGACCTAGGCCTTCAGATAGAGCCTGGGATTGGCCTCAGTGGGACTTTTTGTATTCATAGGACTCACTAATACTGGCTTATTATCTGGTAGAGCTCATTGGCCCAGTCCCTCTGGTAGCTATTCTTCAGTATTAGATATACTAATTCTCAAGTAGAAGGGACCCAGGAGCTCACTTGATCCTATGCCTTCATTTTTTCCTTTCACTTTCATAAATGAAAAAAAAATGAAGCACAGATAGATGTTTTGTCCAGTCAGTTAGCAGACTGCATGGCTGAATAATATTTGTTGTATAAATGAATGGATTTTGAACTCTAACTACAAAATCTAGGCTTTAGACTGAATGGCCCTGCCTTTCAGAGAGGTGCTTCCCACCCAGGTGGGTCCTCATGCCCCATGATCCCCTTAGTTGTGCTCTGTCCTTGGGAGAAAGGGGACAACCCAGGCCTGCATTAGGTTGACTTCCCAGAGGCCCTTCTCTTGGATGATTTTCCAGCTTACACCATTCTTCACTGTTACTCTGCTAAAGTCAACATGTAAGAGCCATGAACAATGGAAATGAGAGTGAAAAAGAAAAGGAGAGAACTTAAGAAAGGGAAGTTTACTGGCATAAAAACCCTACTTCATGTCAACAGTTTTAGAAAAATTCAGTCAGTTCTAGTGGGCTCAGCCAGACTTAATCTACATTAATGAAAACCCACGTGTCTGGAGATTCTCTCTAGCACTCTCTTTCCCAGATTGGTTCATCTGGGGACATGCCTTTCTGAAACATTATGGCTTTCAGAAGATTTCCTAGTTTATACTAATTTAGATATTGTTTTCAAGTAACAGAGAAAATTGCTACAGCATCTGAACTATTTATCTTCCTAGATGTTGTAGTTAGAGCAAAAGCAGATGAGTTGGGAAAAGATAAATTCACTAAAATTACTTGTATCCTGGTATTAAGGTGATGAATAACTTATGATGATGTAACATCTATGTACTATGGAGATAAGAATATCATTAAATGCATACATAAGAATTTAGCTCTCAATAAGAAACTTATTTTAAAAGGATACAATCTTATAGGAATAAAAGAATACTATTTATAAATGAAGAATTATAACTCATTCATGCATAGAAAGCCAAATATTCTGAAGATAACAAAACTCTCTGTTCTTACAATAATAATTAAAATCTCCATAGTATATTCTATAAAATCTGAAACACTGATTTTAAGATTCTTCCAGAATAACATGAGGGAAAATATACTAAATTTATTTTTTCTAAAGGGATTGGTATTTACCTTCTGGATTTTAAAATATGTGACAATTACCAAAACATCATGACATTCAGTTAAAAGCAGGAAAAAGATGGGTGGAGACAATAGATATTTCCAAAGTAAATTTAGACCATAATAAGAACTTATTACATTAAAAAAACCAGATATACATAGGCAAGAAGTGATCAGTATTTAATACAGAGGACAATCAGGTCATGGTGCAGAGACGGCATTAGATTCATTCCTCATATTATATATTATAATAAATTTTGGTCAAAGCAAAATAAACATAAGCATAAAATAAACATAAAAAGAAAACGAATAAAATAAGCATATTATTTTCAATTAAAGAAGAAAAAACATTTCTGATTTGCTGAGATATAATTATAAATAAAACAGATATGTTGGAATAAAAAACAAAAGGGATTGTAAGGAAGTTAAAAAATTGTAAGTTATAAATGTTAAAAAGGAAGCTCTACTCTTAAGAAATGAACAGAGAATTCATCTAATTAAGGTCAGTATTCAGCTTTTCTTCAAAATGAGATCATAGGAAATAAATGGAGGGCATACACATAAGGAAATGCAGACAATAAATCAGCACATGGAAAAATGTTCAGTCTCAATAGCAACTAAAGAGATGTAAACAAAAAACCTTTAAAACACCACAGCATATCAGTTAAGTAACTGTAAACCCTGGCAATTCAGACAATGAGCTTTGGAATCAGATAGATGTAGATATGGATCCTGCCTTGCCACTTTTTAGCTGTGTCTTTGATTCAGGGTCCCAACCTCTCAGCATCCATTTTCTAATCAGTAGCATACAGCTATTATACTTAAAGGATTAGTGTGAGGATAAAATGATTAATGTAAATAAACCATTCAGTACAGTATCTGGCACATATTGAATGTTTCCGTTAATGGTAGGCAGCAATAGTGGTGGTGGAAGATAATGATGATGGTACTAGTGCTGGTAATGGTGGTGGTGAAAATGATGGTGACGGTAGCATGTGATGACACTGTTGTTTGTTGGTGGTGTTGTTGAAGACAACGCGATTGGTAGTATTTGATTTGTTGCTCATAGTGTTAATAATGGTGATAATAGCTGATCATGGTGATGGCATTGGTGGAGGTGATGGGAATGATGGTGGATGAGGCTTGGTGGTGGTACAGATAGTAGTACAGGTGGTGGTAATGGTAGCGGAACACAGTAATAGTGGTGGTGGTGAAAGTAATGGCGCTGGCATTGTTGGTAGTGGGCTTGATGATGATGATGGTGGTGAATGATGATGGTGATGTGGTAGAGGTTGCATTGATAAAGGTGATAATGATGCTGATGGTGGGGTGGTGGTGGTGTTCGTGAAGTTGATGATGGTGGTGGTGGATGACGATGTTGTTGGTAGTGATGTTGATGTCGACGGTAGCTGATAATAGTAATGGTGTTGGTGTTTCTTGTGTTGATGAAGGAGATGGTGATAGTAGTGGCTGTGGTGCAGGGGGCAATGGTGATAGTATTGTGGTTTTTTTAAAAAAAGCTAAAATTATAAATAGCAGTTGTAGCAGTTGTGGCAGTTGTAGTGGATAAATCAGAAAAATGGAATACTACAAATGCAATGTTATTGGTCTTGCAATTTGTTAGTCTTTCTAGAAAGCAATCTACCAAAAGATATGATATGTTGTACACTTTGACACAGAAGTTAAGCTCTTGGGAACATACATAAAAAAATCCCCCAAATTAAAAATGGTCTGTAAATAGTATAGCAGTGTTATTTATAACTGGGAACAATACAAAAGCCTCAGCAATAGGGAAATGACTAAGAAAATTGTGATACATCAAGATGGTGGAATAATATTATGTAGCTATTGAAAGTGAAATATGAGGAAATATGCATATGAAAAACTATGTTAGAATACACAAAGCTATGTGTTCAGAGAGTGTGCATTTGTGTGCTTTTACCAAATAACAGAAGAAAATATAATTGCAGGTGCATAGAGTTTAATAAAGGTTTCATATTAATTAAGCTTTTTCTTTATATTTCCAAAATAAGTTTAACTGCTATACCTTGCATTGCATGCAAGAAAAACCAACACCATTACTATCATTATGCTTTTGTAAATAATTAATGGTCCCATTAACTCATGCAGGGTCGTGGTTGAATTGCAAACTATACCTCAGTCCAAATAACTGGCTCCTAACTAACTAATATTGAGACAGGCCACCTCCCCACTCCTTTCCTTAGAGTCTGTTTACAGCCTACCTTTTATTGCTCATCCCAGTTCTTCGTTCCTCACTTTATCCTCACAATGCTTAGGAAGAAGTTTCAAAAGAAAACAGGGATTTTTTTGGTTGTTGTTTCAAAACCAAAAAATTAGAGGTCATAAAAAGCCCAGTGGTATCAATTTAATTACATGTCTGCTCATTTGAATGTGAGTTAGGTTTGTGGTTGTATACCTAAAGCCCCGAGTATTGATAAGTTTTGAATTTTAGAACAGTTACCTAACTTCTCTATGCTTACATTTCATCAACTATAAAATGGGAGTAACAATAGCAACTAACTTGTTGGGTGGTTGCAAAGATTAAATGAGGGGCTCCAGGTAAGATATGGCAGAGTGCCTGACACAGAGTTAATGTTTATTATTATTTGTTAATAATAAAGTTAATGTTTATAATTTTTTGTATTGAGTCTTGTCACTGCCATCACTATTATGTCTACTCCACCAAAAAGCACTAGAAGCTCTCAATTAGAAACAAAGGCACTGGACTACCAGTTTCATTATCTATATAATGGGAATATTAGACCAGGTGATTTTTGACTTGCTGTGACTCTGTTTTCTAGGAGAGAATAATGTTCTCTTTTATTGATTTTTGTCTCATGTCAGGAAGGAGAATAATAAATCCAAAACCAAACTAAAATGGGCTTTCAAAATCACTCTTTTTAAAAATTAAAATATTGAATTAATAAAATGCTCGTTTGCCTTGCTTAAATATTCTGAACAGTTTCTTAACTATTTCAATGAAAGCATTAAAAAGGTTGTATTTCTGCATTCAATAACAAACTTATCTTTGAAATAGAAAATGGCTTATGAAGTTGAAATTAATTTTTTTTTCAATAATTTCCCCAAGTTCTGTAGGTTTTTTTTGTTTTTGTTTTGGGTAGTTTTTTCTTTTTTCAAAATAAATTTATTTAAATTCCCTTCAAGATAGAAACAAGACTGAATGGCCCACCTAGGAGGTGGGGCAGGCAGGCCTTGGGAGGCACTGAGGCCACTCGGGGTGTTTAGCCAGATGTCCTTCATACTCCAGCACGTCACACATCATCAGTACAGTCATGCCTCTGAAAAACCCTAGAGGGTGCTGTTTTCCTGTTTGTTTTCATCCTTGCCTTGCCCTCTCAATGAGACAATGAAAAGAACAAAAAAGGAGGGAAGTAGATACATCAGCAACAAAACACAGACTATGTGTTTAAACAAAACATGGACTACATGTACCCGAGCCCAAGATGACATGGAGTATTGAGTCTCGGTTCCTGTTTGCCAGGTGAGGATGCAGAACCTCAGAGAGATGGGGCACTTAGTCAAGGTCACCCTGCTAACCATTGGCAATAGAGACAAAGCTAGAATCCAGACCTCAGACACTCAGACCTTCTGTGCTCTACTACATGCCTCCCTCAACAGGTAAAACACAATGTCCACCAAGTGGGAGGGCCAAGGCACATGCTTCTGGGTGCACGTTCTCTCTTGCTTATGTGATTTTGTTTCCAAGGAGCAAGGTTGCTGACTGAAAAACAGAGATATATTTCAGAAGTGTGTAATTTGCAGGGATTTTTACCTTCTGATTCTACATAGCCCACCCATAAATCACTCCTAATGACTTTGCGTCATTAGCACCAACAGAGTTGGTTGCAGTTACTAGATGCAACAGTGATGATGAGACTATTAACGGTGCTGATAATGATGTACAGTTATTGAGCACCCTCTGTGTACCATGTACTGTGCTAGGTACTTTGTATACATTGGTTCATCTACTCTTTGCTATAGCCTTATAAAGCATGTATTGTATTTTCTTATTTTATAGATGAGAAAAGTGAGGATTAGAAGTTTTAAGAAGCTGGCCTATAATTACACAGAAGGGAACTAGATTGTGAAACCAGGTTAATGTCTTCATTTGCTTATGCACCATGTTCTCAAATACCTGCAAAGTACAGGAAAAATGATAGGGCTGGTGGTGAGATAGAGAAAGGCTGGAGGTGGTGGAAGTATAACAGGTCAACTTATTTTGGAACTTTTGTGCTGCCAAATCACATAAGGCAAACTCCTAATGTACTAGGTTCACTTTTTATATTGAGGTGGAGAAAGTTGTTTCAAAGTCAGAGGGTAATTGTAGCAGTTAGAAGAAGCTAAGTTTAGGAGCCACTTCAGAGTACAGTTCAGGCAACACACACACACAAAATCTGAACTGTGGAGATGGGAAGAAAGGAATGTCCCTTCACTTGTGCTTCATTTACTTCCTGAGGGCAGCTCATGCACTGTGCTATGTCTCCATTCACCAATGTGAAAAATGAGGAGGGAGGTGGTGCTCTACACTGAGGTATGGCAAGGAGCTCTCTGTATCTAACTTGCAGAGGGCAGCAGAGTTTATCATTGCATTCTTAAAAGGAGGGACAGCCCACTCTTCAGTTCACAGATTCATCGGATGCCAGTCAGCCTGCTGTGTGCAATGTCCTCTGCTGTGTGTTGTGGGGTAGGCGAAGTTGGATAAGATGCATTGCCTGCTTCCATATGCTTGTGGGAGAAAAGAAACAACTACAATGCTGGGAGCAAAATAGTGCCTGGTATCTACCTGCGGAGCTGCCCAAATTCAAAAGCAGCCATTAGCACAGTAGTCACCCATGAGGGTCTCTGTGGTAGTCACCTGTGAATGCTTCAAAGGTTCTTTCCTTGGAAGATGCCATCTGTTGTGGCTTGAAGTTTTACAAAGGGTTCCTTGCTCCAGTTGAGGCTTTTTGACTAATAAAAAAGGAAAATACCTTGATAAAAATAACCACCTCAGATCATATTTATTCCCTGGAATGACTGCACTTGACAGGCTCTTTTCCGAGAGTAGTACCCAAAGAGGGTACATAAAGAGGGGAGAACAAGGAAGGGGAAAACAAGAAGTAGTGGAGGGAAATGGTGGCTTTGGAAAGAGATTTTACCTGTATCATCACTTGGTTTAAGACCAGGCCTGTCCAGAAATTTACATAAATTTGGAAATTTTGCACTGTGGATTTGAGTTATTTGCTTTCAGTATTGTTACAAACCTTCAGGGCAAAGGTAAAATGGAAATGGAGATTTGGTGATCTTTTGCTTCACATCTGGAGAGCAGACCCGCTTGACAGTGGCAGGAATGTAGGTTTCTTGGGGTGAGCCTGGATGAAAATGCTTCTGGGAACTTACTTCTCTAACTAAACAGTCATCTATTTTTCTTATATGATTTGGGGGCCATAGAGTGACTGAAGATGAAAAAGAATGCATATTCAGCTACTTGTAGGATTATAACACAATTAATGAAAGTTACAATCTAAACTATATCCTACTGAAGACAAAGAAAGTGAAAGAACAATAGCTCAAATTCAAAATGTATCTTGATCCATCACCTGACAATGAGAATCAAATTAATAACTCTCTCATAAATCATCAGAGGTTATGGGAGATTCATCTCCTGTGTTTGAGGCCTTCATTCTTGAGCACTCAGCTCCTCCAGAAGCGGCTGGCATCTAGCATGCTTGCCATAAATAAATCATTCTTAGCTTGCTGACCTGGAGCAGTGAGTGGGCCGTAGTCCCCCACCACACCCGCTCTCCTCTGAGAGTAAAATGCCCTGTTGCATTTTTAATACCACCCTAAGACTCTGTGTCAAGTTTCCACAAAGTTTGCCAGAGGAATTAGCTTCCTCTTTTTAATAGGCAGTTCCAAGAGGTCAGAAGATAAACAAGTTTGAAAACAATTACATTTTTTTTAAATCACTTGATCCAACATACCGCATCTTGCATTTTCAGAAAAGATTGGCTTCTATAATTTTACCACCTGGTACAACATATTGAAATGTACTTTATTTAACACAATAACCACCGAGTTATTATTATTTTTCTTGCTTCCTTTCCTTCCTTCCTTTTGCAATGTGGGAACTGCCTGCCCAGGGGAATATGACTCACCCTGGATTGACTCAGAGTATATATGACTTCATGAAACACCACAGAGTGAGGGCAGAGAGTCACTGGCCCATTCTCCATGATGCTGGTTGCCAAGAAACCATTGGCCTTCTAGGTAACAAGATGGTCTACCTGTCTTTTGGGGTTGTTCATGGAAGTTTACTTAGTGTCTGTGTATCTATGGCTCCCTGTTTGATCAAACAAGACACGTGAATAAGAAAGCAGTAAGCCAGAGAGGAACTTATTTAATCATTATTCAAAGTCAAAATAATTTTATCTTTAAACAACTATACCTACTTTTTAAATTTAGTAAATTATTACAAATTATAAATATTTTTTATTTTTTATATCTTATAAAGTTCCAATTATGCCATATTACTAATTGGTATTTACCAAAATACAGCTATCTTCCACATCTTATTCTCTTCTATGAAATAGTATTCATGCAATTTTGAACATGTTCCAGTCATTGGAAGCACTGGCTAAGGAACGCACATGAACATAAGCATTTGGTATTATTATTTTTCAAATACAAGTTTTGACAATCGCCTTACCTGTGTAAAGGCAGGTGCAATCACTTTGGGGCATGGGATTGGGGAGCTGGGGCTGAGGAGAGGGTGCCAGAATTACTCCATAGTTACCCAAACCATCTTCTCCAGTAGGACTTTGGTGAAACATTAGTTTGGATTGAAAGTACAGAAACAAAGTGGACTAGATTCCAGAGATGAAACTTGCCTTGCTTACCCCTGAGTAATGCTTCTTCTAACTGATGTGTAACTTTTCCTCTTGGGGTTTTAGTTCCCTCCACTATGTAATGAAGACAATCTCTAAGGTTCCTTTCTCCTCCTCTGATAGCTTCTGCTGCCATCTTATCTGCCTCACTTAAGGACCTTCCTAGTTACAGTAAAATCAACAGCAAAACAAGCTCATCAATTCCACCTCAATGGAAACAAAAGAAACGAAATGAAGTGTCAGTACCATTTCCCAAAACCAACCAGTGACTGTTGACTAACAGTGCAAAGAGAGTGGGAAATGGTCAAAAGTCTCTTTAACATCAGACCACCTGGTACTGCCTTTTCTGAGATTAGACATTTTACTTAGAAAAGCCTGTATGGTCAATTCAGTGTGGTCACTTAAGAGACCCCATCATTCATGTGAAACTTGCTTTTTACTTTCAGATGGGTGTATACCATGATGATTTTGATAAAGTCCACTTGAAACCATGTCCATTTCTGTTTAGAGTAGTTTTAGCACTCTTTCTATTAATAACAGTCATCTCCTTAAATAGAAGCCTGTGTCAGCGAAGTCTAACTACACAGGAGGTGTTTGTTCCTAACAGACATGCACAGGGGCCAGCGGAGATGACCAGTCCTCACTGCATGCCTGGAGGAAGTGTGGTGCCCAAGATGGCTCAACCATCATTGATTTGACAATTTAATAATCACGATGGTGGAAACAATCTGTGTCCATTTATCTGGTTAGTATAGGAAGAAGCTTGGAATACTCTGACCTAACGCAAGGATGATTTATTGTCATAATCATAAAACTCAAAGTCCAAGACCTCTCACTTTCACTGCTCCCTTCCCATGCCCAGAAAGGGACCTACCGTAGTGTTCACATGATTTATTTTTGCAAAATTTGCAAGCATAAGATATTTGAGCTGCAACTGGTTAAGACCAATGCCTCTTTTCATTACAGCTTTCCCTCTGTTATACTTCCACTAGCCTCAGATGGTATTAGAGTTGCCATGGGCATCTTGGGTACTTCACTAAGTGGGAAGTTAAATTAGGCATATATTTAGTTTGGGTTTAGTGAGATATATTTGTGTGGTCCTAAGTTATTTCCGGTAATAGTTACATTATTGTTAACCATCATGGTGAAGAGCTGGCCTTCAGTAATACTCTTGATGCCCATTGTGCTGACTTCACTCAGGTCATGACCCAAAGATGGTCATGTCACAATATAAATGTATCCTATGGCATCAGCACCAGAAATATGCAGGATATGAAGATTGAAATTTGAAAGATATAGAGCTAGAAGCTAGTCTGTGGGAAGTTCTCCCAGTTATCAGATATGTAAAATTGTAAACAGAGGATCTAGTTTTCACCAATGCCTAGTCAAAACAGAAATTCTCTCTTGTCAGGAATATACACAATAATGCAACATATACAATAACAAATGCACCATATATTTTTCAGTGGGAAGTACCCAAAGTAGACTTTTATGTATTTGCATACAAACCTGTAGTACTTCTATAAACAGTTGCAGTTTTACGTCCCAACTATTAATACTAAAAGTCAATGTTGATTGATCATCCTAGTGGAGGAATTGTGTTACCTGTCTTCTCTCCCACAAATCAGGATATTACAAAATCATTGGCAAATGAAGAGGCATTCAAAGTGTATGTTTCAAAAAAAACAGAAAAAACAGTATTACAGGTATATGTTATCCACATAATAAAATATTAATTTACCTTTTGGGATTTTTTGATATCTGTGGTATATAATAGTTTTCTAAAAGTCTGCAAATTTGTTTTAATTCCTTTTCATATTCTAAATAAATATTCACTTCCATATCTACTTTTTTTTTTTTTTTTAGACAAAGTCTCACTCTGTCCCCTAGGCTGGAGTGCAGTGGCGCAATTTTGGCTCACTGCAACCTCTACATCCCTGGTTCAAGCGATTCTCATGCCTCAGCCTCCTGAGTAGCTGAGATTACAGGTGCATGCCACCACGCCTGGTTAATTTTTGTATTTTTACTAGAGACAGGGTTTTGCCATATTGGCCAAGTTGGTCTCGAATTCCTGACCTCAAGTGATCCACCCACCTGGGCCTCCCAAACTGCTGGGATTACAGGCATGAGCCACTGCTCCCAGCCCCATATTATATTTTGTAGTTGGAATTTCATTTTTGTTTCTGAAGGAGGGCTCCTTAAAAGCATGAACTTCAGGTTCACAAATTCTAGGGCTGCCTCTGCTCCTAACCCAGTCTTAGCATGGGAAGATTTTCAGGCTTGACTCTTTTCCATCCTCCCTGTTTCAAATACTCTCTCTGCTTGCTCTTTGGCCTCATACACAGCAGGCATCTTTCTTTCCAGTCTCTTTGCCAGTGGTAAATGGCCTCCTTTTCTCAAAACTCACCTTGGCTGCTGCTTGCTTTGCTCCACCCAGCAGTCACCCCACCTCCCACCTCCTCATCAACCCCAGCTCCATTACTAGTCCAGCTCCTGAAACCTCAGCCCTGATCAGAGCCCTGGCCTTCCTCCTTGCCTGGGAGGGAGTTGAGGCTGGCAATGGACACAATTCAATATAGTTTAACCAGTGAGAAGTTGGCAATGCCATCAGGTGCCACTTGTCTCCCGGGGGAAGAATGGGGGCCAAGAGCCTGCAGTGTCATGTCAGTCAGGCACATGCAGTGGCTTAGCATCAGAATGCGTGGTTCAGACCGTGGCCACAGTAGGGAAAATGGACTCTTCATAGTTGCCAAGCAATGCTAAAGGTCAGACAAAATCTAATTTGAGAATTCAAATTTGAGAATTTAAAAGCCAGAGTGGTCAGAGGCAAGGGAGGAAAACAAAGGAGCTTGCTGTTCAAAAGCACTTTCTCCAGGCCTCCTGTTTGAATATCCCCTGCAACTACTAGGGTAAGGCAGATTTGGGAAAGATAGGGGACTGATTACACTAATGCTGTTTTGCTTTGCAAATGAAGGTTGAGAAGAGCAGTTTAGGGGCTGCTCCACAGGAAAACTTGTAGGGAGTAATCCTAGACTATCTCTTTCATAATCATCTTTGGGATTCTTTCCCTATCCAGGGAAGATGAATAGGTTTCATCCTTTAAATAATATTTTTAACCTACCTCCAAGCATAACATCTCCCAGGAACTTGTGAAAACAGCAAGAACTTGTGATAAAGTTACAAATGCTCAAAAATGTCCCTGTGATTAAGTTTTACCCATGCTTCTACAAGAAATTAATCCCTCTCCCTGTCTCCCTTCTCCCCTTCCTCTCTTTTCTTTTTTCATTTCTAGCAGATAGGAATAGTTGACTGATATAGGAGACAATGAAAGTACCCAACCATTGAGGGGAATTTAAACGCCCTCAGTATTAAGCAGAGTATCACATAGTTAAAAATACAGGCTTTGGAGACCAACAGACCCAGGTATGAGTCCCCATTTCAATATAACCTTCAGATCCAGGCAAGAGCAGTCAACCTGGCTGTGGGAATAGGCAGAACTAACATAAACAAGAAACAAAACATTGGGTTGGGTAAATTAACTCAGGGACAAAAACAGATATGTCATATAGACTACAATTTTCACTTCTTTGCCATCAGCTTTTGACAGGCTATGTAAATAGCCTCAGGCAGAAAGCTCGAGACATAGCAATTCCAATGTTTGGTAAGTTATAGTTAATTGTTTCCAAAATGGGAAATGCTGAGTTAAACAAGATTCAAGGTTTTTTGACTGATGTCTCTGCTCCTTTTATAAGCTAATGTGTACTGTGAATCTGCAAGAGGAGAATTAGGGACTGTTTCTCAAGTTTCTTTAGCCATTTTTTTGTGTGGAGTATCTCAAGGAATGTGTGCTCTGTGGGATATATGTTCAGAAATAAGCTCTGGCCTTAGGAGGTCCCATCACACCAATTGCCAATATATCTCCTCAGCAGCAAACCATTTTAAAGCCCAATGGATGTCACTGGGCTGTTTATTCACTTGTCCATTGATCCTTCTCCATGTTTCTCTGTGTCCCTGTAAGTGCCTGGACCACATCCCTATGCAGAGCAACCAAAGTTAATCTGTTCAGTTGAAAGTAACTGTACCTGCAGCTGTGGACAGATTCCTGCACGTAGTACACCCAGTCTCTGACGCTGTTGATGCCCTGCACTCTGGTTCTGCTTATTTGGTTAAATTGAGTTTTCTAACATAAATAAAAAGGGGAGGCTTTTATAAGGACCTTTTAAGAAATGAAAACCAACACAATATACCATTTGTCCAAGCACAAAGTAAACTTGGCATCCTGAGATGTTCAACCACATCATTTCATTATTACTGCTACTAATGGGAGACAGTGCTTGCTAGTTGCCAAGTTTGAATCATCCCATCTTAGGGCAGAGTTACTAACAGATGCCAAACCAATTTGCTGCTCTATAAACTTTAGAAATTAAAACACTAAAAGATGCACTGGCCTTCCAAACACAGGGATGTTATTTGAATACTAAATAAAAGTTGTTGCCAGGGAAATGGGTGCTTTGTCTTCTTTGCCACAAAAGAATCATGGGCTCTGAGACACTTTTGAGATGGCTTAGGTGGTAGCAAATACTTTTCAGGTATAATGGACTCTACTGGTCCTCTTTTTTTCTTGGCGATTTTAAGGTCAAGAAACTACCCTTGAGATTTATGGCAGGTTGTATTTAAGGTATAAAGTGTGTGTGTATGTGTGTGTGTGTGTGTGTGTGTGCATTCCTCCCCATGGAATCTTTGAGGTGAAAGGACAGAATTTCTCAAACTTCTAGCCTCAAGAAATCCTCCTGCCTCAGCCTCCAGAGTAGCTGGGACTATGGGCATGAGCCACTGTGTGTGAGTCAAAAGTTCTGAAAATGGAGAATACCAACTACAAAAAGATTTTTCTGTCTGCCTTAGTCATCAACAGTGGCCCCCATCTCTGAACTCTTAGAACATAACTGAACAACCCAGTCTTAAATTATCAGCCCTTCTCTAGTGTTTACTGTCACTCTTTCCTCTCTTGCACTTGTAAGCTCCTTCAGGATAGAAATTGAGGCTCCCACTTGTGTATGCCCTGGCCCTTGGGGCAATGGTACTCCACTCTCCATAAACATTTGTTGAGTTGAGTTATGTTGGCCAGGAACTTGGAGACCTGCTTGCTAGCACAATTATCTCAGTGTGATGGGGGGCAAATTACTTAACCTCTCTGGGCCAGTTTCTATGCATCTAAAACAAGTAAGTTGGTTCAAATGACATCTAAGGTCCTTTCCAGATAAAGATTGCTGAGTCTCTTGTTTCTCTAGCTCAAGTCTTCACTTGTAAAGTGAGGATAAAGTCTTGATTTAGCTCTACGTGCAATCCATAAGACGGTTAGGGTTTCTCTCCTTTTTTTTCTGTGTTTTTCCCTGTGATTCTGCAGTTGGGGCAATCTCTAAGTTTAGGATGACTGGGCAACCAGCCACATGATATGGTTAGAGAATGCTCAAATGTCTTTTCCCTTTCACGTTCTAACTGCTGTGACATGGCAACTGAGTTTCACAATAATAATAATTCCTTGTATTTGTTTAGTGCTTTACATTTTATAAAATACCATCTCATATATTTTATCTTTTGATGCTCAAAACTACCTCATAAAATAAAAAAAGCAGATATTATTCCCATATCACAGATATGGAAATTGGGGCTCAAATAATTCAATTTGCCTAATGGCACCCAGCTATTATGTTAGTCTGAATTCAGCCTGGGTGTTCTTTCCACTGCACTGACTATCTGAGATAAACCATCATCTCCACAAAGTAAATCTGTTACTTGGGTGTGAGTGGTATTTAGGACCCATTGACTCAGCCTCCTTTTGCACCTGCATTCAGCAAACATTGTTAATGTCTACTGTTTTGCACTCCCAGGGCTAGCATGACACTGATAAATTAGTCTAGTATTTTCCATAGTATATTTCTTGGAACACAAAAATGATGAGATTTCCCTGAAAAAAAAAAAAAGAAGAAATTCTTGTGGTCAAATAATTGAGAAATGCTTCATACCACACCCCCTCTTTGAGATTTGCAGGACCTATTCTTGTTTGCAAATTGAAGTGCTGAAAAGCCTTGCAGTAAAGGGTCCTGTTTACACACTTCACATTCACCAGCTCCCAAGCTGTATTTAGAACCCTTTGCTCATGCACAATGATTGAAATATTACTGTCTGCAGATTATCCTGAGATCCTGCTGAAATAAGAGTAGAGAAGTAGGAAAAGGAACAATCTTACAACAGTTAAGAAAATAAGACAGTGTCACCAATGACAAGGGTTGTTGACAAACTTCTGGAAGAGAGAAGATAGGTAGGAAAATGTTGAGAGATAATAGAGTACAGAAAATATTATAGCTCAGAATAAACCCTAAGGTAGGTACAGAGGAGGTGGGGGCCCTGTTCTTTTCCAGGACCCTAGAGAAGCTGTCAGCTTGGAGTTGGCCCATCCCACAGTGGGTGGGAGGTATGATATGGGACTCCATTGGAGGGAGTCAGTGAAATTCTATCCTAGAACAACTTTGCCAGACAGCAGCCAACTCCCACATCCCAGCTCTGTGCAGTGCACTGGGAGCCTTTTACCTGTGGCCTCTACATGGAAAGTTCCCTCCACAGGCAGCCATTTGAGGGTGTGGGGAGAGCTTGTGCTTCCAGTCTCGGTGTGGAGGTGCCAGGGTAAAGACTTTCTCTTTCTGGCATCTGGAGATCCATTCCCTGATCACCCCAAAGGAATGATGATTGACTTGGCCTCCCCTGCCACTCGGCCCTTATGATGTAGTACAGGACACTTTGGAAAAGGAACAATCAGAGAATAAGATCAGAGTTATTAAAAATTAAGAACATAACTGCTAAAAATGAAAAATTTAATAGAAGAGCTAGAAATAAGGAAAGCCTCTGAAATCATTGAGCAAAAAAGCAAATAAAAATATGAGAGAAATGACTAGAGACAGAGGCCAAATACAGAAGGGTCAACCTCCAACTAATAGGAGTTGCAGAGAGAGAGAGAGGAGAGACACTGGAGGGCAGGGCCTGATACACATATGCATTCAGTATAATCATTCCGTGACAGACCGCAAACAGGCAAAGTCCTGCCCCTGGAGCTGGGTGACAGGCTGGTAGGGCAGATGGACAACCAATAAATAAAGCACAATGCCAGTGATATAAAGAAAACAGGAGAATAAGGAAACAGAAATTCAGAGGTGCTATATTAGATGGTGAGGAGGATGTTTGAGCAGAACGGAGTGAGGAATTGAGCCGTGCCCAGTTAACACTTGCTAAATGAATAAAAGGATGAAAGTATGTAGGTGGAAGAGTGATGTGCACAACCTCATATTGCTCAGGCCTATACTGAACAGTGCTGCTAGATGATCTCTGAAGTTGCTTATAATTTAGAAAGTGGCCTTCCCTCCCACCCAGTAAATGTACTTTAATCGTTGAGGTCGGTATTAATGATTTCTGGGAACTCATCACGTCCCATGATGTGTTGGAAAACACCAGGCAATGCTTTATCACAGTCTGTGCTTCTTAGCAAACTATTTCCTCTCAGCTTTCCTGGAAGCTGGGGTTTTATACTATGGCTATTTTTAGTTGTTGTCGCAGTGGCTGCTGGGACCAATTGCCTAAGGAGTTTGACGAGAACTTTACCCTGGGGAGAGGCATTCCTCTCTGCAGTGTTGCCCTGAAGAGCCCTGTAATTGAGATTTGACCATTTACAACCTCTGAGAACTAGATACCATATCATGAAATGCAAGATCAGGTAGCTTTGCTGTGTGCTCAGCAGTCAGCAAGAAACTGTCCAAAGTTATTTTGACCAGTGGATCATTCATTTGGTCAGTTCCTATTCAAAACCTTTGACTGAGATAAAGAAGCCTGTTTTGCTTTGGAATTGATGCTTGGGAAGCTCCAGGTGGGGGTAGGCTGGGGGATGTTTGCCCTCAAAATGATTTTTCACAAGAGTACCCCAGACTTGTGTGTTCCTTCACAGCCAGTCAAACGAGGGACCGACTGGCATTCAGGAAAGCAACCTGAAAGATCTAGTTGGGATATTCTGGCAGGTATCTAATCTGCCAGCACTTGCCCTTCCTTCTCTGCTCCAAGGCAATGAGAACAAGACTGGCTATAAAACCCACCACTGCCAAAACCATCTTCCCAAAGCACACTTCTGACCTTGCAAAGTCCCTGTTTAAAACCCTCAGATTCTCCCTGCCACAGACCAAACACACTCTAAAAGTCTTAGCTGCTACTCAAAGGCCTCCTGTGATCCAAGCTAATCCCTGGGTATAATTTCATTTCTCCAGCTCCTCCACTTTCAACCCCCTTATGCATCATCCAAATATTATTGAATGTTCCCTATAAACGAGTGATGATTTCCCACCTCGATGCCTTTTATAGACTATTTGTGTCTCCCCCACACCCCTGACAACAAATTCATATGTTGAATCCCTAACCACTATTATGGCTATATTTGGAGTTGGGGCCTCTAAGGAAGTAATTAAGGCTGAATGAGGCCATAGGGCGGGGGCCTGATCCAATAGGTTTACTATCCTTTTAAGAAGAGAACCAGAGAGCTTTCTCTTTCATTTCCATGTGGAGATACAGCAAGACGGTGGCTGTCTGCAAGCCAGGAGGAAAGTCTTCACCAGAAACTGATCATGCTGGCACATTGATGGTGAACTTTTATCCAGAACCGTGAAAAAATAAGTTTCTGTTGCTTCAGCCATGCAGTCTGTGTGGTTTTGTCATGGCAGCCTGAGATGACCAGTGCAATGTTTTGGTGTATGCAGTCTGTCTTCACAAAGGGTCCTTTTTTGCTATTACCATTTGGGCCAAACCTTTCAAAGAGATGTTCCCTTTTCTGTAAACTTTTCTCTGATTTTCTTAGCCATTGACAATCTCATCTTCTAAATTCCCGAAGAACATTGTCAGTTCTTTTCTTTCTTTCTTTCTTTCTTTTTTTGAGACAGAGTCTCGCTCTTGTCACCCAGGCTGGAGTGCAGTGGCGCCATCTCAGCTCACTGAAACCTCCGCCTTCCAGGTTCAAGTAATTCTCACACCTCAGCCTCCTGAGTAGCTGGAATTACAGGTGCCCACCAACATGCCTGGCTAATTTTTCTATTTTTAGTAGAGACGGTGTTTCACCACGTTGGCCAGGCTGGCTTGGAACTCCAGACCTCAGGTGATCTGCCCACTTCAGCCTCCCAAAGTGCTGGGAAAACAGGCGTGAACCACCAAGCCCGGCTAATTTTTGTACTTTTAGTAGAGATGGGGTTTTGCCATGTTGGCCAGGCTGGTGTGGAACTCCTGACCTCAGGTGATCTGCCCGCCTCGGCCTCCCAAAGTGCTGGGATTACAGGCGTGAGCCACCGCGCCAGGCCATCAGTACTTTTCTTTTGAAAAATTTCACTTTTTGATTTAATAATAGTTACTTGTAAATACAAAATCTTTCTGAGCTGAAGACCTGTGAAGGCAAGAACAGTGTCTTTTTCCCCCTCATGTCTCCCATAAGCATCTTGCACCGCATCTCTCACACATGGGAGCTGGTGGCTGTCCTTTACTGAGTGCCTCTCTGTGCTAGGCATGTGTGAGATGTGAAGTGTTCAGCTGGAATCCTCACAGTCCATCTGAGGATTACAACTCTTACAAGGAAGGTGTTGTCTTCTCATTTAAAACATGGTGAAACTTACTGTATGATGCCCTTTGTATGAGGTACCTAGAGTAGCCAAACACAGAGACAGAAAGTAAAGTGGTTATTGGCTGGGGCTATGGGAAGAGGTGAATGGGGAGTGACTGTTTAATAGGTACAGCCTTTGAATTGTGCAAAACAAAAGTTCTCTGAGTGTATGGTAGTGATTGTAGCACAACAGTCTGAGTACATTTGATGCCACTGAACTGTACACTTAAAAATGGTGCAGATGTTAAATTTTACGTTATGTATATTTTTACCTCAATGTAAAAAATAGTAAAAACTGAGGCACAGAGAAGGAAAGTAATTTGACTAAGATCATCAAACTAGAAAGGGGTAGTGCTTAGATATGAGCCCTGTCTGCCCACCCCTCTTGTATGGTGTTTTTTGAGGGGTCTTCTTTCCCTGTTGCTTAAATGTTGGTGTTCCTCAGGGCTCCATACTTAGCCCTCTTGAATTCTGGGCTCAGAATTGGGAAAAAGTTCCCCTTCTGGACAAATAATGTAGAATAAATTTCCCCTCCTTGCAGAGGCAGCCCTGCAGGCAACTGGCTTCTTGGGTTGACTGGGCTGGATGCCAGAACCATCTCCACCACTGCACCCCCGACAAACTAGCCAGGTACCCTCATATGTGGTACAACCTACACAATTAGTGGTGTGTTGAGCAGCTCGTCCCAGCTCATGACAGCCAGCTGTGCCCATCTCTTTCCGACTCCCTGTTCAGTGATGCCATATTGGTAGCTTGAAATCAGCTATGGTGGGAGAACTTACACTACAGAAATCAGTAAATGCTAAAGATAGGAGTCCCCCTACACCACAGAGACCAATGTTAATTATTTACTGGGATACCACTATGCACAATGTACATGAAAGCCTTATTGGGGGACTCTACTTCTTTTGGGGCAACTCTGTTTACATCAGTGACTATAGCTATTATCTCTACAAGTCAATGAGATCTCTGTATCTGATCTTGTTTCTCTTTTAAACTTCATACTCATATGCCTTCCTGCCTACTGCACAAATCAGTTTATATAATTCAAGGGAAGAATAAAATGTTGAAAACCCTCCTCACCCCCCAAAAAGACCAATCTGCTCCTCCCTAATTTCTGCTGTCACAATCCACATGGTCTTCCACATCCAGCTGGGTACCATGCATATCTCAGAAGTTCTACCTTCTAAATGGTTTTCAAAATGATCCTCATTGCATTTTCTTACTGCTACTCATGTTGATTCAGACGCTTATCATCTCTCCCCAGTGGTATGATGTTGCATTCTATTCATCTGAGCCTGCTAATTGGTCTGCCTGTGATATGGTTTGGCTGTGTCCTCACACAAATCTCAACTTTAATTGTATCCCCCAGAATTCCCATGTGTTGTGGGAGGGACCCAGGGGGAGGTAATTCAATCATGAGGACTGGTCTTTCCCATGCTATTTTCATGACAGTGAATAAGTCTCACAAAATCTGATGGGTTTATCAGGAATTTCTGCTTTTGCTTCTTCCTCATTTTCTCTGGCCACCGCCATGTAAGAAGTGCTTTTCTCCTCTTGCCGTGACTCTGAGTCCTCCCCAGCCATGTGGAACTGTAAGTCCAATTAAACCTCTTTTTCTTCCCAGTCTCAGGTTTGTGTTTATCAGCAGCGTGAAAATAGACTAATACAGCTTGCTTCTATCCTTCTCATTGAACCAGAGTTGCTTTTGTGGGCAAATGTACTTAAGTCTATTCTGCTTAACTTTTGATGACTCCCCATTACCTACAAGGTAAATTTCAGACTCCTTAATTTGGCACACAAAACCTTTCACAGCAGGGTGCCAATTTGATTTCAAGCGACAGCCCTGCAGGCAACTGTCTTTTTGGGCTGACTTGGCTGGATACCAGAACCATCCCCACCCCTACAAACTAGCCAGGTGCCCTCATATGTGGTACAACCTACACAATTAGTGGTGTTTAGAGCAGTTTGTCCCAGTTCATGACAGCCAGCTGTGCCCATCTCTTTCCAACTCCCTGCTCTACTGACTCTATTTTATGAACTACTTGTTGATCTCAAATACCCTCACATTACTGCTACTGCCTGGTCAGCTTCCCCTTCCCTTGTTCCACCTAAATTCCTACATGACCTTTACAACCCAACTCACACATTGAGTTGTGAAATCTTTCTGGGCTTTCTCCCTGCCCCTGAAAGATCAATCACTCCTTCTCCACACATTATCACTTTGTATAACCATTGTGTATGTGTGTGTGTGTGTGTGTGTTTGTCTGGATATGTCTCTTCCCACCTATATTAAGAACACTTGCAAGACTTTTGTTCATTTTTATCATTTCAATACCTAGCAGAAAATCTGGCATATAGCAGACATGAATTTTAACTACCCAGAGAGATACAAAGTTGAAATTAAAATTATTTTTGCTCTTAATGATAAGAAGATTTAGAGGGAATTTTCCATCTCCTGAACACATGTAATGCATCAGTGATTCAGTTAAGCACTTCACTCTTCATGGCAAGTGTCTGTGGTGGGTATCATACCACATTCTATAAATAGAGATGTCAATAATCAGAGATATTAAGGAATTTCCTCCAAGGCTAAAGAGTTAGTAAACGGCAAATTTGAGATTTGAATTCAATTGTACTTCCAAAGCTTGTGCCTTTCCTACTCCTCCATGATTCATTTTAACAAAGAAAACCTTTGTGTGAACAAATAACTGATTCAATGTAATGGAGACAATGTCTGGAATATGTGCAAAGTGCCATGGGCACAATCTGGAGGGACCTGCTGAATCTGGGTGGCTGGGGACCAGAGAAGTCTTTCATAGTGGAGGTGAACTTGTGTTCTTTGACAGATACTGCAGAGGGACTCACTACAACCTTTACAAACCTACCTGGTATGGCTTCTTGTACTATAAAGGCTCAACGGTGGAAGAAAAAAATCCCAGATTCCCTTGCAGCTAGAGTCTAGGTGTTCCAGATTCCACAAAAAAAAAGGTATAATGTGCGATAACAGGTTGGCAGAAGGAGCCACACTCAGCAGCAGTTGCATGTGATCTTACAGGAGAACACCATGGCAGAGGCATTTGGTTCTGCAGGTTGCATCTGTGTTGGAAGTTCTGGTGCACAGTCCCTAGTACCATAGATGCCAACAGCAGGAAGCTGTGGGGTTTTTTCTAGAACAATCTCAGAGTGTGGTTGAGTGTTTCTCCAGGCTCAACCTGGATGTGCAGTACTTAAGCTTGGTTGGTGTCTACCCCTAAGTAGAAATCCTGTGAGCTTCTCAAATCTGTAATAAATCCCTCTCTGCTTAAGCTTACTAGAGTGGATTTTCTTGTCTGCCTCTAAATCCACTTACCAATGCAAACACTGTTGTGGAGAATGATCCACTTGCCTCTATCCTTCTGGAGAGATAATCACACAAGGGTGTAGCCTGTCTTAGCACTGTCAAGACCAAGGCCACATTGCATACGGTTGTACACAAATTAGAAATATAAGTGTATGTGTTAGGGTTTGCAACAGATATGTATTCATGCTATTCCTATTATTTGCTTTAATTTTGTATTTAAATTTATTTGGGAAACTTGCTATTGTTGCTGTAGGCAGAGCCAGTTTGGACTGCAGGAAGTTTTGCCTCTTTCATGTACAAATAGCCTGAAGAATTGAGTGGCAGTGATATGGCTGCTTCTCAGAAACAGTGATAGTAAATTCAACTGTTGGGACATTCGAGGGAGCTCCCTCCACATGCCAAGACACATGCCAGGTATTGTGTTGGAAATTCTATTTCAGTGTTCCAAACAAGCCTGTGAAGTGGGCATTAATGTCCCATATTTTAGATGAGGAAAAGAAGGCTCCATAAGGTTAAGACACTGCCTAGGTTTGCCCGGATTGCAAGTAGCCACTGAGACTAAAGTCAGTTTGCACTCAGAGCTGCATGCCCTTCCCATGCTGCCAGTCTGCCTCCCAGAGGGAGTGAGGAAGTGGAAGTATAATAATCACCCCTCTCACATAAGAACAGGATTGCCTGAGTTTGTGGGGTATTGCTCAATAAATGTTTGGTCAGACCAATGTCCTAGAGATTTTCCTCAATGTTTTCTTGTAGTAGTTTCATAGTTTGAAGTCTTAGATTTAAGTCTTTAATCCAATTTTGATTTGATTTTTGTATATGGTGAGAGATAGGGGTCTAGTTTCATTCTTCTGCATATGAATATGTAGTTTTCCCAGCAAATATTAAAAATAAAAAAATTAAAAAACAAGAGGAGAACACTGATACTACAGAGACATCTTTCTAAACCAAATAGTTTCTGTGGTATAATTTAGGAGGCATAGTCAGTCTCTTTGAGTCTCAAATATGGTGAAGCAGATCCTGTCCAGGGCCCTGCTGACATGAGTATTTTGGTAAGAAGAGCTGAGGCATCCATCAGGATGATTATGCAAGTTGGTTTGCCCTAAATACGGTGTATTTACTTATTAAAAATTTTTTTAATTAAAGAAATCAAACTGACAATTATGGAAATTACTTGTAAAATTATTGAGGTTACTTTTAAGAGATTCTCAATGTAAATACAAGTAAAAACAATCTCTGTGAAAAAAGAGGGTGGGGTGGGAGTGGGGGTGCTAATAGTTGTATGGTGCTTATTTTGTGCCTAGAATTTTACATATATAAACTCATTTAATCCTCACAGCAATCTAGTGAAAGGTTAAGTAGATTGCCCAAGATCACAGACTTAATAAATGACAAAATCAGAATTTGAACCCACACGCTCTTGCTTGAGAGTGTATGCTTTGATCCACTATGCTAAACCTCCTCTTAAAGCAGCACAGGATTGGGTAGGACAATGTAATTGCTGAGGCCTGGAATCTCTTCCCTGATCCTACCTGCCACCCTGGTGCCTGCATTTTTTTTCAGAGCTTAAAGCCTGCTTCCTTCATGAAAGCTTCCTTGAAAAATCCAGTCCTGTTCCATCTCTGCGTGCCTTCAGTGGTTATTCAGTACTGAGCATTATATGCTCTAGAACCTGATTCCACCAGAACTCTAGCATTAATTCCTAAGTCCTTCATGTTGTGAATCCTTCTTCCTGAACCAACTGGTCACAGCCCCACAGAAAGAACGAACCCCCAACTTGGACTGTTTTCTTATCTCTTGCAGTATCTGCACATTAGGTACAGAGTGCGGGTTCTATAAAGATTTATCAACCTGTTGATTTGACATATTAAAGAGAGACATAGGAAGGAATAGGCAATAGACGAGAGGCTCATTCTTGCAGCTATAAAATTTTTATTATGGAATAAGAACTCACCACACTCACAAGAGAATTGCTTAACCATCACCTTTATAGATTTTTGTTTTTGTTTTTGTTTGTTTGTTTGTTTGTTTGTTTTAGACGGAGTCTTGCTCTGTCACCAGGCTGGAGTGCAGTAGTGCAATCATAGCTGACTGCAACCTCTGTCTCCCGGGTTCAAGCAATTCCCCTGCCTCAGCCACCCAAGTAGCTGGGACTACAGGCATGCACCACCATGCCTGGCTGATGTTTTTGTGTGTTTTATTAGAGACTGGGTTTCACCATGTTGGCCAGGATGGTCTCGATCTCCTGACCTTGTGAGCTGCCCGCCTTGGCCTGCCAAAGTGTTGGGAATACAGGCGTGAGCCACCACGCCCAGCCAACAAGTTGTTTTGACTGAGAAGGGTGGTCAAGTGCACTGTCCTGATGTCTGTGTCTTGGTTCCAGGCTTAATGTTGCATTTGGCCTTAGAGACTAGAGGGGCAACATCCTCAGTCCTCAAAGTTTCTGCAGCTTTGATGGTTCCTCTTGGCCAAAGAGAGACACTTAATGGGCCTGGACGTGGCCATTGGATTTTGACAGCTTTATGGAGATTTGTAAGGGCTGTTTGCTTTGCCTAATAGTTATCATTTCAAACCAATAGATTCATACCAAGTTGTATCACAGATGTTCTTTTTCAGTGTGAATACTTTTCTCCAATGGTTTCTTTATTTTGTGGACATGAAAACTCATCTGTCTCACTAAATCCCATCACTCCACCTTTTATATTCAGACAAGAATAAAGACCCAGGGAAGAGCCTGTGACCACAGAACTGATTGGTCTTCAAGCCAGATCTGAACCCAGATCTCCCTGTAATAGCACTGTCCTACAGAATGTTCTGTGATGACAGAAGCTGCCTTTTCCAACACAGTGGCCATTAGCCACTTGTAGCTGTAGAGCACTTGAGATGTGGCTGGTGTGACTGAGGAGCTGCATTTCTAATTTTATTTCACTGTAATTCATTTAAATTTAAACAGCCACATGCGCTAATGGCTACCATTTTGAATAGTGCAGTTCTAGAAGAACCAAGCCAGTTTATAGAGAGCTGCTATTGTAAATATAAAAGATTACTCACCATATTCTTTCCTTTCTTGCCACCAAAGAAGAATATAACAAAAATACTTCAGTAGAGTGTAAAAAAAAATGCACTTGTGGTTCAACTTTTAACAAAAGGCATTCATGCCAGGTATTTCTTACCACCTTGCATGTTTACTTTGTGGTTGTTATCACTGAAACCTCAGAACATTAGTTGTTTCTTAAACAATGTACTGTCTTATTTATTTAAGCTGTTGCCATGTTACTGTTGTCCATGGTGCCCTGTGCATGGAGGCTGACAGCCTCTGACAGGCCCTGCCCTTCTGCTGACCCCCAGGCTCGTGAAGGGAGGCAGAAGGGCACTGCTTATAAAGCATAAAAGTGGGACATGCCTTCGAGCCCAGTTTTCTAACCTTTGTCCTCACAAGATTGCACAAATCACTTGGTTCCATGCCTGAAACACATGCTTCATGCACAGGGAGAGTCTGTCATACTTTTGAGGGAGTGTTACCCATCTAGGAGCAGAGCTGCTGATCAGCGCATTTTCCTAGGTACGCATCACAATTCATGCACAAATAGATTCTCAACACTTGGGGCTGAGTATTGGAAGGTAGCTGGAGAATGGGACTTCATTTTGGCAACAATAAATTCCATTTTTTCTAGAGTTTTCTAAAGAAATTCATAGAATCATCAGAGGCTTGAATGGTAAGAGGTTAAAAGATGAAGTGACATTGCACTTAGGCTGTGTCAGTGAATGACTGGCTGAGGCATCTGTTTCCCTGTTTTCTCATTGCTGAAAAATGGTATGCTGCCTTTTGCAAAGTCTTTATTTTGTATCTTTATCTTAAAGTGGAAGATAAAGACTTTGAAAAAGACAGCATATCTTTAAAGAGAATGGAAACAAGGGTCAGAAAGGAGTTTTTTGTCAGAAGGCCAAAATATGTTGCTATAGCTGTCATCTCACAATGTCACTTTAATGATTATTATCACTGGATTTTAGTCCAGTTGAACTTTATGACTACATGCCAAACTCCAACTCATTCTTGAACCCAAAAGGGCAATATTCCAGAAGAACAGAGAAGCAACTCAAGATAAATGGAGATCTTAGAGTCAATTGCAACAACCTCCACTTCTGGCCTGACAGAGTAAAAGAAACCAGATTTACCCTTAACAAATACAACAGTACCAACAGACAAAGTATATGAAATGATGGTTTTCAGACATTAGGAATAGGATACACGGGACCCAAACACAGCCTGACAGTCTCTCTGAGTTGAGCAGACAATGGAGTTTGGAGTTCGGGAAGGTCAAGGCAGATAGAATTTACAGATCTAAATACCAGAGGAGATGCAGTTCCTAACAGAGAGAGAGAGCTTAGAGAGCACTCTTGAGATGTGCAGAGGAGTCCCCTTGAATCTTTGACTAAGTCCTGATCTGCATGTGCATGGGAGAAAACTATCAAGTATGGGGAAAGAACTAGAGATGCATAAAAGAAGCAATCCCAGGATCTTACACAGGGCTGGTAATAATTTGTGTTCCCAGTAGGAAGAGTGGAAAGACCTCCTAGTACACAGGGCATTGGGCAGAGTCCTCGGAAGGCCATTGCTTCGGTAATGAAGCCACATGAGCTGTAGACTAGGGCGTTTCTGGACCCACTTCTACAAAGCTTAAAAGCAAGGCTCAAAAGGATTAAATTCATTCTATGTCACTTAACTATATCCCAGAATGAGGCCTGACACTTTTTAAAGGAACACAACAAAATCCAGTATACAACAACATAAAATTCAGTATGTCTGGCAGCCAAAAGATATTACTAGTGTATGCAAATAACTAAGAAAATGCAACTCATAACCAAGCATGAAAAATATCAATATAAACCCATATATGGTTAAAATGATCAAAATTAGTATATAAGGACATTAAAACTGCTATATAAACATACATCTTATGTTTAAGAAGATAGAAGAAAATATGAAGAGAGAATTGACAATAAATTCAACAATTTAAACAGCAAATAATTTGAAGGAAACAAATTATCAAACTCAGTGACAAAGAAAGCAATAACCTGAATATCCCTATATCTATTAAATTCACTGAATTTGCAAGGGGAAAAACCTTCCCACCAAGAAATCTCTAGTAAAGATAGTTTTACTAGTGAATTCTACCAAACTATTAGGGAAGAAATAGTATCACTTCCACAAAAACTCTTTCAGAAAATAGAAGAGGAAACACATTCCCATCTCATTCTAGGTGGGCATTATCCTAATATTAAATCCAGACAAATACACCTGAATATTTCTCATGAATATGCAAAAATATTTAACAAAATTGTAGCAAATCAAATCTAGAAACATATCTACAACATTCTACATATCAACAACATATCAACAACATTGTTGTAAATTCAACAACAAAATTGTAGCAAGTCAAATTTAGAAGTCTATAAAATAATAATAAATCATTACTAAGTGGGGTTTAGCCCAAAAATGCAAGATTTGTTTAACATTTGAAAATTAATCGATGTATTTGACATTAAAGGGAATGAAGGAAGAGAAGAAGGGAGGGAGGAAAGGGAAGAAAATAAATCCATATGTTGTACCATATACAAAATAAACTTGAAGTGGATGATAGAACCAGATCTATAAAAGTTCTGGAAGAAAACAAAAAATCTTTGTGACCTTGGGTTAGACAAACATTTCCTAGATAGCACACAAAAAACACAAACCATAGCATTAAAGAATTGATAAATGGGTTTCACCGAAACAAAAAAGATCTGCTCTTCAAAAGACACTGTCATGAAAATGAAAAGTCAGGCCATACTTATAAACTATTTGCAAAACATGTATAAAGAAATTGTCTTGACTATATAAAGAGGTTTTAAAATTTAATAGTAATAAGATCAAATGCTAAAATAATAAGCAAAATATTTGAATAGGTGCTTCACCAAAGAAGACAGAAGGATGACTAATAAGTACATGAAAAGATGCTCAGCCTAATTAGTCACTAGAAAAATAAAAATTAAAGCTACAATTTAGTGAAATGCCGTGATATATTTATCAGTATGCTTCAAACTTAAAAAACTGGCAATGCTGAATCCTGGAAAGGCAGTAGCTAGAAATCTCATACAAATTTTGACAGCCACTTTGAAAACAATTTTCAAGGTTTTTTTTTTTTTTTAAAAAAAAGGTTAAACATTCACTAACCATATAACTAAATAGTTCCACTTCTAAATATTTACCCAAATGAAATATAAAACATAATCAACACAAAAGCTTACACATAAATCTTTATAGCAGCCTCATTTTTAACAGCCAAAAACTGGAAAAGAATCCAAGTGCCCTCAACTGCTGAATGCATAAAAAGTTGTAGCACAATACATTCACACAATGGAATACAACTCAGTAATAAAAAGGGACCAACTGCTGATTTACGTACCAACATGGTGAGTTCAAAAGCATTATGAAAGAAACCACACACAAAAGATTACACAGAGTTTAAGCCTATTTATACAATATGTTTTAAAAGCAAAAACTGTAATAATAGAAAGATCCTTCTAGGAGGCAGGAGGTGTCTGGGAAGGGACTCACAGCAAAGGAGGTAAGACAGAGCCTTTTGAGGTGATGGGAATGTGCCACATCATGATTATGGTGATGGTTAGATGACTGTATACATTTGTCAAAACTCCCTCAAATGCACACTTAAAATTGTGGACTTTTAATGTATGTAAATTATATCCCAATACTGTTGGCCCCATAAAGCAACATACATACTAGGGCATATGGTATAATGCATTTGTGTCAAATAAAATTAAAAAAGGAGAGAATTCCAAATATACGAACTTGTACACATATTTGCTGGAATGCACATAAAATGTCTCAAGGGGCATATTAATGAAATGTGTAGAAGGGACTGCCTCTGAAAATGGAAATGAGGTGTCTGAAGGAGTATGGTTGGGAAGCAACTCTATCTTTTGTACTTTTCAAACTTAGAACCAGGCAAACAATCAACCTATTCAAAGCGGGGGCAGGGGGCAATGTCAGCTGGGTTCCAAAACCTGCTGCTGCTCAACAGGACTTGTCAAAATCCTGTTTCTATGTGGGAGCACCTCTATTTTTTACTCACTATATCCCCTTTTTCCCATTTACAAAATCACAGGATGCCTGAGTATGAATTTTCCTTCTCTGTTTTCTCCCTGACTAGCTGGTTTGTCACCAGGACTTGCCATAGACCCCACTCTACCCTAAAGTCAAATATCAATAGCTGCAGGTACTCAAGGATCTTTGCTTGAATACTGACCAAATTTCCCAGAACACACCAAGAAGCTTTCCTTCCAAAAGCAAACTGAACTATCCCCCGCCCCCCATAACCAATTTGGTTTAAATCAACACATATTTATGAGCCCTGACTATGGACCAGACTTTGTGCTAACTGTGGGGGGTACATGGTTGAATAAGATGTAGCTGGAAAGTGCTTTCCTTGTGGAGCTTTCAGTCTTGTAATAGACTGGGGGAGATACACACTTAACCAGATAATTTTAAAATGAGGTAAGAGGTGCTAAAATGAAGGCAGGCACTGAGGGAGAATACCTAGAATGATCTGAAGGTTCAGAAACTGCTTCCCAGGGAAAATGAGTTCAGAAAGATGAGGATTTAACCAGATGAAGGAGAGGAGAAGGTGTTGTAGGCAGAGGTATCAGCATGGGCAAAGCTGGATGGAGCAGAACAGCATCCTATTTGTGGAGAGCTCAGTACTCCTGGGACACGGTGAGTGAGGTAGAGCATGGTGGGAGATGGAATTAGAGAAGCCATTAGGTTGCTAGGGGCAGAACATGCAAAGGCTTTGTAATGGGACGCTCAAAGGTGAACTTGATCATGTTGGCAATAGGGAAGGTTTACAGCAGGGGAATTGAGTATCCAATTTGCAATTTCGTTCCAAGGGATGGTCTTTACTCCACTGGTTGAATGAAGGCTAGCTGAGGGTCTCAGGGATAACTGTTTAGTTCACTTTGACCAAATTTACCGAGTCCCCACTACAACAAGCTCAGTGCCCCCACAGGACACGGAGCTACCGAGATAAGAAACAAGATTCGTTCCCCAAGGAGCTGATAGTCTGGTAAATTGCCCTTTAAAAAATGGGAGTTCAAAAAATGACCCCCACCGACTAGTCTAACACTATCTCCCCCTTGATATTCTGATTGGAAGCCACATCCTGGCCAGCTGATATTCTCTCCCGCAGGGTTGACACTGAACCTTTTCTCCTGATCACCACGTCTAGTTTGGCTTCTGTGTCTGTTGACAAAACAGTGTTCAGTAAATCATATTAATGCAGAAATACAAAGGCAGGCCCAGGAACAAGGATGCACTGAATTAGTTCTAGCCACATGGCTTCCACAGGCTGCTCCTTGCAGTGTCTAACCCCAGTTGCTGTGCAAATCCTCAAGCCCTTTGACTCCAATGTCCCTTTAGAGCTCAAAAGATCAAATAAGCACTCAGCGTACTGGCTTTCTGTCCAACTTCAGGATGATGCTAGGAATGTGCCAGGCATTCTAATGAGTGCCTGAGAACTAAAGAGATGAAGATACAAACAGTCCACTAAATTCTTACATAGTCCCTTGCATCAAGGGGGAAATATGGATTCTGGAACTGGCTGCCCATGTCTGGGGGTTCCCATTCAATCCAACTCATTCTTCCTTCAGACAGTAGTGGGTTGAAGAGTGGCCTTAAAAAAGTTATGTCCACCTGGAACCTGAAAATATGACCTTATTTGGAAAAAGCGTATTTGTAGATATAATTTAAGCTAAGGATCTTGAGATGAAATCATCCTGAGTTAAGGTGGCCCTATATCCAATCCCAAGTGTTTATCAGAGAAGATAAGGGGAAACAGATACAGGAACACCAGGGAGAAGGCCATGTGATGAAGGAGGCAGAGACTGGCGTGATGCAACCACAAGCCAAAGATTGCCAGAAGCCAACAGAAGCTAAAAAGTACAAGAAAGAACTCTCCCCTAGAGCCTTCAGAAGGAGTGTGGCCCTGACAATACCCTATCTTTAGACTCTGGCCTCAATAACTGTAAGAGAATAAGTTTCTGTTGTTTTAAAACACCATGTTTTCAGTAATTTGTTACAGCAACCCTACAAAGCTGATACAGAGGGCTTGGACTACCACTCTTACTACTGCTGCCAGCCACTGGCCCAAGGCTTCCTCCTCCCTCATTACCCTGGAGATTCCTGGGGGTAACTTATTTCCTCCCTCCTTCCTTCATTCAACCATCATTTTAAGTATGCCAATGGACCAAGTATATGAGAATGGAGGCAGATCTTCCTTCAGGAGTTCACAGCTAGGGAGATATAAAGATATAAACAAGTAATCATAGCATTTAATGTTATGGCCCGAATTGTATACATACCCCCCAAGTTTGTATGTTGAAATCCTAAACCCTTGGAATGTGGCTGCATTTAAGATAGGGTCTTTAAAGAGGTGATTAAGTTAAAATGAGGTCATTAGGGTGAGCCCTAATCCAAAATGACTGGTGTTCTTATAAGAAGAGAAGATTAGGACACAAACATGCACAGGGGGAAGACCATGTGAAGACACAGAGAGAAAGAAGATGGTGATCTACAAGCCTTGGAGAGATGACTCAGAAGAAACCAACCCTGCCAACACCTTGATCTTGCTCTTCTAGCCTCCAGTATTGTGAGAAAGTAAAGTTCTGTTGTTTAAGCCACCCAGTTTGAGATACTTTATTGCAGAAGTCCTGGCAAACTAATACATTAAGGTAAGAACAATGAAGGAGTGCAGAGCCAACACAGCCCAGCCTTTTAGGGAGGGACGAGGAAAGCCCTCCTGAAAAGGTGACTTCTAGGCTGCATTTGAAAGGACAGGAAGGAAAAGCATTGAAAGAGGGCAACTGGAGCAAAGGCCCAGAACCATGAAGTGTGCAGGGAAGTACAGGCTAGTGAATGTTTTTAAGACACAGGGTGAATGAGGAGTGACAAGTAATGAAGTCTTAGCTAAAAGTCTGAGTATCATGAAAAACTTTTATGCATTCGCTCCATCCTGGCCTTTTTCCTGGAGCAATAGGGAGCTACTGCATAACTAAAATCAGGGGAATGGCATGGTCTGATGTGCTCTAAAGAAGCACATGTGAAAGAGAGAAGATCCAAATAAACACAATTAGAAACAACAAAAGGGATATTATCACTGACTCCACAGGAATACAAATAACTATCAGAGAATACGATGAACACCCCTATGCACACAAATGAGAAAATCTAGAAGAAAATTGATAAATTCCTGGACACATACACCCTCCCAAGACTGAACCAGGAAGAAACTGAATCCCTGAACAGACCAATAATGCGTTCCAAAATTGAATCGGTAATAAATAGCCTGCCAAAAAAACAAAAAAAGAAAAAAAAGCCCATGACCAGAAAGATTCACAGCTGAATCCTACCAGATGTACAAAGAAGAGCTGGTACCATTCCTACTAAAACTTCCAAAAAATGGAAGAGGAAGGACTCCTCCCTAACTCATTCTATGAGGCCAACATCATCCTAATAGCAAAACCTGGCAGAGATACAGCAAAAAAAGAAAACTTCAGGCCAATATCTATGATGAACATTAATGCAAAAATCTTCCACAAAATACTGGCAAACTGAATTCAGCAGCACATCAAAAAGCTTATCCACCATGATCAAGTAAGCTTTATCCCTGGGATGCAAGGTTGGTTCAACATATGCAAATCAATAAATGTGACTCATCACATACACAGAACTAAAGACAAAAAAACGTGATTAACTCAATAGATGCAGAAAAGGCTTTCTGATAAAATTCAACATCCCTTCATGTTAAAAGCTCTCAATAAACTAGGTATCAAAGGAACATGCCTCAAAATAATAAGAGCCATCTGTGACAAGGCAAGATCCAACATCATACTGAATGAACAAAAGCTGGAACTATACCTTTTGAAAACCAGCACAAGACAAGAAGGCCCTCTCTCACCACTCCTATTCAACATAGTATTGGAAGTTCTTGCCAGAACAATCAGGTAAGAGAAAGAAATAAAAGGCATCCAAATAGGTACAGAGAAAGTCAAACTATCCCTGTTTGTAGATGACATGATTTTATATCTAGAAAACCCCATAGTCTTGGCCCAAAAGCTCCTTAAGCTAGTAAGCAACTTCAGTGAAGTTTCAGGATATAAAATCAATGTACAAAAATCACTAGTATTCCTATACACCAACAACAGTCAAGCTGAGAGCCAAATCAGGAATGCAATCCCATTTATGATTGCCACAAAAGAATAAAATACCTAGGAATACAGCTAACCAGACAGGTGAAAAATCTTTACAATGAGAATTATAAAACACTACTCAAAGAAATCAGAGAGGACACAAACAAATGGAAAAACATTCCATGCTTGTGTACAAGGAGAATCAATATCATTAAAATGGCCATATTGCCCAAAGCAATTTATAGATTCAATGCTATTCCTATCAAACTACCAGTGACATTCTACACAGAACTAAAAAAAAAGAACTATTTAAAAATTCATATGAAGCCAAAAAAGAACCCAAATAGCCAAGGCAACCCTAAGCAAAAAGAACAAAGCTGGAGGCATCATGCTACCCAACTTCAAAATATACACAAGGCTACAGTAACCCAAACAGCATGGTATTGATACAAAAACAGACACATTCACCAATGGAACAGAATAGACAGCCCCAAAATACGGCCGCACACCTATAACCATCAGATCTTCGACAAAGCTGACAAAAACAAGCAATGGGGAGAGGACTCCCTATTCAATAAATTGTGCTGGGATAACTGTCTAGCCATATGCAGAAGATTGAAACTGGACCCCTTCTTTATTTCATATACAAAAATCAACTCAAGATAGATTAAAGATTTAAATGTAAAGCCCAGAACTATAAAAACCTTGGAAGACAACCTAAGCAATACCATTCTGGGCATAGAAACAGGCAAAGATTTCATGACAAAGATGCCAAAATCAGTTGAAACAAAAGCAAAAATTCACAAATGGGATCTAATTAAACTAAAGAGCTTCTGAACAGCAAAAGAAACTATCAACAGAGTAAACAACCTACAGAACAGGAGAAAAATTTTGCAAGCTATGTATCTGACAAAGATGTAATATCCAGCATCTAAAAGGAACTTAAATTTTTTTTCATATAAATTTAACAAATTTACAAGAAAAAAACAATCCCATTAAAAAGTGGGCAAAGGACATGAATACTTTTCAAAAGAAGACATACATGGGGCCAACAACCATATGAAAAAAAGCTTATCGCTAATTATTAGAGAAATACAAATCAAAATCATAATGAAATACCATCTCATACCAGTCAGAATGGCTATTATTAAAAAGTCAAAAAATAACAGGTGCTGGCAAAGTTGCAGAGATTAATGACCACTTATACACTGTTGATTAGAGTGTAAGTTAGTTCAGCCTTTGTGGAAAGCAGTGTGGTGGTGATTCCTCAGAGACCTAAAAACAGAATGACCCTTCTACCCAGCAATCTCATTACTGGGTATATACCTAAAGGAATATAAATTGTTCTATCATAAAGACACATGGATGCATAAGTTCTTTGCAGCACTATTCGCAATAGCAAAGACATGGAATCAACCTGAATGCCTATAAATGGTAGACTGGATAAAGAAAATGTGGTACATATATACCATGGAATACTATGCAACCATAAAAGAACGAGATCATGTTCTTTGCAGGAACATGGGTAGAGCTGGAGGCCATTATCCTTAGCAAACTAATGCAGGAACAGAAAACCAAACACCGCATGCTCTCACCCATAAGTGGGAGCTAAATGATGAGAACACACAGACAAATAGAGGGGAACAACACACACTGGGGCCTATCGGAGGGTAGAGGGTGGGAGGAGGGAGAGGATCAGGGAAAATAACTAATGGGAATAGGCTTAATACCTGAGTGATGAAATAATCTGTACAACAAACCCCCATAACACAAATTTACCTATATAACAAATCTGCTAATGTACCCCTGAACTTAAAAGAAAAAAAAAAAAAAAGAAACACATGTGGATCATTCCTGTGGCTAGGTGGGGGGAGGGGGGATCCTAGGGAGATGGATGACTCTAGAGGCAGAGTGACCAGTTAAACAGCTGTGGTCAAGATGACACTGATCAGTAGTGGCCAAGATGAAGAGGAGAGAATATTTTCAGAGGTGAAATCGATTGCACTATTGAAAGTAAAGGAGAAATGCAAATCCAAGTTATTCAGAAGTTTTAGTTTGTACAATTAGTGATGCTGTCCAGGATGATGGGATTAGTAGTGCATGCATTGACATTGAGTTTGTAGTCTCTTGGGGGAAAAATTGCAAAACATTCTTTAGAAAAAAATATGGGCCCTAATTTGGGGATATGTATTTCAGAGTATCACATCACTTTCATTTTCAGAGTTAACATAACTCTCACATGATTATTTGGTGATGCTTCTTTATTATTCTTTCATGAAGGTTTCTTCCCATGGTTCCTAAAGGTGCTAAAAGGCTTAGAAAAGGATTTGTTTCACCCCATAGCTTATTCTACCCCTCCCACATGGGCACACAAGGTGTGAGTACCCAGGCAGGGAAAGTGGAAAGCATCACAGTGATAGTTAACATTTCTGAGAGTTCATGGACCCTCCTGAAATCATCTGGCACAAATATTTTTGCATAGGGTTCTAGAATGTTCCTCAACCTTCTGAAGCATATTCATGAACATATGAATATATTCCCAGGCTAGGAATGCCGATATAAAGAAAAATCCCCTGGATGGACAGCCCAATGTACTAGCTTGCCAGTGATTTGCAGGCAGCCTTAGGAAGGTTGGTTCACTCCTCTGACTTTCCACATTCTTGGCACAGTGCTAAGATTCTGAGAGTCTTTGATTAATGGCATTGATTCACAAAGCAAACCAGTTCATATGGGCACCTAGAAAATAATTTTGAATAAAACTGGGCCTTGATTGTGTTCCCAGCACTCTAATTAAGTGAGTCCAGCCAGGCTATCTCACCCCATGCAAACACACTTTTTAAACTGGAAACTATACTAAAATAACAATCAAAACCTTGTGCTGAATCCATATATCTCCCCCTTACCCTCACAAAATATAAAGTAGCTGGATACACAGATAGATAATATATAAATCAGCATCACACCAGCTAGCTTTTTCCACGAAAATTGGTTTATATGAAGCCACAGATTTAAATACGTGGACACATCCAGATGATCAGTTGAAGAGATACAGTGTTAATGATATATGATATATTTATATCTAAATACTTGAACTAATCTTTGAAACAAAGCATGATGTCTGTTTGGTTCTGTTCTAGCTGGTAGGTGGAAATTCTTTTTAATTTGCTTGCTGTCCTAAACATTGTTTTGCTCATGGTATCCTCCTCAGAACATTCTATTACTCTTGGTTGCTCTCAGGATAAGATCCAAGCCCCTTAGTTTGCAGTGAAAGGCAGCACTCTTAGTTATTCAACTTCGTCATCTGCTCTTCACCTATGTGGGCCTTCTGACCCACTCAACCAAATGGACCTTGCCATACACATGTGAGTGTTGGCTGTGACTCTGCTTCTGCTGAGCCCACTGCCTGGGACGTCCTTTGAGCCACATCTCAACATCCCAATCCAGCTTCATTTATCTCATTTCCTCAAGGGGATTTTATAAGTTTCTCACCTGCAATGATAAAACTTTGTTTGCCTCCAAGGTAAATGCACTAAATGTGTTGCTTATGAAAGCATCCAGGAAGAACCTAGGAAGTAAGGGGATCTGTTCTCATCAGCTCTTGGCCAAGGAAAGAGGTCCAGGCCCACAGATCATAGCAGAAAAGGAAGGAAAGCCTACAAATCAGTAATGTTTTTTTAAAATTGCATATCCCTATCAATATAAAACATTTACCCACAATATATGTATATTTACTCACTTACAAATTATATATGTATATACTACTGTAAGAGTACACTGTGCTCATTGTAAAATATATAAAATATTAACATTTAAGGTGGTTAGATAAAAGTTCAATAGAAATGTTGCTTATTATTTTTCATTCTAATTATAGTATTCTAACACCACATGGATTATGTTGAGTGCCCCATTTTGAATACCATGACCCCTATAACCACATCAGGCACCTCTGCTATGGCAATAATAGTAATTACGACAATTCTGGAGCACTTTACTATGCTGAGCCAAATTATAGTGAATAATTCCTTTAGAATAATTATGGGCTATGAGTCTAAAAAGTATTAACCAGTGTTGTTCTGTTGCCTGACTTCAACAGGACATTTACATTTTCTGTGAATAGTGCCCCCTAAACTTGTTCAGTGCACAACCTGTGCATCCCCGCATGAGGGCCCTATAAGTGTTCTATCAGAGATAGGCTCTGAAGCTGCAGATACTTTCCAAGGGACAGGCTTCACGTGAGCTGAGTGTGGACAGGAGTGTTGTTCTTATGTCAACTTTTCCAACCACAGCCAAATCTAGAAACCATAGTCAGTGTTGAGCAGTATCTTAGAGTGGATAATAGGTGGTGCCATATACACATGTACACACTGACCAGGAGTTGGAGCCATACACCTTGGAATCTAAGACTGTAAGATCTAGGAAAGATTCCTTTCAAGGATGAAGAAATTTGGGTCCAGGGACATTTTATGCAAAAGTATTGACAAAGTTGTGTTAGAATTCCCTGACCACTGCTCTTTCCACAATATTGTATTGCTCATGTTTGAAAAACCCAGTAGGATATTTACTGAATGCTTGCTGCAAAGCACTATGCTTAAAATAAAACGTCATTTCCTGAATGGTTCCAATTTATCACAATAAGTAATAATTTAGGCTCCTATATATTGACATTTACCATATGTCAGATACTATATTAAGCAACTTATAAGCATTATCTTATTTAATCTTTATAATAACCCTATGAGGAAGGTATCATAATGTCCATTTTATCAATGAGGAAATTGAGGCTGAGAGAAGCTCAATAATTTAACAGAAATTAATCTGCTAAAGTAGGTTTCAAATCCATGCAACCAGACTTCAAAACCTGCTCTAGGGGCTGGGCACAGTGGCTTCTGCTTGTAATCCTAGCATTTTGGGAGGCTGAGGTGGGAGAATCACTTGAGCCCAGGAGTTTAAGAACAGCCCTGGCAACGGGGCAAGACCCTGTCTCTACAAACAAACAAACAAACAAACAAAAAATTTAATTAGATGGGTATGGTGGTGCACACCTGTGGTCCCAGCTATTCTAGAGGCTGAGGCGGGAGAATGGCTTGAGCCCAGGAGATTGAGGCTGCAATGAGCTGTGTTTGCACCATTGCCCTCCAGCTTGGGCAACAGAGTGAGACCCTGTCTCAAGACAAAAACGAAAACAAAAACCTGCTCTAAGACATATTCCGCTTCCATAATAAATGACATAAATTATGTATAGGACAAATGGTGTTTATTTGTACCATTTTCTTTTGCAATAACCATTATCAGAATACTTTCTTCCTTTGCATTAAACAAAATACTAGAATGCTTTTTTCTCTCTCCATCTCTCTCACCACCCATCCCCTCTCTTTAACATACATACATACAGACACATTAGCGAATATCAGCTTTCTCATTCGCACATTTTCTGAGAAGGGGTCCATAGCTCACTATAATCTCTAGAGTCAACCATGGCTCTTTATTTTTCTTTTCACCCACATCAAATTCTTCAGCAAAATGCTTGGGCTTTCCCTTCAAAACAATCCCAATGCTCCACTGCTGTCACAGTAACGCACCCTCATCTCTTGCCTGAAGTTTGTCAGTTGCCTCTAAACTGTTTTTCCCTGTTACTGTGTCTACCCGTCCCAGCTACAGCCTGTTATAAAAAGGTGGCCATACTGTTCCTTCCAAAATCGCCCAATGCCTCCCGCTGTCACTCAGAGTGAGTGAGGTTCCCCTAGTGGCCCCTAAGGACTGCTGTGATCATGGTCTGTGCCTCTGCACCTCTCCAGCCTCATCTCCTACCACCTTGCCTCCCTGGCTCACCCACTGCAGCCACACTACTGCCTCGCGCCTACTTACCGTCACTCTCCATCCGCCAAATATGGCCATGTCCGAATTCCCAGAAGCTGCAGATTACTTTATGTGACAAACGGACTTGCAAATGTGATTCAACTAAGAATTTTAAAATGAGGAGATTATCCCGGATTATCCTTGTGGGTCCAATCTAATCGCAAAGTTCCTTACAAGAGAAATGCAAGGAGAGTCGGAAGAAGGCAATGGGATGATGGAAACAGGGCGAGAAGAGGTGATGTGATGTGGGCCATGCGCGAGGAATGAGATCTGCTTCTAGAAGATGGAAAAGAGAAAGAAACAAATTCTCCCCAGAGCCTCCAGAAGGAAAACAGCTCTGCTGACACCTTGAGTTTAGCCCCATAAGACTCATTTCAGACTTCTGACCCCCAGAACTGTAAGAGAATATTTGTATTCTTTTAATCCACTAAGTTTTAGGTAATTTGTTAGAGCAGAAATAAGAAATTAATACACCCATATCCTGTTTTATAGCATTTTCACCATTAGCCCTATTTTATATTTATTTGTTTATTTGTTTATCAGTTGTCTCTCCCACTACAATGCAAAGTGCCTGGGAGACATGGCTGGGCGCGGTGGCTCATGCCTGTAATCCCAGAACTTTGGGAGGCCGAGGTGGGTGGATCACTGAAGTCAAGAAATCGAGACCATCCTGAACAACATAGTGAAAACCCGTCTCTACTAAAAATACAAAAATTACCTGGGCATGGTGGCGCATGCCTGTAATCTAAGCTACTCGGGAGGCAGAGGTTGCAGTGAGCTGCCCTCCAGCCTGGGTGGCAGAGTGAAACTCCGTCCCAAAAAAAAAAAAGTGCATGGGAGACGAGACTTTTTTTTTCTTCATTGGTGTAAACCCAGCACCTGACATAAGATCTGTTGAATGAATAAATGAATGACATATGTTACTTAATTAAATAATTGGTCAACACTCTGAAATGATTAAGCCTCAATAAAATGTTGGTTAAACATATACTTACAAACCTGCATGACATTCTCACCAACATGTCTAGAACAGGTGAAAACATACACAAATGAATACAAGTATCAATGCAGCCCAGTGGTCCACACTAAAACAGCCCAGGAGAAGAACATCCAGAACTGAAAAGCCGTAAGCCCTACTAGGAAGACAGTGAGCCACAGAGCTCCCTCCAGTGTGGGGGACCAACATCCCTTCCACAGAGCAGGGAAGAGGAAAAGGCCTGAGAGGTCACACTCACACCCTACAGTTTCACTCAAGCAGAGAAGGCCCTGTTTTACTCGATTTTATATATTCTACTTCCATTCAACATTGGGTAAGGAACTTCAGTGAAGATAGGGCCGAGTGTGGAGCTAGGAAGCAGGGATTATAACTGCCGCTCTTTTTATTACTGAATATCCTTAAAAAGGAGTTTATGCATAGAAGCTGAGGTCAGTGGGACACTCTATGGCCTTTCAGTTCACACAATTATGCTAAAAAGAATGTAAACTTAAAGAGTTAAATCTAATATTTGCTTTAGGAAATTTTAAGTAATTTAGGAATTACATGTTATAGTCAATCAATTTTCCCTGTTGCTGGTACTGCCAGGAAGTACCAACACTTCTTTTTCCTACTACTTCTGTTTTTGCTCAATACCAGCCATAGGCTAATTTCTAGTGAGATAAACACTTAGCCAAATTTAGAAATAATGTCAGATGGGTCCATGATGATGATCATGGTGATGACCCACTTTGCCTGTCACAGGTTGCATGGATGCTTCTGCCATGAGAAAAAAAAAATACATCTAGTCCTCACTTTAAAAAAGTCTGTGGCCAGGAGCTGTGGCTCACGTCTGTAATCCCAGCACTCTGGGAGGTTGAGGCGGGTGGATCACTTGAGGTTAGGAGTTTGAGACCAGCCTGGCCAACATGGCAAAACCCCATCTCTACTAAAAATTCAAAAATTAGCCAGACCAGGTGGCACATGCCTGTAATCCCAGCTACTCGGGAGGCTGAAGCAGGAGAATCATTTGAATCTGGGAGGTGAAAGTTGCAGTGAGCTGAGATCATGCCATTGCACTCCAGCCTGGGTGACACAGTGAGACTCTGTCTCAAAAAAGAAAAAAAAAAAAGTTTGTTTGCACAGTGTGACAGTGATGATGTGGATATGGAGGTCAGAAAACTGCGTGAATGCACCTGTTCTAACATCACCTCCTCCGTGGAGCTGCTCCAAACTCAGTACACATCTCAGCACTCCTTCTCTGAACACCCACACACTCCACCCACTCCTCTGTTTCATCTCTTACTATATTGTATTAGAATACATTGAGTGCAAGTCTGTCTCTGTCACCATATTATTCATTACTTAAGAGCAAGGGCCTTGTCTTGCACAGCCCTTTCCCCCCAAATGCTCAGCAGAGTACAAGGCAATGTGTGTCTGGTATGTATGTGTGAACCAAGCACTATACTAGATTATTTTTAAAAGGACCTTGTAGTAGAATAAGTGATCCATGATTTACACACAAAACAATTAGAGAAAAGAACAAATTACAAGACAACAAAGGGCAAAATTAGTAAAGTGTGTTTCATCAGAAATGTTACTGGGAACTGGGGAAGAGAGAAATGAGTATGAACTATGGTTTCTGTAGGTTTATAATCATTTTTATTGGCAGGAAAGAGCAGCATTTACAAATATATTTATATAATAAATGTGAAAACATTTCTAAAAATCACATAAATATGAATATTGTGGGGGAGATGTTGGGGAAAAAGGGCCTGCCATCTTGATTAATAAAGATGATTTGTTTAGGTCTGAAACACTTTACATTTTGATAATATTTATAACCATAACTTTATTACTTTATCATCTAATACAAAGATCACCAAGGTTCTGTTTAGATATCGTAAGCATTAAACATTAACACTGGTAGTGTCTTACTACTACTGAAATCATTTGACTTCATCAAATTTTTAGTTATATTGGTGCCAAAGGGGCAAGCTAGTGACAGAGATAGCCTTTATTGACCACCTATCTGACAAATCTGTGACCTTAGAAGCACAAGAAGGTCTTTCTTTCACAAGCTTTGGTTTCACTTTTAAACATGTTGACAAAGGAAATTTAACCAGACAGAAAAATGTACTTAATGTCAGCCACAATGGCAAGGATTTGGGCAGCAGTTATGGCTCACTTATGTGAACCGTTTTGAAAAATACTTTGCCCATGGTATGTAAAAGTCAGTGATTAAATACGTGCTTTAAATGCACCTTCCAATTCCTCTAATTTTGTGAAGAGCTGAGTACACTCTAATGACTGATTTAGTCCCTCCGACTCCTGAATATGTATTGAGATCCAAGGACCATGGCATTATGAATCTTTCCCTGGTCATTCAGAGCAAAATAAAACACCAGCCATAATATCTGCATGAACAGGGTATGCCTGTCAGAGGCAGACCTTACCTTCACAAAGAGGTAAATCTCAGGGTTCATGTGAGCTCCCTCCTTTTCTTCCAAACCTTCAGCATCAGAATAGCAGGAATACTTGGTGGTAGAGAAGGCCTTACTGTGCTGAATGGTGAAGCTTGAAGGAGAAGGCAGATCTTCCTTCATCACACTCCCATTCTCCTGGAGTTCTGCTGCGCAGAGTTGCTGGTCCTGGGTTGATGAATATAACCCTTCCATTGAGATGCCCCTGTCCTCCTGGGGCTCACCTGGATGAGCCTCCTGGAGTTCAGAGTATATCTCATCAGGCAGGAGGTAGCCTCTGTCTTCTGACTGGACAGAGGCCAAGCTGGTCTCTTCACCCTTAATGGTATAGACTGACACAAAATCATACTCATGGGTATTCAGCTGAGTGGCATATAAATCATTTTCTGGCCTTAAGTACTCATGGACATCATCATAATGGGGACTTTCATTTTCTTCTGGCTGGTCTGGAACCTCATACGTCCTCTCATTTTGGATTGTGTCATAGATGGTGCTGTAGTCTTCGTCATTCATGCTTATTGATCCGAGAGATCTGTTTACAGGGAGACCTGAGTAGATCTGAAATGAATGAAGGGACAGAGGATGCTGCACCACCTTGCAGAGGAATCAACGAGCTCTTAAAAGGCAGCAACTAGCAACTGCTATCAATGACAGGTCTCTAACAATTATTTACTGGAGAGTTTTATAAGCAAACCACAAGTCCATTGGACAGAAGATAAAGCTTACACACTCAGTTAACTCCTTCACTCCTAAAGATATTTTTATTAGACCCTGGGGATTTCCTCATTGGCAGTAACTCCAAGATTCTTTGGGTAAGCCAGAGATTGAATTGAATTATCTTCCTGGTATACACTGAAATTTTGAATATGTAGCCATTTTTCATCAATAGAGCTCCCTCCTCCAACTGCCTCCAAATGTTGACAACATTCAAGAACCCCTGCAATTCAGTGGAGAGCTACAATTCTTCACAATGGCCTCTCATCTATTTACTGCTGAATTTATCACATAGAACAATTATTTGCCTATTGATACCCTGTGATAAATGAATTACATGCCCTGGTTAGGTAATGAATTCCATTTACATTTCTTATCTGGAAACACCACTAGGTGATTAAACAGCAGAAGGAAAAGAAGATAAATGCTCTGGCCTATAGACACATCAGTATAGACCACCCAAATTAGGGACTCAAAGACTTATGGCTTTAATTTTTATTTTTCCCCCTTAAATCTGCATGATCATCACCATCAACAAACATTCACTAAAATCCTATCATATACAGAATGCTGAATTGAGCACAACAAAAGCGTTAGAAGACACATTCTCTGTCTTCAAAGGGGCTTTTAAATGTAGCTGGAGGGCCCAGAAGAGAAAAATAAAACCGAGGAAAAACTATTTAAAGTTTTCTTAGTGCAATAAGCCCAGGTCTGGATAAGCAATAAAAAATTGTATGCACAAGGCTGTTCAGTCAATGCCATCCACAGATGCTGTGAATATGTGTGCCCCCCAAATTCTTTTTAATCTGGTACTCTATCCTGCTAATTCCTGCTTCCCTTTGCCACACCACATACATCTTTCTCCTTGAAGTGACAACCCAGCTAGGTTGTAAAGGGACTTTAATGTCTAGAAATCATGTGAAAACTGTGAAGCAATGCAACTCCTGTTGACAAGCTTCAGAACATTTGATGGGCATCTTGGCAAAACTTCGTTGTACTCTTAGACTTCAATATTGTATCCAGGAATCTTCTACTGGGAATTAGAGCAGCATTTCTAGAATTCTAGCTTAAAGAATGGGTAAGGAAAAAGAGGTCAGAGACTTCAAAGGCTATTGACACTGGACATTTATCTTATTGAAAAGTGACATTCAATGGGTCCAAATACCTTACACATTTTGATAGGTTCTATAATCAGGTGTTTTTAATTGAATGGATTCCAGTTCAAATCTTCCTCCTAGTTTTACAGCTGGTGAAAACCTAAGAGATCATTCAAACATTTTATTTTACATTTGAAAAAAATTTAAACCTAGAAAGTGGAAGTGAATGGTCCAAGTTTACACAAAAACTTAATGGCGGAGCTGACTTTAGCTGTGGTTTTTGAACCTCCAGCTCAGTAATATTTCTGCTACTAAATCTCTTCCTTAACTCAGTATTTTCCAATCTTTTTTTCATGATCACACACTGTCCCTTCCCTGCTCCCAAAGGAGCCTTTTCAGATATTTCTCTATGAAATAAAAATGCTGCAGATATACTACATATCTGTTTGCATATTGTATATACATATGCATTTTGTACATTAAAAGAGTAACTTTTTTTTCTTTTTGCTTCCCAAGAACCAATTTTCACCCCTTGGGGGGTGACACTACTCCTTTCCACAATGCAACTCATGCTTTTACTACTAATGCAGTGTGTAGCTCATAATCTAACACTGGATTCTGTTTCATTCTGCATTATTACAAAGAATAGTATACAGCATGTGCATATGGATACAGCATGTTGTCAAGTCCTCACCACAATGACCCAGTGAGGCAGGGCTGAGGTTGGCTAAGCTTAGGGCCCAAGATCAAACAGATATTTCAAATTAGGTCCCTCTCTTATCCCATTTTAGAACACATCTATCATGATCTACAGTTACAGGTTGTAATATGAAACAAGTCCTTCCGTTAAAATGTAAGTCAGGTCATATTGCTCTGTGCTCAAACCCCTACAATGGCTCCCCATTTATCTTAGTGAAAGCCAAAGTCCTTACAACGGCCCACATGGCCCTGCATAATCCACAACCACTCTCCTATACCTGTTTTTTCACCCCTTGCCGACCCAGCTCCAGACAATTGAGCCTTGTTTCTATACCTGGAACACTCCTGGATATTCCCATATTAGACCTTTTACATTGGCTATTCTCTCTAAGAGAACACACATTCCCTGGATATTTGCATAGTCAATTCCCCCAACTCCTATAAATTTTTGCTTTAATGTCCCCTTCTCAATGAGACTACACTGACTGTCCTGTTTAAAATGACAACCCATCCCAAATCCTATCTTAATCCCTGTTCCATTACTAAAAACCCTTACCCTACTTTCCCCCCCTTTTCCATAATATTTATCACCCTCTAATAAGATATATACATAACTTATTTTTTATGTCTAGAGGTTTTATTTTCTGTCTTATCCTACTAGAATGTAAACCCTATATGGCGGCGAATCTCTGTCTACTTTTTCATCATTATCTCAAGTACCTAGAACAGTGTCTGGTACATATTATATATATGTTGAATGAATACGTATTTGTTGAATGAATTTTTAAGATTGCTGACATATTTATCCTTCATTGGGTACTTACGTTTCACGAGAACAAGGCCCATGCCTATTTTTTCACGTTGCTATATAGCTAAAGTCTAGCAGATATCTGATATGTAATAGCTGCCTATTAAATATTTGTTGGATAAATAAATTAAAGGAAGAAGATGTATCTAGCATTCATGTCCTTTTACTCCTGGCTCAGTTTTCTGAGCCATTAATTTTTTGAAGGGTTTTTTCTGTCTCTATTTCCTTCAGTTCTGCTCTGATTTTAGTTATTTCTTGCCTTCTGCTAACTTTTGAATGTGTTTGCTCTTGCTTTTCTAGTTCTTTTAATTGTGATGTTAGGGTGCCAATTTTGGATCTTTCCTGCTTTCTCTTGTGGGCATTTAGTGGTATAAATTTCCCTCTACACACTGCTTTGAATGTGTCCCAGAGATTCTGGTATGTTGTGTCTTTGTTCTTGTTGGTTTCAAAGAACATCTTTATTTCTGCCTTCATTTCATTATGTACCCAGTAGTCATTCAGGAGCAGGTTGTTCAGTTTCCATGTAGTTGAGCAGTTTTGAGTGAGTTTCTTAATCCTGAGTTCTATTTTGATTGCACTGTGGTCTGAGAGACAGTTTGTTATAATTTCTGTTCTTTTACTTTTGCCGAGGAGAGCTTTACTTCCAACTATGTGGTCAATTTTGGAATAGGTGTGGTGTGGTGCTGAAAAAAATGTATATTCTGTTGATTTGGGGTGGAGAGTTCTGTAGATGTCTATTAGGTCTGCTTGGTGCAGAGCTGAGTTCAATTCCTGGGTATCCTTGTTAACTTTCTGTCTCGTTGATCTGTCTAATGTTGACAGTGGGGTGTTAAAGTCTCCCATTATTATTGTGTGGGAGTCTAAGTCTCTTTGTAGGTCACTCAGGGCTTGCTTTATGAATCTGGGTGCTCCTGTATTGGGTGCATATATATTTAGGTTAGTTAGCTCTTGTTGTTGAATTGATCCGTTTGCCATTATGTAATGGCCTTCTTTGTCTCTTTTGATCTTTGTTGGTTTAAAGTCTGTTTTATCAGAGACTAGGATTGCAACCCCTGCCTTTTTTTGTTTTCCATTTGCTTGGTAGATCTTCCTCCATCCTTTTATTTTGAGCCTATGTATGTCTCTGCATGTGAGATGGGTTTCCTGAATACAGCACCCTGATGGGTCTTGACTCTTTATCCAATTTGCCAGTCTGTGTCTTTTAATTGGAGCATTTAGTCCATTTACATTTAAAGTTAATATTGTTATGTGTGAATTTGATCCTGTCATTATGATGTTAGCTGGTTATTTTGCTCGTTAGTTGATGCAGTTTCTTCCTAGCATCAGTGGTCTACATTTTGGCATGATTTTGCAGTGGCTGGTAGCAGTTGTTCCTTTCCATGTTTAGTGCTTCCTTCAGGAGCTCTTTTAAGGCAGGCCTGGTGGTGACAAAATCTCTCAGCATTTGCTTGTCTGTAAAGTATTTTATTTCTCCTTCACTTGTGAAGCTTAGTTTGGCTGGATATGAAATTCTGGGTTGAAAATTCTTTCCTTTAAGAATGTTGAATATTGGCCCCCACTCTCTTCTGGCTTGTAGAGTTTCTGCCGAGAGATCCGCTGTTAGTCTGATGGGCTTCCCTTTGTGGGTAACCCGACCTTTCTCTCTAGCTGCCCTTAACATTTTTTCCTTCATTTCAACTTTGGTGAATCTGACAATTATGTGTCTTGGAGATGCTTTTCTCGAGGAGAATCTTTGTGACGTTCTCTGTATTTCCTGAATCTGAATGTTGGCTTGCCTTGCTAGATTGGGGAAGTTCTCCTGGATAATATCCTGCAGAGTGTTTTCCAACTTGGTTCCATTCTCCCCGTCACTTTCAGGTACACCAATCAGATGCAGATTTGGTCTTTTCACATAGTCCAATATTTCTTGGAGGCTTTGTTCGTTTCTTTTTATTCTTTTTTCTCTAAACTTCCCTTCTCACTTCATTTCATTCATTTCATCTTCCATCACTGATATCCTTTCTTCCAGTTGATCGCATTGGCTCCTGAGGCTTCTGCATTCTTCACGTAGTTCTGGAGCCTTGGCTTTCAGCTCCATCAGCTCCTTTAAGCACTTCTCTGTATTGGTTATTCTAGTTATACATTCTTCTAAATTTTTTTCAAAGTTTTTAACTTCTTTGCCTTTGGTTTGAATTTCCTCCTATAGCTCGGAGTAGTTTGATCGTCTGAAGCCTTCTTCTCTCAACTCGTCAAAGTCATTCTCCGTCCAGCTTTTTTCCATTGCTGCTGAGGAACTGCGTTCCTTTGGAGGAGGAGAGGCGCTCTGCTTTTTAGAGTTTCCAGTTTTTCTGCTCCGTTTTTTCCCCATCTTTGTGGTTTTATCTACTTTTGGTCTTTGATGATGGTGACGTACAGATGGGTTTTTGGTGTGGATGTCCTTTCTGTTTGTTAGTTTTCCTTCTAACAGACAGGACCCTCAGCTGCAGGTCTGTTGGAGTTTGCTAGAGGTCCACTCCAGACCCTGTTTGCCTGGGTATCAGCAGTGGTGGCTGCAGAACAGCAGATTTTCGTGAACCACAAATGCTGCTGTCTGATCGTTCCTCTGGAAGTTTTGTCTCAGAGGAGTACCTGGCCATGTGAGGTGTCAGTCTGCCCCTACTGGGGGGTGCCTCCCAGTTAGGCTGCCCACTTGAGGAGGCAGTCTGCCCGTTCTCAGATCTCCAGCTGCGTGCTGGGAGAACCACTGCTCTCTTCAAAGGGACATTTAAGTCTGCAGAGGTTACTGCAGTCTTTTTGTTTGTCTGTGCCCTGCCCCCAGAGGTGGAGCCTACAGAGGCAGGCAGGACTCCTTGAGCTGTGGTGGGCTCCACCCAGTTCAAGTTTCCCGGCTGCTTTGTTTACCTAAGCAAGCCTGGGCAATGGCGGGTGCCCCTCCCCCAGCCTCGCTGCTGCCTTCCAGTTTGATCTCAGACTGCTGTGCTAGCAATCAGTGAGACTCCGTGGGCGTAGGACCCTCCGAGCCATGTGTGGGATATAACCTCCTGGTGCGCCGTTTTTTAAGCCCGTTGGAAAAGCGCAGTATTAGGGTGGGAGTGACCCGATTTTCCAGGTGCCATCTGTTACCCCTTTCTTTGACTAGGAAAGGGAACTCCCTGACCCTTTGCGCTTCCTGAGTGAGGCAATGCCTCGCCCTGCTTCGGCTCGTGCACGGTGCACTGCACCCAGTGTCCTGTGCCCACTGTCTGGCACTCCCTAGTGAGATGAACCCGGTACCTCAGATGGAAATGCAGAAATCACCCGTCTTCTGCGTCACTCACGCTGGGAGCTGTAGACCGGAGCTGTTGCTATTCGGCCATCTTGGCTGCCCTTCGTGAATGTCTTAAGTGATAGATAAGTGGACAATTAGAGTGGAAGAGGGAAGTTAAGTTGTGAAGTATGATGCAGAGTTGAGAATTCTTAATGATGGAGAGTAATCCTGATTGGATGGAGTGTGTGGATTGTGGGAAAAGTAGAGAAGAGGACAGTACTGGGCTAGACTGTGGATGGCCTTGAATGCTAAGATCAGAAATCTGAATTTTATGCTCATAGGATGATACTGAAAATGAGCAGCCACATAACACAGATAGCAGTTCAATCCACAACCATTTAAATTCCAGCTGGATTCCAGACAAAGACAGATGCTCACAGAAAACCATTTCTAGTAGCTGGTATTGCTTATTGGAGCAACTTGGTCCACTGGCACATCGTAGCATGATATCCCCCATTTTGATATGGGCACAGGGAGGGAACTGTGTGTAAGCCACCTGATAATGTCAGATGGTTTGGCAGAGTCATTTCAGTCACTGTGCACATGCCACTCTCCCATCTACCTCTCCTGGCATTCTCTCTTCCTTAGAGTTCCATCAAATGCCATTCACAGCCAGTCATTGAGTGGCCTTGGTTTTCATAACCCTCATCTCACAACCTTCTGAATTTTATTCTTCACAATGCTGTCTCTGCCATCCTAGCTCACCATACACATCTCTTCATAAATGCTTACTTGCATATGATCCCCAAATTTCACCATACTTTCTTGCTTCTCAAATTGAACATGGTCATCCATATTTTGCCTCATGATTACATTGGTTGGCCCACCTCAGTGCTGTCTATTTTAGATTATACAATCTGGAAGAGGTCCTAGAGGAGCTTGGGTAAAATTCATCTATGTTGTTTTATTACTTAGAGGAGATGAGGAAGGAAAACACAAAAGGGGACATTAAATATTGCAAAACTGAGACAGATGGAATCTTCTTCACTGAAACCATCTTGTTTGATAGGTTTATTTAAATAAACTTAATAAAGAAATTGAGCACCCAAACACCACCATTACACCAAAACAATATGATAGGATGAACTAAATACCCTCAAGCTTTGAGGCAGGGCTTCCCCTGCTTCATCCTCTCCCTGCCCCTACTGCTCTGCCCTGGCACTGTCATCTTACTTAGGTTGGGACCCAACCCCAGCACCTGACTCTCAGAAATGACCTTCACCTGGCCCAAGTCCTTCCTTATTCACGGTGGGTCTAGTTTCTTCCCTTCTCATCCCCTCTCTGCGGACTCCATCATGACCAAATCCTCCTTGTCTGACCACTTTAGTAGCTCTCTAACACTTCTCTAGAACCTCCAGTATAGAAGAGAAACATCTCAAAGCAGATGAACCTGCTGATACCTGATATCCAAATACTGAGGAGCCCAGATAGCCAACTTCAAAGAGGGAAAGAGAGAGTGGGCATCCTCTGAGTCAGGGTGTTGCAGATAAAGACAATGCTACATTTTGATGAGTTTCGAAGGAACTGGTGTTAATGCTAAGTGTACTAAATAACTAATGAAGAATAAACGAGCTGCATATTTGTCATCACTATCATTCTGCCTAAAGGAAATGTGCTTTCTGCTATGGCCAATTTGAGTCCATTGAGCTTTCTCACCCCAGGTTCTTTTTAATTATGTTTCTCTACCTTTGACAGTTTTATTTTGTGATTTGAAGGGTTTTGGGATTTTATCATTTAGGGATTTTCTTCTCCAAAGACATCTGGGAAGTTTGGTCTTATATTATAAAACCAAAGCAAACTCTATCAGCGTACTCTCTCGCTCTCTTTCTGTGTGTGTGTGTGTGTGTGTGTGTGTGTGTGTGACACTGTATAATATATACTTCTCAATATAGTATATATTATAAAAATTGTTACTCTGAACCATCCAGGAAAGATAAAGAAAGTACTTAAGGCTTTGGAAATACCACTTGACTCCTATAATTTCACTGGTATGGGGACACATGCCCCAAATTATCTGTCCCTTCATACTTCAGTTTTATAGTACTCCACAAGAAACACACATTTAGCTTGAAATATATACACAGCTGTCATTTTGAATTTCTTGGATTCCTGTGTAGTGTCAAAGATGTATGTATTTTATATCAAGAAGATTTCTTTCTGATTATGAAGATAGTTTATGTTTACTATAGAAAAAGATAAGAAAAATAATCTGCATTTCCACTACCCAAAGATAATTATGTTAACATTCTCTAACTCCTTTTCTACCCATAAGTATCTATATTTTTAAAATTGAAATCATGTACATTTTTATTCTTTTTTAAAAAGAAAGAAGACATTATATAATGTGTATACATTAAATTTAAGCATTTATACAAGACCAGCAAATATTTTCAAATGGTAAATACTCAAATACTAGCTAATCTCATTTGTTGATTTAGAAGATTCAAAGATATCTTTCTTTATTTTTGAGCCAAATGACTTTTTAAAAGGCAGAGGATTTTGCTTGAACAAGTGATCGTCCCAACAAATCAGGTAATAAATAAGAACATCTTCTCTCATTCTTGTCCCTATGCACTTCCCAGGCTGTGATATGGTGACTTTACAAAGCACAAAGGGTAATTAATGCTTGCAGCAGGGAAGGGCTCACTTAATGTTTTGCATGGTGCCTTAAGATTTTGTCTAATTTTCCTTTAAATTTACCTATTAATAGATACTGTACTCAATTGATCTATGCATATTTAAATTCTATTTTGGTGTTGGTTTACATTTGGGTAAGGAGTGGGTAGAAGTAGGGGACAAAGAAGGCAAATTACAGAATTGTGGCACTAGAAAAAGCAACCATCAAGGTTTTAGTGAAGTATTTATTGTTTAACAGAAGTCATGAAGATGAAGGGAGAATGAACTGCATATTGTTTTAGCAAAATGCAACATGGAGTAAGAAAAACTTTGGTGCCAAACAGATCTCAGTGTAAATGCTGCCTCTACTGCTTGCTTATGCAGGTGACCTTGGGCACAATCATCTAAATTTTCCCAGTCTTCATTTTCTTATTTGTAAAAATGAAGGTAACATGCTTCAGGAGGTTAAGGAACATTCTAGAACCCTATGCAATAATGTTTGTGGCCAGACGATTTCAGGAGGGTCCATGAACTCTCAGAAATGTTAACTATCACTGTGATTCATTCCACTTTCCCTGCCTGGATACTCACACCTCGCATGCCCATGTGGGAGGGGTAGAATTTGCTATCGGGTGACACAAATCCTTTTCTTTATTGTGGGTAGAAAGATTAAATGACATACAATATGTAAAATCTTGAAGCCTGGCAGATTACACAGGTGTGTTCAGTGACTGTTTCCTCCCCTTCTCCCACAACTAAGCCACATCAACTTTCTTATGAGTTCACAATGAAGATTCTGGAGGGGAAAAAATAATGTACGGGTAACATGAGTAATTTCAACATGTGAGCATATTAATGGAACTTAGTTCTGCTTTGTATTCCATTTATTATTATACATTTTGGGACATATTTTCTTTTAACGACGCTGATAGTTACTCTAAATCTTGATGATTACATTTTGCAGTAATTGCCACCTTCAAAAGACATTAACAGACAGTATTTTTCGTGATTTGCACAGGAATGCAGTAAGCCAGGCTGCTTTCTGCTGTTTGTAATAAGATTAGGGTGCATGTCCCCCAACAGCTGACACTAAACTTCTAGCACTAAAATTTGCTTCCATTACTTAAAAACGACAACAAAAAACGAAATATATGCTCTATAAAAAAGTAGGTCTGTAGAGTTAGAAAAATACCAGATGTCTATAATTGAAGCTGATGGCAGATAATACAATAAAAATGAACACGTTTTATATCAAAGGTAAAAACTTGAAATATCCAAGAAGGGATCAGGTGTGAAATCACCTTCAGGATTTGAAAACTCTGAATGTTTTTCTGCATGTATAATCCACCAGGTGGCACTGTTGCCTGCTTTCGGCTCCGACCCCAACGCCTCCTCCAGAGCTGAGTTTGTTTAGGTCTAGGTCAGAGCTAGTTCATAGATTCGTCAACTTGATGGGTTTTTTTTTTTTTTCCACTTCCCAATTATTTTGCTTTGAAGATAAAATGCCTCAAATTCTAAACTTATGTTAAAAATATTTGATCTATGTGTCACTTTAGTTTGGAGCTCAATTCGCCTTTTACTTATTTTTTACAGTTCATTTAACAACCCACATTTAATTTTTAAAAAATGTTTAGATTGACAAGTAAAAATTGTATATACTTATGATGCACAACACGATGCCTTAATATGTGTATACATTGTGGAATAGTCAAATCAAGCCACTTAACATACGTATTAACTCACATACTTATTTTTTGCCTGTGCAATGAGAACACTTAAAATCTATTCTTTTAGAAATTTTCAAATATACAATGCATTAAATTAAGTTTAACCTAAAGCTGACTTCTTACATGTTTTAGGTTCAGCCTAAAGGTTTCTCTGTACATAGTGAAATGTAACCTAATGTGGTGTGTAAACAGACTGTAACCTACTCTTGCAACAATCAGCAAGTTTTGGCCAAAGATGGGCAACTCTTCAAACTTGTGATCAAATAAGGCAAACAACAAGCTGTTATCAATCCAGCTGTTTAGGTACCTCACCTCCATTTTCTGGAGGTCACTTTCCTTTTTCTGTCTGTAAATCCTCTCCAACCACATGGCAGCGCGAAGTTGCTCTGAACCTATTCTGGTTGGGGATGCTGCCTGATTCACACATCTTCTTTGAGCGATTAAGCTCTACTGAATTTAATTTGTTTAAGGTATTTTAACACATGTATTGTAGTACTAGATGGGTACAATATGTCTCTTGAACTTATCCCTCCTGTCTAACTCAAATTTTGCATCTTTGACCAACATCTCCCAAGTCCCCTAACCCACCAACCTCTTGCCACCACCATGTTACTCTCAGTTTCTATGAGTTTCACTGTTTTACACTCCACATATAAGTGAGATCATGTGGTAGTATTTGTTTTTCTGTCCTGGCTTATTTCACTTAACATAATGTCCTCCAGTTTCATCCATGTGGTTGCAAATGACAGGATTTCCTTTTTTTTAAAGGCTAAACAGGGCTTAGCATGGTGGCTCATGCCTGTAATCCCAGCACTTTGGGAGTCTAAGGCAGGAGGATTACCTGAGCTCAGTTGAAGACCACCCTGGGCAACAGGGAAAGACCCCATCTCTGCAAAGATTAAAAAATAAAAATTAACTGGATATGGCAGTGCATGCCTGTGGTCCCAGCTACTTGGGAGGTTGAGGAGGGAGGATTGCTTGAGCCCAGGAGGTCGAGGCTGCAGTGAGCCATGTTCATACCAAAAAATGCCAAATATAATTCCATTGTGTATATATGTCACATTTTCTTTATCCATTCATCTGTTGTTGGACAGAGGTTAATTCCATATCTTAGGTATTGTGAATAATGCCTCAATAAGCATGAGAGTGCAGATATATTTTTGACATACTGATTTTATATCCTTTAGATATATAGCCAGTAGAGGAATTACTGGACCTTATGGTAGTTCTATTTTTAATATTTTTAGGAACCTCCATACTGTTCTCAATATGGCTGTACTAATTGACATTCCTACCAACAGTGGGCAAGCGTCCCCTTTTCTCCTCATCCTCACCAACACTTGTTATCTTTCCTCTTTTTGATGATAGCCATTCTAGCCGGTGTGAGGTGATAACAACTCTTAGGAGCTTGTGAAGAACATTCAATCTTCACAACTACTCTATACGCAATTCATTTTTCTATTGTACACCTGAGGAAATTGAGTTTTGGGTAAATTGATTTGTCCAAGGTCAGGCAGACAATAAGCAGAGAAGCCAGACCTGAATCCAAGAGTATTTGAATCCAAAACCCACGTTTTCACACTATAATAACTCAGTTTCCTACAGGAAATGATTATTAAATTCTAATGGTGTCTTCTGAGACTTGCTAGAGAAACAAGAACAAGATAAGCATTTTTAAACAATGCCAATTACAAAAGTATTTTGCAGGTTTTCTCAAGTCTTCCTCATGATTATTATTTTTTTCTCTTTAATGTTTATTTTTCTAGAGTCAATCTACAGACTAACCTAAAATGTGTTTTATTCCTGCCCTGATTCTACCTAAGTAATAAAGTATCCATAAAACTTTAACTCAAGTCTTGGCTCCTACCATTCATAACATTCAAACTAAACAGAAAATAAGTAGTGGCGTATCTCTAAATTCCAGATAATCCACACCAAAATCAGAATTATTCCCTTTTGTGTGTGTGTGTGTGTGTATACATATCTGTATTTATACACGTGAAATTATATTTGCAATCAATTTCCCTGCTAGTATTTGTTGCACCTTTGGTGACTTTACTATATCTTGTTGTTCTCAGTTTCTTTATTATTGATAAGGAAAATCTACTCTGTCATTGTTAATAATCATAGCACATTGTTTCTGCCCTATTACTTCCATGTCCTGAAGTCCCAACCAAATACTAAGAACTCTCCTTTAATAAATGAACATATCTGTCTACAGTGTACAGTGTACAAGATTAGGGATCTTGCAGTCACTTTACTTTCAATTTCTCTTATTTAAATTGTCACTCTAATCCAAAAACTTATCTTTGTCTCTTACCCCTCCCCAATCCAATTCCTGCCTTTTATCAGACTAAGCTTTTCGCAGTACAGCTAAGAATACATATCTTTCTTCCTTTTTCCTCCCCATCTACTGCTCATGACCCACATAAGAGATGCCTTCCCCATGAAGCCCCATCTGTTCTCTCCATCTCCTTTCAAATTTTGTTTTCATGTCTGTTGGGTCAGGCATCACATTATATTTATTATAATAACTTTGCTCCACTTATACCTGGTCCCGGCTTACCACCTTTTCTATCTTGCCCCATTTTTCCAGGTCAATAACCACATCTTATTTACCTTTATATCTCCAATACAGAACTTCTTACTTTAAATATTCATAAGAATCATCTAGGGTTCTTGTTGAAATGCAGATTTTTGATTCAGCAGGTCTGGGATGGGGCGGGAACTCTGTATTTCTCGGCATATCCAGCTCCCAAAGGATACTAATATGACTGATTCATGGACCACAGTCTGACTAGGAAAGTCCTGGTATATTTTGCATAACATTTTGCACATGGCAGGTGTTAACTCACATGTAACAGAGGAAAAGCAAAATATGAATTAAAACTACAATGAGATCCCACTACACACCACTAATATGGCTAAAATTAAAGACTGACAACATCAGATATTGATGAGGATGTCTGAGTGCCTGAATTCTTATAAACTGTTGGTAGGAATGTAAGATAATATGACTACTTGGGGAAAAGATCTAGCAGATTTTGTTTTTTTGTAAAATTAACATATACTTACCCCATGATCTAGCAGTTCTTCTCCTAGGTATTTATCAAAGAAAGATGAAAACACATGTTCACAAAAAGATTTGTACAAGAATGTTGACATAAACCCCCTGTATTAGCCTGTTCTCACACTGCTGTAAAGAAATACCTGACACCAGGTAATTTAGAAAGAAAAGAGGTATAATTGGCTCACAGTTCTGCAGGCTGTATGGGAAGCATAGCAGCATCTGCTTCTGGGGAAGCCTCAGGAAGCTTTTACTCATGCCAGAAGGCAACGCAGGAGCAGGTGTCTTACATGGCAGGGAAAGTACCAAAAGAGAGAGTAGCGGAGGTGCCACACATTTTTAAATGACCAGACCTTATGAGAACTCACTAACTATCACCAGAACAGCACTAAATGGGAAATCTGGCTCCATAAGCCAATCATCTTCCACCAGGCCCCATCACCAACATTGGGGATTACAATTAGACATGAGATTTGGGCAGGGACACAGATCCAAACCATATAATTCAGTCCCTGGCTCCTTCGAAATCTCATATCCTGGTAATATTTCAAAATACAATCATGCCTTCCTAACAATTGCCCAAAGTTTTAACTCATTCCAGCACTAACTCAAAAGCCCAATGTCCAAAGTCTCATCTGAGACAAGGGTAGTCCCTTCCACCTATGAGCCTGTAAAATAAAAAACAAGTTAGTTACTTGCAAAATACAATGGGGATATAGGCATTGGGTAAATACTCCTGTTCCAAAAGGAGAAATTGGCCCAAAAAAGGGGGTCTACAGGCCCCCATGCAAGTCTGAAAACCAGCAGGGCAGTCATTAAATCTTAAAGCTCCAAAATAATCTTCTTTGACTTCATTTCTCACATCCAGGGAACACTGGTGAAAGGGGTGGGCCCCCAAAGCCTTAGGAAGCTCCTCCTTTGTGACTTTGCAGGGTTCAGCTCCCACAGCTGCTCTGATGGGCTGTCACTGAGTGCCTGTGGCTTTTCCAGGTACATGGTGCAAGCTGTTTGTGGCTCTACCATTCTGGGGTTTGGAGGACAGTGGCCATCCTCTCATAGCTCCACTAGGCAGTACCCCAATAAGGACTCTGAGTGGGGGCTACAATCCCACATTTTCCCTCTGCATTGCCCTAATAGAGGTTCTCCCTGAGGGCTCCATCCCTGCAGCAGGCTTCTGCCTGCACATTCACACTTTTCCATAATTCTCTGAAATCTAGGTAGTAGAGCCTCAACTTTTGCACTCTGTGCACCCACAGACTTAACACCACGTGGATGCCACCAGTCTTATGGCTTACACCCTCTGAAGCAGCAGCCTGAGCAATACCCAGGCCCCTTTAAGCCACGGCTGGGGTAGAAGCAGCCAGGATACAGGGAGCAGTATCCCAAGGCTGCACAGGGCAGTGGGGCCCTGGGCCTGGCCCAGGAAACCATTCTTCCCTCCTACGCCTCCAGGTCTGTGATGGGACGGGCTGCCATAAAGGTCTCTGAAATGCCTTCAAGGCCTTTCCTCCATTGCCTTGGATATTAGCACTTGGCTCCTCTTATGCAAATTTCTGCAGCCTGCTTGAATTCTTCCCCTGAAAATGGGTTTTTCCTTTTTACTATATAGCTAGGCTATAAATTTCCCAACTTTTATGCTCTGCTTCCCTTTTAAAAATAAGTTCCAATTTCAGGTCATTTCTTTGCTCATGTATATGAACATAAGTTGTTAGAAGCAGCCAGGTCACATCTTGAACATTTTGCTGCTAACAAATTTCTTCTGCCAGATACCCTAAATCATCATTCGCAAGTTCAAAGTTTCACAGATCCCTAGTATAGGGGAACAATGCAGCCAACCTCTTTGCTAATGCATAACAAAAGCGACATTTGTTTGAGTTCCTAATAAGTTTCTCATCTCCATCTGAGACTGCTGCAGCCTGGATTTCATTGTCCATATCACATATTACTATCAGCATTTTAGTCACAGCAATTTAACAATACTCTAGGAAGTCCCAAACTTTCCCCCGTCTTCCTATCTTCTTCTGAGCCTTCTACATTCTTCCAACTCAGTTCCAAAGCTGCTTCCATATTTTCAGATATCTTTATCCCAACCCCTGGTACCATTTTTCTGTATTAGTCTGTACTAAGCTGCTTCCATATTTTCAGATATCTTTATCCCAACCCCTGGTACCATTTTTCTGTATTAGTCTGTTCTTGTACTGCTATAAACAAATACCTGACATTGGGTAATTTATAAAGGAAAGAGGTTTAATTGACTCACTGCTCTACAATATATACAGGAAGCATGGTGGCATCTACTTCTGGGGAGGCCTCAGGGAGCTTTTACTCATGGCAGAAGGCAAAGCCTGAACAGTCATCTTACATGGCAGGAACAAGACCAAGAGAGAGTAGGGGGAGGTGCCACACACTTTTAAGTGACCAGATCTCATGAGAACTCACTCACTCGCAATGGAACAGCACCAAGTGGGAAATCTGCCCCTATGATTCAATCACCTCCCACCAGCCCTCACCCCCAACACTGGGGATTACAATTTGACATGAGATCCAGGCCAGGGAACAGATCCAAACCATATCATGCCACAAACTGAGAATATCCCAGGAGTCTATTGACTAGCAAATGGATAAATAAGTTGTGGTATATCCACACCGTGCAATGCTGGCTACTACTTCTATACCATGGAACACTGGCTCAGGTTCTCTTGCTGTTGCAGTCATGTAGGATAGGACTTCAGTCATCCGAAGGTTTGACTGGGATTACAGACTCTTCTTCCAAAGGGCTTGCTCATATGGCTGTTTGCAGAAGGCCTCAGACTTTTGCCACCTAGTCCTCTCCATGTAGCTGCTTGGTGTCCTTATGACATGGCTGCTGGCCTCCAACATATGAGAGATGCAAGAGAGCATACTCCTGTGGCCTAGCTGGCTGCAAGCTGCTTCTGGTCCTGCCTTGAGTCTTTCTTGATTAATGTTGGACCAAAGACTTCTAATGAAAATGTGTGAATTACTGATACACAACAACAACAACAACATGGGTGAATCTCAAAAGCATGATGTTGAATGAAACAACCAGACTCAAGAGAGTACTTACTATACGATTTAATTTCTTTTATATGAAGCTATAGAAGGCAAAACAAATCTATAGTTTGTTAAAAGGCAAAACAGTGGTTACTTGAAAACCAGAGTAAGCAGAGATTATTTGGAAGGGCCATGAGGGAACTTCCTAGGGGGATGGGATATTCTACATCTTCATAGGACTTTAGGTTACATAGGTCTATGCATTTGTGAAAACTCAAAGAATAGTACACTTAAGAATTACACATTTCATTCTTTATAAATTTTATTTAAAACAAAAGGAACTCTAAACAAATTTTTGACTATCGTTAATGATATGTTGCTGAAATGTTTGGAGGTGAAGAGTACTGATGTCTGTAGTTGACAGTGCATTAAAAAATAAGACGTGCATTAAAAATAATATGAATGGATGGATGGATGACTAGATATGTAGGTAAAACAAATATAGCAAATGTTTATTGTAGAATCTGAGTAGCAGGCATGTGGGTGTTCTTCAACTTTTCTGTATGCTGGAAATTTTTCATAATACAATGTCTAAAAGAAAAAAACAACAACAATGAGGAGATACTACTGCCTGTATCTGTAGCCCTGACCCCAGCTTGGGATAGATGCCATTGATGTACATTTGGAGAGGCAGTGGCAGATCTCTGCTGCTCAACCCCTGTGCAGGGAAAAAGCTGTGTTCAGACACACTGAGAGCAATTGTGGCAAAGGACTGGAAATACTGGCTATGCTGGACCATCAGTTACTTACAGAGGCTTAAGCCTCCTGAAGGACACAAATCAACATGGTCTAAGGTTGCCAGTGGCAACTAGAGTAGCTAAGAGTATGAAAGAGATACTCCAAGACTTGAATTTCACCATTCCAGGCCATACATGATTCACAAGTACCCTAATGAAATGTCTTGATAGTTAAGATTTAACATACATGGACATAGTTTACTAGACATATCTACAATTCTCTATATCGGTATCTCTAGTACCTTCTGTTATAATTTAATTCATATTTTTTTTTGCTGAGTTAATCTGAAATGGTAACCGTTTTTGTTAATGGAAGACAGACGGAAACTACTGATGAGTTAGTCACTGCATTATTTTCTCCTGGACCATCTGATGGGGTGTACACACGTCTTCTTACTGGGTCTCAAAGCTGGCTTCATATTAGAATCACCTGGGAAGCTTTTAAAGCAATAGAGATGACAGCCACCCTATGGCAACTCAGCATGGAGGAGTGTGCAGGAGGGAGGCCTGGGCAATGGTACATTAAAAATTCTCTCCTGGTGATTTTAATATTTGTCACATAACTAGGTCTTCGATTTCTAAAAGTTAAAACATCTTCAAAGGGACTGCAAGGAAAATAAAGTTTTACTTTAAAAAATATGCTATTGAGGGCAAAGTTTCTTAAGTTTTGTAGGTATCTTTTTCTTCCACCTCTTAGCAATACTTATCAAAGTGTGATGGGTCAAGAAATTTACATTTAAGTAGAACAAACATCAGTTTTGGATTTCCAGTAGTAAGATTTCACTGGCAGAAATTATTAATTATTATTGAATGTTATTGAAATTGAAGTGAAAATGCTACTAGTAAATGAAAATGCTACCAGTTTCCCAAATTCTGATGTGTGTATGTCTGGCCACCATAGCTGGTTTACATTATAGGCAGGCTAAGCATGTGCTTAGGGCAGACAACAAAATATGTTTTTAGAAAAAGCTTCACATTTGATATTTCAAAAGCAGCCTTAGAGTAATCAAATAAAGAAAAAACAATCAGTATTGTGTTGGCGTTTCTTCCACTTATTCTACCTATTGGAGGTGGGGAGGAAACATAGCCTTTGCAAGGATTAATGTCATGGAAGATCTTCACCAGCCTGGACAGGGAGTGGAAGGTGCTTCTGCAACGGAAGCATAACTATTGCTTTCTGCTGCCTCTCCTTACTGCTTTGCTCCCCAGCCCAGGTGTCACCACCCAGTCAATCAGAAAGTCAAAGAGTCTGAGGGCAGTGGAGGGAGGTTGTGCCTGGCCCAGAGGGTTTTAAGTGTGAACTGGATTGAGAACAACATGCCGATTGTTCTTTGTTTGCTGAGACTGGCTTGGTGCCAGCGCAGAACTGGCTGGCCCTGAGAAGCTTACAGAGCCTAGTGACCAGGTGTGGGGAACCAGCACTGGCTGCGGGGGTGGGGGTAGAAGGGAGCACAGAAGGCACTACTTCATAGATGGTTAGAAACTTCACCAAACTTACTGGGTAGGTTCCACACCAAGTTTTATCTTATTAGAGAAAGGGACAGAAAATGGCTAAAAAGTCAGGCCAGTAATAATCAACACACAAAACTGAGGGAAGAAGGTAGAGAGGTTGTCCCACTGAATCCTAAGTGTACAGGCACTCCCCCAGAATAGGGGTTGAGCCTAAATGTCAAAACTCTTGTTGGTCTTTAGGATGTTTGACCTGCAGGAAGTGAAAAGGGCAGAAAAATTACCAGACCGAGTTTTCAGGAATGCTGTGGAATAATTCTATCAATGTAGCCCCCGACTGTGGTAACAGAGAATCAACCTCCCTTGAAAGCAGGACTTTCTGAAAGGGAGAAAAAAGTATTTTTGTCTATTATTACTATACACTGAGCAAGTGAAACAGTAGACAGCCATTGGCTTCCCTGATGTATTTGTACTGGAAAAAAATTTAAATATATATAAAGGAAAACATACTTTTCAGAAATGGACATGCACAAAGCTGTCATTTGCAGTATCTCCTGGTGGTGAGTTTGGGGAAGAATTTTACTTTCTTTTGTGTACATTTCTAGATTGCCTTACTCACTTTATATATGTATGTACATATGCTAAGACCATGTGTGTCTTTAAACCCAGAAAAAGTAGGAATCTAGTTCTGTAGTAAAATAGTTTTTTAAATTGCAAAATGTATACTCTTGCCCACCTATTTAATTAAGGGTGGATGTGTGGATACATTGGCCTTTGAGCTGGCATTCCCTGTGTCTATCTCTCTGGGGAAAAGGAATGAAAAATTATTAAAATGCACACTTCCTTGTTAACATGACTGGCAGAATAACGATCATTTTGATAGTATTTTGTCCATGGAGGCTTTGAAAAGGACAGAGGGAGAGATTTCTATCTCAAGGAAAACTTCCAATGCCTTCCTGAGGTTACTTAAAATTCATAAGGCCATAAAAAAAAAAAACGGGGCTGAGACCTCGCTTCTACTATTTTGACAAATTGCCAACCAGTTTTCTTCTCCTGGAAACAATGCTATTTAGGTCCCAGTTTTAGTTCTGCAAAGATGCCAGGCAGAACTAGGTCACTATGATATGTATCAGTTAGTTAACTCATCCCAGTTTGGCTCCAGCCATTCATCATCCGCCTTTGACCTTTTACCTTGTTTCAGTCTTCAGTCACTAGGTCAGAGCTGCAATGCATGGAAATATCAAGCAGGATATTGCCAGGAAAAAACAAACAAACAAACAAAAACAAAAACAAACTAAAACTCTATGAGTGAGCTGGGACTGCTATCATTGCCTTTATTCCCATTTTAAAGATGAAAAAACTGAGAATTGGAAAAGTTATAGAATTTGCCCTTTGTTATCCAGCAGCTCCCTGACTTTGCCCTGGGGCTGCTTGCACCTTGGTGGGGTCAGTGGATGGCTGATGACGCTGTCCGCATTGGCACAAGCTGCAGGAGCTACACTAGCTACAGATTTGCAAACACCCTCCCAGCCGAAATGCCACTCCCCGGTCTTAGTGCTAAGACCACAGGGGCAGCAATTTACTGGGGCTCAAGTGGATGGGTGCCATTCATGAACATCATTGTATTCTAATGTTAATCATATACCTTTTATTTTAAATTATATAAGAAATACATAAATATAGTCATAATGTAAGAAATTAAGGCAATATGAAAGAATTATAGGGGCCAAGGGAAAACTTCCACTTTGTCCTCTGAAGTTTCGCTGAAAAATCAACTCACAAAAGGCAGGATTAATTGGAGAAAAGGCATACAAATTTATTCGTGTGCACACAGAGGGAACCACAGAGCGATTACCACTAACCCCTCAATGGGGTGCAGCAGCTTAAACACCACCTGGAGGTTACAGAAAAAATGGGGGCTCAGAGCATGACCAAAAACAGGTTATGGTTGAAAATCAGGTGATGGTGGCAGGACAGTTATGGGACAGGACATACGACCTCATCCACCATGAAATAAAGAATTCCCGTGGAAACTTCAGGGGATTGAAATACATCTCATAGAAGAGAAAAATCTCAGTACTCATTTGACCTGGGGTCTGCATGTACCCTGTGCCAACCCACTAAGTCAACAAATCCAGACACGTGAATCTGCGAAGATAGAAAATACTCAGGTTGTAAGACTGCTCTGCTGCTTAGAATGTTTCTAAAGTAACCAAGAAGCCTATACAAACATGCCTCAGAAAGCTGTTCAAAGGGGTATAAAATAATCTGATCACTTCATCATGTCCTTGGGAAAGGAATGAGTGTTTCAAATTTGCTACCTATAACTAAGCAGGTAATTAAAACTTCATATATGTTGTTCAAAGACAAAATTACAATAAATTTAAAGACCTTAATTGGCTTTTATTTGTGATTCTAGAATTGGGCGACATCTCATTCTACAAAGTGGAATGTGTTCAGATGAACTGAGCAGAGGAGGTTGGTTTTGTAGACAGAAAAGGGCTGAGAAAAGCAGAATCAAAAGACAAAAAGCAAGTTGGTTATTTCCAAGCTCCTTTCCTTGTAAAGGTTAAAACAGAGGGGATTTCCTTATCATGCCAGCTAAAACTGGCTTGTGTGGAGATTTGGCTATTATCTCTCACTCTCCTGATTTCTCAGAAGGTCAGGTAGAGAACTTACTTTTGGCTTGGTGACATGGAACTTCAGCAGGAGTGACTGCATTTTGGTTTGGTCTGTTGAACCTAGTGCAGGGGCTCAATCTAAACCAACAACCTCATATGAAGTTTATTTAATAATGTAAAATGCAGGTTTAAATTTGATAATTTCCAAAGTCCTTTTTGACTTTTTCTTTAATCATTCATAAGCTAAATACCCCTAGAAATAACCATTCCATACATTACACCATTCCTGGGGGAAAAAATATTTTAGGCTCATTCCAGGTACATTCTAGAATATTGAGAAAAAAAAAAGAAGTGTGTGTGTTGGGGGTGGGGGTGGTATGAGGAGTGAGATAATAGAAGGGTAAATTTATGTCCTAGGTTATATTAATTTCACGGGCCAGGGCCCTTGAGCCCCTGAAGTTTCATGGAAAAATCACTTCATACAAGGCAGAATAATTGGAGAAAAATCATAAAAATTTATTTAACATATACACACAGGAACCTTCTGAATGAAGACCCAAAAATACACAGAAAATTGTCCGATTTTTGCTTAGGTTCAACAAAGTACGAGCAGCAATGGAGAAATATGATTGGACAATAAGGGTATGATCTAATGCTAATAGATGGAGTTGGGAAACCCCAGCAGGGCCTGCCTGTCTAGACTCATCTTGGCCTCTCTGAGCAGCGTTCCTTCCTTCTGGGTGTGGCACAGGGCCCTCTATGGAATGGAGGTCTTATGACCTACAGCCAAATAAGGGAGGTCAGAAAATTTCTTTATGTCCAACTTTTATACAGAAAGGCAAAGGGAAAGTTAGAGTAATATTCTAAGATTTTGTGGCTGGCTTTGGGGAAAAGGGATTCTGGTTTTTATGACTCACCTTGAGAGAAAGAAGGTCAGAGAAGAACTTTTATTTCTGATGCCTTCATTTGGGGATATTATTTTCTGAGCTTCAGTGTAATGTTTCCTGCTTCTGTATTTGCCAGCTGACTCCAGCCATCTTCAAATTACAGATATAGAAGAAAGGGTTAATAAAATACGCATCACAGAGCTCATAGGGTAGTTGAATTTCTGGATTGTTTTTTTAAAGCATGATTCAAGCATACAAAGGGTGAGTGCTGTTTTAAAATGTATTTATATGTAACGTCCCCTGATTCCAGAAAGGATTAGGTGACATAAACTAAAAGTAAAAATCAGAGAAGAAAGAAACACAAGACTGGGACAAACGTCAATGAAGAATGCCTCGTGAAGAATTGGTAATATTGCTCTCCATTTCTCCCTTGCGGATAAACACATATTCAAATATAGCATGGGATATCCAGATGAGTTTAAAAATTTCTTCTTTGATTAATTCTTTCTCAAAGTATTATCTCATTGGATCATATCACACGAGTTTCACTCAGCTTTTTTTTTTGAGGATAACAAACAGCAGTGTTTCCATTTTACAAGGAAAATAATACAGACTTGAAGAGATTAACTAATTTGCCTATAGTCCTGTAACTAGTTGCAGCAAAACTTATAATTAAGATCTTCAAGCAAACAAATGGGCTTCTTAAAATTATATATAACCTTTCCTGTAGGCTTTTGAAAAATAAGATAAATAGCGACTGAAGGAAATAAAAATATTTCACCCCAAAGTATACTTCTTTGACATACTTCGAGGTGGGGTGGCTGTTCAGAGACCCTGCAAACAGAAGTAACCCTGCAAAGCTGCCTTTCGTAGGGGACATTTACATCTGTAGACAATCTGCACTGATGCAGCTAGGTTTTGTCTGAGGCCTTTCCTTGTCTAAGAAAGATTAATGAGAGTCTTACTATCTATTCTTTCTGAGGACTGATACCTGTGAAGTTTTATTTATATAACAAGACCACCTTTGCTAGCCAGGCCTCCTCTCCTTGCCCTCCCATAATGCATTTTGCCACCAGAATCTGTTTTGCCATGATCCAAGCTGCCATTCTTTCTGCAACCTCAGGATGGCATACATTTCTTAACTCCATTGGAGGGTGGGGTAGTCACTCTGTGGTTTTCCTTCATGTGCACATTAACAAATTTGTATGCCTTTTCTCCAATTCATCTGAGTTGATTTTTTTCAGCAAAACTTCAGAGGGCAAAGGGGAGGTTTTCCTTTGGCTCCTACTGTTTTGTTGCTGTGAGCAGGATTCCAAAGCTCCACTCTTCTGGAAGCTGCAGCTAAGGGAACCCAGGACCTGACAAGCCAGCAGAAGGGTAAGAGATTCTTACCCATCAGGCTCCCAGCCTCTGTTTGTCTCTCTCTGGTGGAGCAAATGGTAAAAAGCACTGTTTCTTTTTCACCTGCAAGGTTTTGATTAATAGGAGAAAAGGACTTGTGTGACTAGTCTTGGTGTAGTCAAGTACAACTCTGTGTACTCATATTGAATCCCTTTTCTTCCAGAAATCATCTTTTCCTATGCCTTTGTTTTTCTGGGTGTAGCCAAGTACAACTCTGGTGTACTTTTTGGTATGCATATTCATATTTAATCCCTTTTCTTCCAGAAATAATATTTTCCTATGCCTTTGTTTTTCTGTGCTGTTCTGTCAGAAAGATGGGTACTGGATAAGGTTTCCTCTTGTCTTGTTTTATGTCCATGAGAGCTTGACTTGTGATGAAGTGAGAGCACATTCTTTTTGTCTCCACCATCTGGGGGGCATGATCTTCAAGTCATGACAGGTGACCATTCTAAAAATGGCTGGGAACTTGAGGCCAGCACAGTTTCTGTTCTGAACGTGTCAAGTTCTCAGGCGAGTTTGTCTTAACAAGTCCCATCACCATGGGACTTTTGTTGTCTCAACCTTGTTGCTTGTTAGTCTATGGCAACAAGAGTGTTTCGCTATCTGAGACTGTCCCTGGTAATGAATTTTGGGGGAGGGGGATTTGGGGGATTGCTTCTTCTATGCCTTCTCTAGGAAACACCACTTTGTTCCAAGCCTGGCAAATTATAATACACCCTGAGCTTTCCATAAAGAGGCAAAGACTCCTATGTTTAAAAAAAAAAAAAAAAAGGAAATTTGGAGATCACTTATTCTAAATAATTGACTTCTTTGTACCTGTAGGAAGACCAAATTGAAAGAAAGACACATAATAGTATCATGGTTAGCCTTAGAAATTTCCTTGACTAAATTAAAGAGCAAAAATCTGACCTGAAACAAAGTTAAAAGCCCTTGTACATTAAAACTGCCTGCTTTGGACCCTTTGCAGGATTCACAATGAAGTCTAGTCCAGCTTGCAGTGTGACAGCTAAAATTCCATGCCTTCATTCCTGCAGCCTTGGTTTGATTCCTGGTCAGGGAATCAATCTCTTTTGGTTTGAAGTTTGTGTGACTTTTGGCTTTTGGGAGTAGGCATTTATTGGTCCTTTTCTCTTTCATGGGCAGCTTTTGAGTGGGGCATATGGGGCTTTTGGGCATTTGTGTGAAAATGGTCAGCTGAGACGCTGAGACCTTAAGAGAATGCAGCCGGACAGATGTGGGTTGTAACACATTTGTGGCTAATAAAACTCCTTTCTTTGAGCTGTCTTTGAGGTGGTTCTGGATCTTATGAGGTGGGAGAATATTTTTTGTTTTTTGTTTTTTTTAAAGTTAAAAGCCAGAAATATCAGTTGTTTGTCATGGTTAAAATCTGTTAGAGATTTAAAAGGATTTTTTTGAAAAGATCTCCATGGTCAGAAGTCAGCTTCATTAAAAGCCAATATTCAAGCTATATATACACATATACTTTTCTAAAAAGGCCTTCCTGCTTTTTAAGGCCCGTTTGGGGAGATTTTTTTCAGTCAACTGAAACCTCTTTTAAATATGTGCTTGGTTCCTCTGTTCTTTTCCTTTCTCAAGAATTATTTTATTTAATTCTCCTCCCTATGCTGTCTTTCTCTTTACTGTCTTTGATACCACATGAAAAGATCTAGAAGGGAGTGCTAGTGACTCAGGCCCCTTAAGAAACTCAGAAAAAGGTGCCACTCACCCCCTTTTGAAGTCTTCTGTTTTCCTTGTGGAGTTTCAGGAGTCACAGGCAGGTTCTCTCAGATCTAAAGCTCTGCTCTATTTTACATTCTGTTACCTGATCTCTTTGGCCTTGGGGATGCCAAGAATTACTTTGTACTCTAAGAGAGAACTTGACCTTTATGTGTGCAATGGCTGGTGGGTCACTGGCAAGAACTACAGTTTGGGAAGTTCTGACAGTGATTGCAATAAATGGTTGTCACTACAGGCGGCTATGTATTTCTTTGTGTTTAGATGAGAAAGGTGCAGTTTGAACACTTGGAGTCTATGAGAGTGCTCACCACAGAGGGATGAGACTCTCATGGGAGATGAGCTTGTCAAAGTGGGTCAAATGATTCTGGGTTGCCCACCAGCTTAGGGGCAATGTCTTTGTAACAAGAACTGTCTGCCTAGCCCTCATCTCAAGATGTGTGTCTATTTTTTGGCACCTGGAATTCAATGGAAAAGTGGAACAGAGTTTCGCTCTGTCACCATGCTGGAGTGCAGTGGTGTGATCTCGGCTCACTGCAACCTCTGCCTCCCAGGTTCAAGTGATTGAGGTTCCTACCTCAGCCTCCTGAATAGCTGGGCCTACAGGAGCGTGCCACCATGCCCAGCTAATTTTTGTATTTTTAGTAGAGACAGGGTTTCACCATGTTGGCCAGGATGGTCTCAATCTCTTGACCTTGTGATCCACCTGCCTCAGCCTCCCAAAGTGCTGGGATTATAGGCATGAGTCACTATGCCAGGCCAGAATCCTTGATTTTTAAAGATCTAGATATACTTTCCAGCTGTGCCTGCTTTTCACATATTTAAATATTAGGTCCCCCATAAAACCTGCAATGCTTTTTTGGGGCCCAATTTGTTAATGAGCTTTGCCCTGAGGTCAGTGGTCCAGTTGAAGAATGAAGACAAAATTTAAAAGCCACCTATTCAAATAGATTGGTCTCCAAAATATGACTTTCTGGTGTTTAGCTGGTTATTTTGAAAAGGTTTCTAAATTTCCTCTAGGCCCATCTGCATGTTTCCTTATGAAATCCTATGATTTTATGTTACCTTGGCATTTATTTTTAATCTTCCTCTAACACACCCAAACTCCTCGAAAAAGCTAAATCCTCTTTCTCTGTGCTTTGAGATGTAAATTTGCTACCACGTTTAATCTAAAACTCAGTGAGGGCTTTACCTATGTGAGAAAGATAAACTTTATCCTTTTGCATTTACAAAGGTACAGTTTGAATCCAAATGCCTTTTAAACTAGTGAGTTTTAATGGTCTCATGACTAAAATTTTAAAGTCAAAGCTATAAAGTCTTTTTTTATGTTTGTATTTTTATATATACGTGGGTACACATCTATGTTTATATATTGTCCCAACTTAATTTATAAATAAATGAGTGCTCATAAATAACTAGCCCAAAAGTTTATCAAATTTACATGATTTTAGTAATCTTTCATAAATAAAGTGATTTTAAAAGTTATTGGTAAAATATAAATGTCTTCAGAATTTAATTTAGACTTTTTTTTTTGCCTGGTTCTATTGGTCAGACAGGTGTATACTGTCTCTAATAGATGTTTTAAAGTGATAAAACTGTTGCTTCTCTGACATTTTTAATCTGTGAGTTTATGTTTTTGGATTTCAGCCTTTAGATTTTGAGGTCTAGGCAAGTGACCACGGTGAGGCCTGGGAACAGGGCCTAATCCCTTTCTCCCTGGCTCAGTTGTGCCTTCCGGCCTTGCTAGGAGGAGTTGGATCCTCCAGGCATAGTCTTCACATCCCTGTCCCTTGTCCCAAGATCTGCATCTGGTACATAATTAAAATTGCTTATTTCCTAGGGTTTTCACAAAATAAGGTTACCAAAATAAAAGATAACATTGTGATTAATATGTGTAATTAAAATTGCTAGATATATTAATAAAATAAACAGTTCTGTATACAAAGTACATAAGAAAAGTAGGAAGTATTTTCGGTTTAAAAAAGGTTATATAAGGAGGCAGGAAAATGTGGGTTTCGTTAAAGGAAAAGTAATTTTGGTTAGTTTAGAGGATTTTAAAAGTTGTCTTAAATTGAAGGAATAAAAATAATAATAGATAAAACTTAATGGGGCTGGGTGCATTGGCTCACGCCTGTAATCCCAGCACTTTGGGAGGTCAAGGTGGGTGGATCACCTGAGGTTGGGAGTTCAAGACCTGTCTGGCCAATATGGCAAAACCCTGTCTCTACTAAAAATACAAAATTAGCCAAGCGTGGTGGCGCATGCCTGTAATCCTAGCCACTCGGAGGCTGAGGCAGGAGAATTGCTTGAACCCAGGAGGCTGGGGTTGCAGTGAACAGAGATCACGCCATTGCACTCCAGCCAGGGCAACAAGAGCAAAACTCCATCAAAAAAAAAAAAAAAAAAAAAAAACCTCAATGGATACAGAAAGTTGGAAAGAAAGAAAATGGGGAAAATTATAAGACGTTAAAAAGGGTTTATGGAAATATTATTGTGTGTGGTCAAAGCTGATTGAGATTGCATGAATCTGCTTATAAGGTTTTATTAAAATTATTGTTAGCATTAATAATACACTGATGCAAAAGTGAAATTTGACTTTCTTTTTAGAACATGATTTTTGTGTAATATTCATAAGAGATAGTAAAACATTTTTTGTTTACATTTTATATAAACTGCAAAAAAAAAGGGAAGAGAGAGATTTTGTTTGCCTCTTTATCGGGTCTTTGTGTGTGTGTGTGTGTGTGTGTGTGTGTGTGTGAGAGAGAGAGAGAGATGGAGTTTCATTCTTGTTGCCCAGGCTGGAGTGCAATGGTGCGGTCTTGGCTCACTGCAACCTCCACCTCCTGGGTTCAAGCGATTCTCCTGCCTCAGCCTCCCAAGTAGCTGAGATTACAGGTGCCCACCACCACACTTGGCTGATTTTTTTGTATTTTTAGTAGAGACAGGGTTTCACCATGTTGGCCAGGCTTGTCTTGTACTCCTGACTAAGGTGATCTACCAGCCTTGACCTCCCAAAGTGCTGAGATTACAGGTGTGAGCCACCACACCTTGCCTATCAGGTCTTTTAATTGTTTGAAAAGCTGAGTCTCCTGTCACTCTATATGATTTTTGCCTTTTGAAAGCTTTGAATTATCACTTTGGCTAATTGAATGAATGTTTTTTTTCAGTGACTTGTGTTCCCATTTTGAGCACTTTCCAAAATCATATTTCAAATTCCAAATTTGATCTTTGGCCTAAAATTAACTTTTTGTATATTAGGGATCCTGAAAGTCCAAGAGAGACTTATTAGGCTAATTTAGTATGTTAAAGTGATATGGCAAGCATTGTCAAATAAGAAATGGTGTTTAACTTGTATAAATACGTTATTAATGTGCCCCAAGGTTATATAGATTCCCTAAATTCTTACATGTCTTAGGATATGTCATCAGTAATAATTATGATTATTACATTAAATTGTTGTATGCCACTGGAATAACCAACTTTTCTTATTAATTGTGTCTTTATAGATATTTCTAAGTATTTTGTCACCCATAGACAATTATTCTTTTACTTTTTCTCGAAGAATGGTTTATAATTGGCTATAGTCCCAAATTTCCTTCTTCTTCAAGGAAATTTTTGGAAAGCATCCTGACCAGTATTTAACACTCTTGAATACAGGTTTCTGGTAACTTTGGAGATAACAGTTTAATCTATTCCATAACATTGGACTAGATTAAAAACTTCCAGGACTCTAATTAAAAAGCTGATGTGTTCTGCCTGGTGCGGTGGCTTACGCCTATAATCCCAGCACTTTGGGAGGCCGAGGCGGGTGCATCATGAGGTCAAGAGATCGAGACCATCCTGGCCAAAATGGTGAAACAGTCTCCACTAAAAAAAAAAAAAAAAAAAAAAAAAAAAAAAAAAAGCTGATGCGTTCATGAGGATTGCTAACTCAACAGCAATCAAAGCAAGTATGAATTACATGGGAATGAATAGAGGACTGAAATAATTTTTTATAACTTTGTTTGAAACATTGCTGATTCTTTTTATGTTTAGTTTTCCAGAGTCAAGAAAACTTTTTCTTTTGAGCTATTTGTAGCTTACAACAATAGGGTAAAGTATACTTTTGTGAGCAAAGTTGAAATGTTTATCTTACTCTTTACCTGATTTCTCCAGAATTTGGAAACTGTTGGGAAAAGCTGAGCGTTGGGAGAAGCTGAGGCAGGGCTTGCATGTCTGACATAATGTAAAAGAGTCTTGGAACATGTCTGGGGTCCAGGGTCTAAAACCCCTTGTGGCCTTTGGAATACCAAATTCTGTGCTAAAGGGTGGAAGGCTACCCTCACCCACCATAATCTAAGCCCAGGGCATAAAATCCCTCGTGGCTTGGATAGAATCCAGGGCTTGTGGCTCTGGAACGGGTCTAGACTTGCTGGCTCCTTGCTCCTTGCTCTCCCAGGATCGACTGTATCTTGAGTTAAAAGAACCTGCTCTCCGTTACCTCAAGTAGCAGAACATGTTCCATATAAATGCTAAACCATCACAGCTGTAGATCATACGCCTGACCTTTTGTCCTCCACATTCTCACCACCTGTTTCTTTGTTGGATTACCAATAAATAGCGTGGGCTCCCAGAGCTCAGGGCCTTCGTAGCCTCCATGATTGTGATGGCTCCCCTGGTGTCCCACCTTTCTCTCTCAAACTGTCTTTTTCTCAATCCTTTTACTCCACCGGACTTTGTCACCCCCACGACCTGGTGTTGGGTCTGATCACCCCAACAGGAAACTATTTGTGAGTATTTTTAATTTATGGCAACATAGTTACTTGCATAATTTCAATAAGAATCTGTTTTCTTTTGTAACAGAATGTGATTAGAGACACTGGTTATTTTTCCAAGTTTTTTACTGGAAGGGCATATTTTCAGGTATGACCAGACTGCTTTGAGATTGGAAAGACTGATATGGTACCTTGTCTACATGGTTCTCTTATAAGGTTTCTTTGACCTTATAAGAGGTAGGTAGGTAGGTAAAGAATGTCACTTTCTGATAGGACCAGGAACTTCAAGATCTTGTGGGACCTCAAGAATAAAAGAATTTACCCAATTCATGTGGATATTACAAGCACAGTCTGTTGGCAAACTCTTGGCTTGATTTTCTAGCCTCAAGCCTTTTAAAAGTCTAGTCTTAGATTCTTCATGATTTTCTCCAGCAAAGCCAACTTAAAAACCTACATAGTCAATCACTGTGTTTGCTGCATTTTATGCAAATAATGAAGCCAAATACAATAAAACTAAAACTTATTTTGCAAATAAATTGGTCCTACTATTCCTTACGCTTGGTAGAAATGGGGAACTGGGGAGAGAAAAAATTATGTTTGAGAAGAAAATTACAGTACACTTGTTATTCGATTGTAGCCTTGTTGGTAGTTTTTTAGTTTTTACAATTTCCTACAATTTGGGCTGAACCCTTAATTCTTTCCTTGTTACAAGTCTCCAAACTAATGTTTTCACATTTTTCTTCTATTTCTCTCACTTGGAATCACTAGAAATCAAACCTGTCCTTTTTTTTTTTTTTGGAAACAGACAACTTGAATTAAACTCTAGAAGAAATCACCACAGCAACTTATAAACAGCCTTCATGCCTGATGATGTATGGACTACTCAGAAAGCTCACTTAAACACCTAATTCAAACTACAAATGCAGAAAAAATCTGTCAGATAGCCCCTGCCATCTGAAGATGCTTTAGAGCCTCTAGAAAAACCAGTGTGTAGACTGCTTCAGACATTCACTTTTGTTTTTCTTCTATTTCCTTAGAAATACCTCTTACTAAAGATGTTTGCCATATATAGAGGCCTAGCCCATTTGCAATGCCACCTCCTGAAATGGGACACAGCTATTCAATTGACCTGATCTATTCTCAGGTCTAACAGGTTGATTCAAGAAGATATGGGATATGTTTAAATTTAGTCTTTTTTGCTTATCACCATTTGTTTTCTTTTCCCTTCCTTTTCCTCTCTATCTAACAACATTTAACCCAAATCTCTCCAAAGTTATCAACTATATACAAAACATTTTAAAGTTTCAAAGTAAGGTGATATGGTTTGGCTGTGTCCCCACCCAAATCTCATCTTGAATTGTAGCTCCCACAATTCCCATGTGTCATGAGAGGGACCTGGTGGGAAGTGATCGAATCATGGGGGTGGGTCTTTCCTGTGCTGTTCTCATGATAGTGAATAAGTCTCATGAGATCTGATGGTTTTATAAAGAGAAGTTTCCCTGCACAAGTTCTCTCTTGTCTGCCACTATGTAAGATATAAACTTTCACCTTCCACCATGATTGTGAGGCCTCCCCAGCCACGTGGAATTGTGGGTCAATAAAACCTCTTTTTCTTTATAAATTAACCAGTCTCAAGTATGTCTTTATCAGCAGTGTGAAAACAGACGAATACATAAGGACTGAAGGAAATCTCCCTAAAATATTTCATCCTAAAATATACTTATTTGACATATTTTGAGATGGTTGGTCAGAAAGCCAACAAACAGAAGTAACCCTGCAAAGCTGTCTTTGGTGGGCGGCATTTGTATCAGTAGATAATCTGCATAGATGCAGCCAGCTTTTCTCTGAGGCCTTCCCCTGTCTGGACCTAGAAAAAATTACCTGAGAGTCTGATTATCTTAAAAGGTCTAAAAGAAACATTTACCATCTATTTTCTCTAAGAGCTTTCACCTGTGAGTTTTATTATATAACAAGACCACCTTTGCTAGCTACTCCCATCTTTTCCCCCTTTCATAACCTGTTTTACCACCATAATCTGTTTTGCCGCAATCCAAGTCCCCATTCTTTCTGCATCTTCAAGATGGTGTATCGGCTTCTGAATGCCTTTGGGGGGGTAATCACTCTGTGGTTTGCCCCCCACGTGCATGTTAATAAATTTGTATGCCTTTTCTCCAATTAATCTGACTTTTGTGGGTTATTAGCAATTGTATACACTTATTAGTAAACACAGTTTCTCTTGCAGAGATTTAATGAATATGGGGATGAGAAATTCAAAGCTTTGTGTGGAGGGTGGTTTAGGCAGTGGGGATGCAGCAAAGGTTCTGAGGCATAAATGAGCTTATCAAGGTCTCTGAGAAGAAGAAATAAGAACAAGCAGGCTGGGCGCTGTGGCTGATGCCTGTAATTCTAGAACTTTGGGAGACCAAGATGGGCAGATCACCTGAGGTCAGGAGTTTGAGAACAGCCTGGCCAACATGGTGAAACCCCATCTCTACTTAAAATATAAAAATTAGCCGAGTGTGGTGGCAGGCACCTGTAGTCCCAGCTACTCAGGAGGCTAGGCAGGAGAATCACTTGAACCCAGGAGGTGGAGGTTGCAATAAGCTGAGATGATGCCACTGCATTCCAGCCTGGGTGACAGAGCGAGAATCTGTCTCAAAAAACAAAAAGAATAAGTAGTAGGCCAGGCCAGGTTGTTAAGGATGATGTATATGAGATTGTGAGTTGGAGGGAACTGAGGTCTGGGAAATACGCAACTACTCAGGGGTCAGATCCTGTGAGGCACCATCAGCCACAGTAAGGACACTGGATTAATTCTGAATATGAGAGAACATTTGTAGTGTCTGAGCAAATGAGCCACAGGAAATGATTTTCTAACTCAAAAGCTCCAACTGGCTGCTGAGTGAAGACTAGAGAGTAAGAAGTGGGAAGGAAAGAAACAGCTAGAAGGTGAGTAGAGTAGGGTTCGGGAAGAAGGGGGGTGGCCTGAGGCATTGCTGGAGGAGGTAAGAAACAAGTTGTGGGGCAGCTTTGCAAACAGGTGATGTCAGGAATCAGGCTGTGGCTATTAGGAAGTCAGGGGTTTCTTACAGCCCAGCAAGTAGGCAGGTTCTGTCAGTAGGCAGGTAAGTGATGTGAGCAGTTATATGACACCGGCCAGCAGGTGTGGCACACTTACCAGCAGGTGGGTCAAATCTGCAAACAGGTGAGTCATGCTGGCAAGGGGACCAGACACTTCTTTAATTAGATGGTATGGGCTGAATTGTGTGTCCCTGCCCCCTTAAAGTTCATATATTGAAGTCCTCACCCCTAGTACCTCAGAATATGACTGCATTTGGAGACAGGGCCTTTAAAGAGGTAATCAATTTAAAATGAGGCCACAGAGGTTGGCCCCAATCTGACCAACGTCCTTATCAAAAGAGATGAGGACATAAACATGCACAGTGGGGTAAACCACATGAAGATGGAGAGAAGATGGCCATCCATAAGCCAAGGAGAGTGTCCCTCAGAGGAAACCCACTCTGCTGATACCTTGATATTGTTCTGTTACCAGAAAGTGGGGGGAATCTTCAGTCCTTAGTCATTTTGGGAGAAAGATTTCAGCGAAGAAACAGTTCAAAGATAGCAGAGAGCTTTATTGAAGGGAAATGGAGAGGAGAGAGTTTATTTAAAGAGACATTACACTCTGAAAGATGAGGCAGAATGGGCTCCTGAAAGAGTGAGTAGGCCAGCAGCCCCAAGAGCTCTACATTGCAGTTTTTATTATGTGGAACCCTTTCTTGAAGTTCCCAGCTCTGCTTTAAGTCTCTACCTTTTTTCTTTGTCTAGTTTGTCCGCTATTGCCTTAAGTCCCTGCCTTTCCCCCACCTAGTTCCCATACCAGGGTTGTGGGATTCTCCTTTACTGTCAGTTGATGTGCATGCGCAGCCCAGTGTTGGCTGCAAATTTTACCTATTGGCAGCACTGCTCATTACCGTCACCCCCAGAAGATGGGATAGCAGTCAAACCTATACTTATTGCACCTGAGTATCTCTTAGGAATTTCTCTTTTGCCCTCTTTCCTCCTTATCAGCATGTATCTAGCTACATTCTGTCAGGTTAACTGCAGAGCATACTCTTACTGGGCATCTTAATGGGAGTTCCTTCCTGTATAGGTACTTGCCCTCCTCTCTGATCCTGTGTAGCATGTGTGTTTCAGGTGGTCTCTGGCATGTGAGATTTTCCAGACCTCCCTTTTTTCAAGGGGTCCTCCTGCCTGCTTGCATCAATCTGCCTATTCTAACAGTTCTTCAACCCTTCAGAATTATGAGAAAATAAATTGCTATTGTTTAAAGCCTCCCAGTCTCTGGTACTTTGTTATGGCAGTCCTAGCAAACTAACACAGATGGACAACTTGTATAAATCTCTGAGAGGTCCTGCATGTGTCTGAGGGCTACAGAAGCAGCTGAAAGAGGTTGCTGAGCATATGGGGGACTTGGGAGAGTGATATGGAGGTCATGGGTGGCTAGGAGATTCTATGAACCAGTGGGTGACCAGGGCAAAAATCCAGGGATGATAACAAGACAGCTCATTGACACAAGGATATCTAAGCACTGACGATGAGTTATGTGGAGAGAAAAGGAGAAGACAGGGGATTTGAGTAGTAGCTTAGCAACTCCATTGAATCCCTGGAGACCGGACCATAGTAGGTGACCCTGGAGAGATTCTGGACCTCTGGTTGAGAGCTTAGGAGGATAGTTGGAAACCATGATGCTAAGAGTAATTTGAGGAATTGGGCCTAGAGGTTATTTATGGGCAGTCAGCAATGACACCACTATCATCCAAACAGGAACAGTGAGAAGCCAGTACTCTACTAGCTCCTAGAAAAGAGGTCAGAAATCCACCTCCATTTTCACTGAGGCCACACCTTGTGGCTGAGCATAGATTCTGACTTTCCCATCTCACCAAATATATTAATTTACCAAATTTCTTGCTCCCTAATCTGTTTCTGGGTCTGCAGAATCTGGTAGGACACATCCTGGGTGTGAGCAGGCAACATAGATAAGCTGCTCCAAACTGTGCTTCCTCTAGTCCTATAATGTCATAATAATAATTTTTTCCCTTTTTTCAGCTTTTGGGTTTTACTATAAAGAGTTACACTAATTAAAACTTTCCATTTTGTTTGTATGTTTTTACCTTCAGAATGCACTAACACAATTACAGTACTGTTAACCAATTTTGTTCACCTTCTACAAAAGGTGACTTCAACAGAAGCAGCCTCTGTTTATCTCTGAAAAATTATGTCACTGAAACAAGTAGACCCTTTATTTTTAATGAATGTCAAAAGAGATTATAATGCTTGGGTTTCTGTAATCTGCAGGAAAGATATTTACATGTGTCTAACAAAACCAGTTACACCCAGGTGCCTTAGGTTAAGTAAATCAGATGGCATTTATGCCAGGTCAGAAATAGGGCAGGGCCCAGCCAGTTTTTCACATGACATAAAAGAGGGAACCGGTATCTTCAGGGATGGAAGCTGGCCTTAAAAAGTTCAAGGAAGTTCAAGTCAAATGTAAAATTACCTGGAAATTTTGGATATAATTATAAAAACTCATGCTATTTTTTATCCTCCTCTATAAATTACCTATATTGTTAGAACATGTGAGAGTGGGGCCCTGACCCCATTGGTATAGCCATTACCAGAATGATAATGATAGAATCATTATCAAGTCTTTAGGGTATAACCATTAGCAAGACCACAGAGTCTGGAAGCAGCTTTGGAGAGAATTTGACGCCTTTAGGGTATAACCATTAGCAAGACCACAGAGTCTGGAAGCAGCTTTGGAGAGAATTTGACACTAGATGTATTTGTTTTTTTCTGATTTTTAGTTTGTGCCTTGATCGGTTAATTCCAGTTTCAAGCCTCAAGGCTGGCCTGTGCATTGGTGAATATGGGCTGTCAAAGTTGGGGGGATGGTAAAAGTTATGTAGCACAATTCCTAGAACCTACCAGACCTGAATTTGAGTATTCACTCTGCTACTCACCAGCAGAACAATCATGGGCCAATGTCTCGAGCTATTTGAGCTTTCATTTCCTCATCTGCAAAAAGGGCCCTGTTAAGTACATATCTCTTGGGGTTACTGTCGAATGAATGAGAAGCTTTAAAGCAAGTACTCAGCACAGTATCTGACACATGTTAAGTGTTGGGGATTACTATCATTATGACCAGAAAAATTTACCTCAATTTGAACAATAGGGTAAGGCCAAGCTCTGGGGGAATGTATGTAATATCCAATTTAGCAGAACTTAAATTTTCTAGCACTTGCGGGATATTGTCCATATCCTCTTTGTTCATTCAGTAGGTGCCTGGTTGCTTAAAGGGTGGACAAAATTGTTGACCATCTAGGTCAGATGTGTGGTGAAGTCAGCAGCTGATGGCATCAGAAGAGAAGGGCTCCCTTCATCCACTGCTCCTGCATCCACTGCAGGGCTCAGTCCTGACACTTCCCATAGAACCCTAGGTGAACACCTTAACCTCTGTGATTTAGAAATAACATGGATATAAAGGGCATGCTTATTTACAGACCAGTTGTGAAAACCAAGTAAGACTCTAATGTAAAAGCATTTTGTAGGCTGCAAAGCACTCAACACATTCAAAGTTCAATTATTATTCCAGACTTCCTTTCCTTACTTAAGCATTTAGTGACCTCAAATTGTCCCTGGCCAATCTGAGGCTCTTCTCTACCTAGTGCACAGAGCCCCATGTTTCATGCAATAGCTTCTCCCCTTCATGCAAGTGTCCCCATGGTGTCCTGTCAGCTGTACTCCACCATGTAACACACCAGGATACCAGGTTACCCCTTACTACCTAATCTGATACTTCCCAAACATGCCTGATCATGAGACACCCAGTGCCTGTGAGAAATAGAAGTCCTCAGACACCACATAAGATTTACTAGATCCAAATCTTCAAAGGAGGGGCTTGGGACATTTTTAACAAAAGCCACAAGTGATTCTGTAATTCAGCAGGTTTGGGAAACAGTAAACTAATACATGCAAATGTGTTGGTTAACTAATATATTACTCTATCTGGACTCAACCCAATTAAAATGTATAGCTCTTTTAATATCTTAAGTGGGCTATACTAGTTCTGGAGATTTCAAGTAGGATCCAAGGGAGGGTTTGTGAATAAAAAGAATTCTTTTAATCACACTATTAGGAAGAATGTTTATTAAATTCTACATACATTTTTGTAGTACCATAGTTTGAGATATAAATATCCTTGGGGGAAAGCTATAGGATGACCAATGATTAGAAACAACAAATAACAATTTTAAAAAATTGAAAGAAATTAAGTCCAGAGGTGAGCCACTTTAGCAAGAATCTTTAAATTTGAGAAGAAATATTATCTTATTTCACTGATTCTAAAATAGATTTTTTTTCACATTTTAATGTCTCTGAAATCAGAATGTTTCTTAAAGCTGATTAGCAACAATTTTTTTAGTGGTATATAAAATAATAGGATTTCTTAACAAAGGGTGTATTCTGGATTCAGTGAAATACTGAAACACAAGACAGTGACAATTTTCTCCAACTCTATTGACACATCACAAGTGGTCTATGCCCTTGCCTGGGTGCCTCCTGTGCATCTCTATTTCCACAAGCCTGCCTACATTTGAAGCTCCAGTGCCAACTGTGCATCTCACTGGCCACAGCCTGCCCAGCTCACCCAGGCTGCAGGGATGTCTCTCTTCTTCTTACAGCTCTTGCTGTCTGTAGCACCTATTTTCTGTTTCTCTTGCTTAGCATTTATGCTGCTGCTTTGTTGACCAAATATTATTTGTTATCTTATCATGTTATAAACATCTTTGAACTCTGAAACTAAATGGTAAACACCTTGAGCCCAGAAAAGTTGCCTCTATCTTTTGCTTTCTCCCAGGGTCTAACACAGGGCTCCTACATGGTAATATTCAATAAATATTGATGATGATGCCATTTAGGTAGGGTGATGACATATTTCATCATCCAGACCAAGATATTTTGAAGGTGAAAGGGGGCACAATGAATATTTATGGGGCACAACAGGCATAAACTAGGACTATCCTGGGCACTTTACATATAGACGCCTTTCTCCCTACTACACTGTAAACTTTTTGAGGGTAGAGATAATGTTTTAGTCATCCCTTTTTCTACAATACAAAAAGTATAGTGCTTTGCACCTCATTAAGTACTAAATGAAGTATGATTCCTTCCCTGTCTACAAGATAATATGATTTTAACCAAACTTTCCAGCCTCAATCCCAATGATCTCTCAAATATTTTCCAGGAAAATTAAATTATTTTCAAGAACTAACATACTTCTCTTATCTTGGTGCCTTTGTCAATGCTATTGCCTCAGCCAGACATTAATAGTCACCCAAAGATGTCTACATCCTAATCCCCAGATTGTACAAGTTACCTTACGTGATAAAGGGGACCTACCAGGCATAATTAAGTAAGGGTCTTGAGAAGGGGAGATATTATCTTGCATCATCTAGGTAGGCCCAATGTGTAATCACGATGTGGAATCCTTATCAGGGAAAAAGGAGGCAGGTGAGTCAGAATCAGAGAGGGAGAGATTAGAAGATGCTTTGCAGATAAGAGTATGAGGCCACAAGTCGAGGAATATAGGTGGCCTCTAGAGGCTGGAAAAGGCAACAAAATGAATTCTCTTCAAGAAATCCAGAAGGAATGTAGCCCTGCTGACCCATTCTCAGCTTCTGACCTCCAGAACTGGAAGTAAAAAATTTGTGTTGGTCAAGCCACTAAGTTTGTGGTAGAGCAGTCATAGGAAACTACTTACACCATGCTAATCTGCAAGAATTAATCAAACACCAGCTCATCCTGAATCCATTTCCTGACTTCTTGCAGCTGAATTTAACCTCTGCCTGATTTAACCTCTTCTCCTTTTGGGACTCTTTTATAGCAATTACCTCACTTGATAGTATAGTGCAAACACATGGTCCCTCTTCTTAGCCCTTATTTAGATACAAGTAGTAGAAAACCAATTAAAAGTAGTTTAAGCAGACTGGTTGGCGGTTCCAACATGACCAAATAGGAACAGCTCCAGTCTACAGCTCCCAGCGTGAGCGACGCAGAAGATGGGTGATTTCTGCATTTCCAACTGAGGTACCGGGTTCATCTCACTGAGGCTTGTCGGACAGTGGGTGCAGGACAGTGGGTGCAGTGCACCGAGCATGAGCTGAAGCAGGGCGAGGCATCGCCTCATCAGGGAAGTACAAGGGGTCAGGGAATTCCCTTTCATAGCCAAGCAAGGCTGTGACAGACTGCACCTTGAAAATCGGGTCACTCCCACCCTAATACTGCACTTTTCTAATGGTCTTAGCAAACGGCACAAGAGGAGATTATATCCTGCACCTGGCTTGGAGGGTCCCACGCCCACAGAGCCTCACTCATTGCTAGCACAGCAGTCTGAGATGGAACTGCAAGGCAGCAGCGAGGGTGGGGGAGGGGTGCCCACCACTGTGAGGCTTGAGTAGGTAAACAAAGCAGCCAGGAAGCTGGAACTGGGTGGAGCCCACCGCAGCTCAAGGAGGCCTGCCTGCCTCTGTAGACTCCACCTCTGGGGGCAGGGCATAGCCAAACAAAAGGCAGCAAAAACCTCTGCAGACTTAAATGTCCCTGTCTAACAGCTTTGAAGAGAGTAGTGGTTCTCCCAGCATGCAGTTTGAGATCTGAGAATGGACAGACTGCCTCCTCAAGTGGTTCCCTGATGCCTGAGTAGGCTATCAGGGAGGCACCCACCAGTAGGGGCAGACTGACACCTCACACGGCCGGGTACTCCTCTGAGATGAAACCGCCAGAGGAACGATCAGACAGCAACATTTGCTGTTCAGCAATATTCGCTGTTCTGCAGCCTCCACTGCTGATACCCAGGCAAACAGGGTCTGGAGTGGACCTCCAGCAAACTCCAACATACCTGCAGCTGAGGGTCCTGACTGTTAAAGGGAAAACTAACAAACAGAAAGGACATCCACACCAAAACCCCATCTGTACGTCACCATCATCAAAGACCAAAGGTAGATAAAGCCACAAAGATGGGGAAAAAACAGAACAGAAAAACTGAAAATTCTAAAAATCAGAGTGCCTCTCCTCCTCCAAAGGAATGCAGCTCCTCAACAGCAATGGACCAAAGCTGGACGGAGAATAACTTTGACAAGTTGAGAGAA